>NC_000008.11:20769193-21072223 GCF_000001405.40 Homo sapiens
GAGGAAGGTGTATTTCCTACTCTAGCTCCCTTCCTGTGGGTTGGCAGTGGGTGACTCCATCCCTCCTACAGAGGTCTCATGTCCTGCCAGACAGAGCATTTTCCAGGTTCCAGGAATGGCTTCCTTCCCTGGCCGCTTCAGGCCTGGTGGGGCTGTCAGAACTCTCACTTTGAGGGGCTGGCTATCTGTAGTGATTTCCCTAAATTCTGCCCACATCTTTGTAAATAGTCTTTATATTAAATACTCCTTGAGTTATTTTAATGGGACATTGATTTCCTTCTCAGGTCCTGATGGGTGAGCTTATGCTATAGGCTCAGCCACCCTGTGGGCTGGTTCATCCAACTCACTGGGTGGACACCAGCTCCACACTGTCCACACAAGAGCCTGTCCCATCTGGTAAGCATGGCCTTTCACAAGGAGTGAGCATAGAAGGGGAAGGGCTTAGTGGAAGTCCATTCCCACCACTCAAAAATGACCTTCATGCACACCTTTCTGAGACTCAATGGCAAAATCTTCATGGCTTAATAACAGAAGCTATCATTGCTCAGTGTTTTTCACTCTAAGACTTTCTGCATCTGAATATCCTCAACTATAAAATCTGGGTAATACCATGTATCTCACAAGCACAATTTTGATGCAACACCAGGAAGATAGCAGGTGCTGTATTAAATAGATCCGTGTGAGGAGTATGGAAGAAATAGAAAGGATTCCAGAAATTCATGCTTTTCTGGAATTAAAAGTGTTTGTTTCTTCCACTGGGTGGTAAGGAGAGCCAGATACTCAAAAAAATCTTGATGAGTTTTCTATGCTGCCAATAAAGAATATTAAAGAGAGTAAAAATGAACAACAGTAATCTTCACCATTATACTGACTACTGCTTATGTGAGGACTCTTTTTTACATACTAATTCTAAAGACAATCCAATGAGGTACACATTGTCATCGCCATTATGTTGATGTAGACATGGAGGCCATACCAGCCTCAGGTCATTCAGCTCCTAAACAGAGTCAAAAATCCAACCCAATCTTTTCAGTTCCAAAGCTGGGGCCTGGGGCCTTACCCACTTTCTGGTAACACAAAGGACTCAATCCAGGGAATGTAGTTCCATTTTTCTTTAATAGGAAATGGAATACTCAGTTAATTTTTTTTATTTTTATTTATTTTTTGGAGATGGAGTCTTGCTCTCTTGCCCAGGCTGGAGTGCAGTGGCACAATCTCGGCTCACTGTAACCTCCGCCTCCTGGGTTCAAGTGATTCTCCCGAGTAGCTGAGATTACAGGCAAGCGCCACTGTGCCTGGCTAACTTTCATATTTTTAGTAGAGACAGGGTTTCACGATGTTGGCCAGGCTGGTCTTGAACTCCTGTCCTTCAGTGATCCGCCCACGTTGGCCTCCCAAAGTGCTGGGATTACAGACATGAGCCCCTGCGCCCGGCCCAAAGGATCTTGAAGCAACGGTAGAATGACCACTTCCACGTTACAAGCCCAAAAGCATGGTGAGATTTCCATTGAAACCGAGCTGGCTTTTCCTGGCAGTAGATTCAGAGGCCCTGGGTGAGTTTGGAAGGAGGGACACCTGGTGCCTTTGTGTTGTCCTGTCTTCAGCAAATTCTGGGGTCTCCCACACTGGGGAAGACCTGGCTAACTGCTCGTGCTTGGGTTTCCATGCACTCCTGGCCTTTCCTGCTGGTGAATAATTGAAAAGAGATGAATAGCAAATGTCCTCCCAGTGATAATTACTAAATTCTTATGTGAGGAGGGGGATCCCACCCAGGGTTTTACAAATATTGAATTGAGCTCCCTTCATCATTGTGGGATGTGATTCGAGTCCTCTGTAGCTTCTCGTCACATCTTAGGAAGCCACTCCTGGTCCCCTGTAGCCTGGTGGCTTTGTAGCCCCTGGCAGCCTGAGTCATACTCCCCAATCAGCAAAGAGGAATGGGAGAGCAGCCACCCAGCCCAGGTGGCCCTCCTTTGCAGTGGGTGGCACATTAGGCCACCTCCAGAGCCCCTTTCCCTGCCAGTCTCCTCTTCCCCTCAGAGGTACAGACGTCGACAAGGAAGGGTTGAGCACTTGAGCACGCTCTCTCTTTTTATACTTTTGAGTCTTCTTTTACTGGCTAGGGTCACCCATTCCCATTCAACATGGCGTTTGGACTTGGAACCCGAGATAAATTATTCAGAGCAGCTGACTCCTCAGTGTAAATAATTTAGCTTAATAAATAAGTCAAAGTCTCCCGTCTCTCCAGTGTCTCTGGTAGCTCGTTCATCTCCTGTCTCCTCCGCTCCTCAAGCTGTACTGCTTCCTGCTGGGCTTCTCTGGCCTGGTGGCCTTTTACTGTCCTGTCACTATCAGCAGCATTTGGCAAGAGAGAGATGGTTCAAGTGCTTGCTCTGTGTCTTTGCAGTCACTCTGGAATCATTGAAACCAGCAGCCGATTTGCATGTGCCATGGAGTGCAGTGGGTAGGTGGGGAGGGCTGGGCCAGCTCTGGCTCCCTCCTCTGAGACTGGGGCAAGTCCCTAGGAGAGAATCGGGTGGGAGTGGGGGAGGGAAGGAAGGACCTGTGGAAAACATATCTGGGGAGAATGTAGGAGATGCTGAGAGACAGGGCTCTGCCTCTGTAACCTGACCTGGGCAATTAGGAGAGAAAAGAAAGTCATGAAGCTGCCTGGAGACCGGTGTCAAAACTGCATAACATGTGACATTGTATCTGGAATCACCAATCCAAGTGCAGTGCTGATACTGGGACGAGTCTTCTCTGAATCATTTTCCTGCTCTCCGCCATAAGAGAGAGGGAAGCGATCTCTTTAGTGAGGACCTACTGTGTGCAGGTATCAGGGGAGCTGCTAGCACACCTTATTTGTGGGATTACCTCCACACCAGGGCCTGGTGGAACGGGTACACAGACTCTTCTCTGAGATTGTCTGGGCTTTAGCATGCTGCGATCCAACTCCTTTAGGCTTGGCAGAGATAGACCCAAGAGCACACACATATCCATTGCAAAATAAAATAAATATTCCTATTTGAAGAATTCACTGCAGCAGCACTATCCATCCCCTAATAAAATGGCCACATGCTCATATCCTAGAGAGGAAAGAACTACAGTTTCCCACATTGCACCGTGAGAACTATGGAAAGGAGGAGCAGGCAGAGGCCAGTTCTGGCTGGAAAATTCACCCCTCCACCCAAGAGGACTGTTATCATCAGTGCAAATCCCAGCCTCACACTGCAATCCAATTAAAGTAATTGTCGCCTAAACAGCCCTTGCAGAAGGGAGCTGCAGCTAAGAGGGGCAGAGGGTGCGGTTCAGTGTCTTTGAAGGAAACTCGATGGCTCAAAAATGCAAGAAACAATTTCTCTAGATGGAAAATAAATGCAATGAATCTAAGTGCGGCAGGAAATCTTATGAGAAAATAAGACTTTGGGAGGATTTATTGAAAGACATAATTGCAACAAGTATATTGATTTTACATAGATAAGAAAACAAATTTTGTCAGGGATTGAATTTGGTTTATTACATTTATTTCCCCACAGAGTTAATGCATTTAAAGACATAGTTTATTTTTCAAATGGAGGAACATTGTTTTCAGAGACCTTTATTAGGTTCCTAACATTTCCCTTGACTTTTCTTTCCAAGAAAATTGGTTTATATGTGAAGGTAGGGGGAGGAAAGACCTTGGGGTTCTCGTCTTTCTGGGAGGTTCCGGAATGAAAGGCTGTTGGTGCCTCTTAGGTAGGGAAGTTATTTCCTGTTCTGTGTCCTGCCTCCTGCCGTAAGAAGAGCCACTGACACTGGAATGTAGAGCAAGAAGTCAGAACTGTTAACAGCTTGTCACTCTCCCCTTCTACACCCCTGGGTCTAGGTTCAGACCCAAGGGACTGTAGGCTCATGGCCACTTCATCAGTCAAAAACCTTCTGGGAAGCAGAAACCAGGGGCGCTGGCCTTTGGCTTTCATTTTTAAATCCTTGAACAAATCCTAAAATTTTGTTGATGAGTTGAGGGTTGCAATGATTGCTACAATTTGTGAGAGCTTGCAGCTTGTTAAGTACTGGGTTTATCCTTCTACAGTACCATGAGGTACCTCTCATCCCTGTTTTCCAGATGCAAATATTGGGCCTACGAGATTAAGAAATTTAACAAATACCTCTGCCTAATTCCAAAGCCTGTGAGTTTCATTTCCCTTCTGTTCAGGGGACTTGAGTTTTATGCCAGTTCTGTGACAAGATACTCTATGCCTAATTCCCAGTTGTATGCAGTGAAATAATCCAAGGCTAGCCCCTCAAGCCTGTGTCCATGTGCACAGCTGGACCTGGGCGGGGAGGGGGAGAAAAGGACACAGGCAGGAAGAGTGGTGACCACCCTTGGCTAGGACCCTGACCCTGTTACCTAATGACTCCTTAATGAGACACATTGTCTTGGGCTTGCTCCCCTGAGGGCCACACTGGTGCCATCCTTTTTCCATCCTAATGGAGCTTAGCTGATCCACCTCTGGACCAAGGTCATCCCTGTTGTGTAGCCAACATTTGATCACAATTGAAGTTAGCACTCAAGAGCATCTTAGAGCTTTACAAAGAGCTTTTGCATGTTCGTAATTAAAAGATAATTTGTTCTAAAATTTCTAGGGCAGAAATTTTACAGAGGGAGATACTGAGACTCAAAGAAGTTGGGTGCCTTCCCTACACTTAGCCGGTAACCACAAGATCTAAGACCAGATCCCAGGTCGCCTAATGAAGTCCAAGCCTTGAAGCAAGGCAGCTGCCTCTTGCCATTCATGTTCCTGCTGATTCCTAGCTGAGCTCCAAGCAGCAGCCCTGCCCTCCTCTGGGCTTGCAGAGGCACCTGTAAAACACTTCTATCCCTTGTCTGATAGCTTTGGCCATGCAAATTATTCAGAATTAATCCTGTCTGCTCCTAAATCTCCCTGCAGCTTTTCACAAGTAACTAATACTTGTCTTAATCACTTCCGAGGTACAGCTTTATATGCCACTTGCAACAACACGTTCAATTATGATTGATTGGAATTTAAGTTCTGATTTCCCTTAGAACATAATCAGTCCTGAATGGGAAATTTTTACAGTGACAATTAAAATAATGAAAGTGAACTTTAAATGACATTCAAACAGTGTCACCTGGGAATAACTCCACAGTGCTGGCCTCCCCGCTGCATTCTGGGAGCTTGGCGATTCCACAGGCCTCTGTCTGGCATGGCTGTTAATGCATTTGGTGTTGTACAAGGATGAGGGTTAACCTCTCACTGGTGGACCCTTTTAAAACCCACCGCACGTTGCTGCTACTTAATTATGTGTTTCCCTGGGCTGATTTCTATTTACACCTAAATGGCATGTTAATTGTGCAAATGTGTAAACAGTTACCAAATAACTCCCTCAAGGGAACCTCCCTGCTTTGGAAATCCTCTGCTATGAAACAGGTAGAGATTAGTAGGGTCTTTCTAAATGATAGACCCAGGACCTTTGAAGGTCACAGATTTGAAAAATCACCTTAATATTGAGGTCTCCCTTCAAGGAATGGCTCCCCAAACTGGGTCTGGTAAAAATAACACACCCGTCTGGGAGTCTCATCTTCTGTAGATCTTCTCTGCTTCCATGGGAACATATGAGCTGTGACCTCCTATTATTTTTATCTGAATTCACCAAACACACACAATGAAAGAAAATTCCATTTAAGAAGGGAGAAGATTATGTTAACATCTTATACTCTTAGAATGTCTTGTTTTTCCTGCTTGACCTAGGAAAACAGGACACCTATGCCTCTCAAACTGTCCTGGCATTGGAGGCTCCTGAAATCCAGTCCCATGATATTCTATCCTGAACAAATCACATCAGCCTCTCCATTGACTCTTTGCCTTCCACAAGGCTTTCTTTCATGTCTTGCTTTAATTTATAGTCATGCCTTAAACCTGGAATGTCCTCACCCCTTTGGCTTCTCTGTATTGCAGACTACCCATCTTTAAAGTCATTGACACCATCCATGAAAATGTCAGGCCAGCTCTGCATGCTACTCTCCTTGGATAGCCCTGTACATTGTATTTAACCTAGCACTTTATTAAGAAGTGAGCAGTCATTGTGTTGGGGCCAGAAACTACCTTGAATTTTTTTTTATGTTTAATAAAATACGAGTGAGACAGTGATAAAGATGATTAGTGAGATAAACATTTTGGAAGGCAATATTTTCTTGCTTTGTGGAATCTCTTAAAGCATGTTTTGAGTTCAGTCCCCTTATTTCACAGCTGAAGAGAACTGAGGCTTGGATGTTGTTCCATTGCTTTCTAATGACTTTATTACAAATTATTTCCTCCCACTGGGCTGTCAGTAGGAACCATATTTTAGACCTTTCTTATATCTCTCACAGTATCAAGCACAGGTCTCAGGAGGCTGCACCAGCGTCAATCAGATCTCATCTGAAAATGAGTAGCATTTTTCGCAAATTTGAGGTGAATTTAATAAGGGGAGAGGTGCAAAGATCTGCAGGTGATTTGAGGAAGCAAATGGGAAAGCGAAGCATCCCAGGTCTACCAGCTCAGAGGAGCCATTGCAACCTCTGGGCCTGAAGGAACAGGTGGTGGCTGGCAGAACCTTGGAAGGGCAGCTATTTGGAGAAGGCCACTCAACAGAAACCATGGCTTTGGTAAAAAGTAAGGGTCAACCAGCAGTGACTCAGCAGGGAGGGAGCCCAGGAAAAAACAAAACAAAACAAAAAAACAATTTTAATCTGCTCCCAACCTCTAATCTCCTGCTGGTGGCTTCTAATGGCCAAACCCAACAAGGCAGGAGCAGGCAAGGAATAAGGTGACCATTAGTCCCAGTATGTCAGAAACTCAGAAATTTCTTGAGTTGCAGAACTTTCAGTGCTCCAACTGGTCAAACTGGTACAGATGGACACCTTAGCTAGACAGTAACTCATCAAGGCTGGTCTCCTAGGCATGCCAGACAAGGTGAAAGGTGAATTTAGAGGTGCAGCCAAAATATATATACTGCAGGACCCCATAAGTATTTGTAAATTTTTAGTCAGAACTATATCGATCAGTGATATTTGTGAGTCTGTGTTTATTAGGCTGGTGCAAAAGTCATCGTGGTTTTTGCTATTGAAAGTAATGGCAAACGCTGCAATTGCTTTTGCACCAACCTAATATTTCTTCCCAACCTCAAAGTCAGCTTAGAGAATATGATAGATAAATAAGACTTTCTGGTATCTTAATTTTTACCAGGCCCATGAATAAGTTCTATCCCACTGACTGATTTGTGGTCTGCAAAATCACGAGTGAAGAAAAGACTGTTATTTTAAGCCTCTAAGTTTTCAGATGCTTTGGATGCAATAAAAACTAACAGATTCACTTGATAACTTTAAAATAGTCTTCATTCCATTATTCTAAAGTGATAACCTGGACTACCTCACCTAGACCAGATGCTGTCTGTGAAATTCCCCAGAATCTCACTTTTAAAGGCCATTATTTTCATTACATTAACAGTATTTTTAGATAGACACATGCATTCCTTTCTCCTCTATCTAGTTGGTGAACCTCCACTTGGACTGACAACCAGGCTTTCTGAGCATCAAGATAGCTAGCTACTTTGATACACATCATGGGTTTGACAGCACCCAAGAAGGTTCACACATTAGACAACGCAGAAGTAAAATATAATAGATTTAGAATTGATCCTGGAAGATAATTGATCTTGGAAGATAATTTCTAGTAGATTTCCTTATTGAGGTAGAATCTCCATCTATCTCAAACTGTCTATGTCTAATATTTAGAAACATAACCTCAGTTAGTAATATAACTTCAGTTTATTAAAAAGTATATTTTTAAACTTTAAATGTATTTTTCTCTTCAGAATTAACCCAGCTAAATATAAACTTCTAAAATGTCTCATCAATGATTCTGTTACATAATAAAATTTTCTAGCCATGGAAAGAAGCAGAGAAAAGGATCTGAAAATCAAGGTATGAAACATTAAATAGAAGCAGATCTTCAAATAATGCAGGTATTTGTGTTAGTAGCTAAGTTTTTCAAAATAACATACTTCTAATAGAGCCACAAGGGAAATTAGGAAGTATTTTGAACTCACAAGAGAAAAAAGGAGTATGGCATGAAATAGAGTGTAGCTGGAATAATGGCCTGGCAAAGAGGTCTATGTCTTAATTCTTGAAACCCAGAATACATCGTCTTATGTGATAAAAATAATTTTATGGATTAAGTGTATTGTGCTAGAGAGATTATCTTATATCATCCAGCTGGGCCCAATGTAACAACAAAGGACCTTTAAAAGGGAGGCAGAAGGGTCAGAGTCAGAAAGAGAAGATGTAAGAACAGAAGCAAATATCAGAAGAGAAGAGAAGATGGTAGACCGTTGGCTTCAAAAATGGAGGAAGGGGCTACAGGCCAAGGAATGCAGGCGTCTTGTCAAAGCTGGAAATGGCAAGGGAATGAATTATTTACTGGAGTCTCTAGAATGAGTGCTGGCCTGCCTACACTTTGATTTTAGACCAATGACACTGATTTCAGATGCTGACCTCCAGAACTGTAAGAAAATAAATTTGTATTGTCTTAAACTACTAAATTTGTGACAGTTACAGCAGCGATAGAAAATAAACATACATGAAAAAGTAAAAAAAATTTGAACTGAACAATAATAAAATGTAACATATTAAAATATGTAGAATCCAGCTAATGTGCTGCTAAGAAGCAAGTCTGTATTTTAAATTATTTCTGTTAGAAAATAACAGAAGTCTAAAATCACTGATGGAAGTTTTCACCTTAGTAAAATGGAATAAAAAGAGCAAATTGAACCAAAGTATGTAGAAGAAGAAGATTATAAAAATTAAAAATTATAGAGTGGAAATCAATGAAATAGAAGAGAGACAAAACTTAGGGAAAAAAACTTAAGAAATTTAACTCAGTTATTTGAATTAGGTTAAGAAAGTTAAATATCCCTAAGAAGACAGATCAAGGAAAAAAAATAACAAAATCAGAAATTTAAAAAAGGAATATCACCAAAAAAACTACAAATATTGATAGAATATGGGGACATTATATACAACTGTGTGCTAAAAAAAAGTTAACAAATATGAAAAGTCTTGCTTTAAAACAAAACTTACCAAAACTGACAAAAAGAGAGCAACCAGGATAAGCCTAGATCTACAGAGAAATTGAAGTAATAATTTAAAATCCCACAATGAAAATTTCTGGCCCAACTGGCTATTCTGTAAATTCAAATAAATGTTTTACAAAGAAATACCTGTATTACACAAACTTTTTCACAAAAGCTAGAGGAGGAGTAATTTTCCAATTCATTTTATGAGGCCACTGTAATAACAAAACCTCATAAGGGCCTTACAAGAAAATAAAATTAAACACTAATATCCCTTGTGAACATATAGATGAAATAAAAATTCTTAATTGTTAGCAAATCAACTTGTAGCATTATATAAGAAGTCTAATATATCCAACAAACAGAAAGTTATTCTGAGAATGTCAGGTTAATTTAATAGTTGAAAACCAATGAATGTAATTGATCATACCAACAACAAAAAAAGAAGGAAGCACATAAGATCATTTCAATACATGCATAAGTGTACACAAAATGTTCAACACTCATTTATAATAAATAAAAAATAAAAGGGAATTTCCTCAATTTTATAAAGGACATTTATGAAAAACCTGCAACTATCATCATTTTAATAGAAAAATATTAAAAGTGTTTAAGATTAGAAATGAGGCATGATGTTTACTCTTACCAGTTCTATTCAACATATTACTAGAGATCCTATCCAATGAAATTAGGCAAGAAAAAGTAAAAAGATACAACCATTGTTAAGAAGTAAAATATGCCTTTTGCAGATGACATAATTGTATATACAGAAAATCCAAAAGAATCTTCCAAGAAAACAAAACGAATATAAAAACTACTGGATCTAATAAGTAAATTCAGCAACATCTAAGAATACACGATCAATATACAAAAACCAATTATGTTGTATATACTAGCAACCTGCAATAGAAAAAATGAAAAATTAACACTATAATAGCATCAAAACCACAAAATTGTTGAAAACGAATTTAAGAAAAGATGTAAAAGACCTCTATAAAGCAACAAAATGTTGCTGACATAAATTACATACTACTTAAATAATAGAAAGATATACCATGCTCATGAGCTGAATGACACAACATTATGAAAATGTCAGTCCTCTGCAAATTGATCTGTAGACTCCAAACAGTGCCAAGCGAAATCCTAGAAAATATTTTTATAAAATATTCTGATACTAAAGTTTATATAGAATTTCAAAATAACGTTCAAGATATTCATAAAAATGAAACAGCTGGAAGATAAATACTACCTGATTTTAACAATGACTAATAAGCTGTAATAACCATGACAATGAGATAATCACATTTGTGTAGGCAAATTGATCAGTAAAACTGAAATAGATTCATGCATAAGAGGTCAAATTATTTTTAACAAAAGTGATGATTCAATTCGATGGGGAAAAATGTCTTTTTATTGAACAGTTCTAGGTCAACTTGATACCTATATAAGAAAAAAATGAGTTTGACCTAGACCTCACATTATACAAAAAAATTAACTGGAGATGGATTATAGACAGATTATGTAAAGACAAAAACTATCTCCAGACAAAAACACAGGATAATAATTTTGTAACCTAGGGGTAGCCAAAGATTCCTCAGAATAATAAAAGCTCTTAAAAGAAAAATAAAACAATTAACTAAATTTTGTCAAAATTAACTTTTTCTCAACAAAAATGACAATTAAAAAATGAAAGGAAAAACAAAACAAAAACAAAAAAAGGAAGCCATAGACTAGGAGGAAAAAAAATAGTAATATAGACCTTTTATTTAGAATATATAAAACAATCCTACAAATCAATAATAAAAAGATAATTAAAACAGAGAAAAGATACAAAAAAACTTGTATACACAAATAGAATATAGAAAAATCTTATTTATACTATTAGTACATACAAAAGTATATACTATTAATAAGCACATAAAAAGATGCTCAACATTTTTAATCACCAGTGAAATGAAAATTAAAAGTCAAAATGAGATTCTACTACACACTTGCTAACATGAGAGACTTTAATACCCCACTGACCACATTAGATAGATCATTGAGACAGAAAATTAACAAAGATGTTCAGGACCTGAACTCAGTACTAGATCAAATGGACTTGATAGACACCCACAGAACTTTCCACCCCCAAACAACAGAATATGCATTCTTTTCATTGCCACAGGGCACATACTGTAAAATTGATGACATCATGGGAAGTAAAATGCCCCTTGGCAAATACAGAAGAACTGGAATAATAATAACCTGTCGGACCACAGAGCAATCAAATTGGAAATCAAGACTAAGAAATGTACTCAAAACCACAGAATTACATTGAAATTGAATAACTTGCTCCTGAATAACTTTTAGGTAAATAATGAAATTAAGGTAGAAATCAAGAAGTTATTTGAAACTAATGAGAACAAAGATACAACATACCAGAATCTTTGGGACACAGCTAAGGCAGTATTAAGGGGGAAATTTATAGAACTAAATGCCCACATCAAAAAGTTAGATCTCAAATTAATAATCTAACATCACAACTAAAAGAACTAGAGAACTAAGAGCAAACAAATCCCAATGCTAGCAGAACACAAAATAACCAAAATCAGAGCTGAGCTGAAGGAGATTGAGACATGAAAAGACATTCAAAAGATTAACAAGTCCAGAAGCTTGGTTTTGTTTTTTGGTTTTTTTGTTTTTGTTTTTGTTTTTGATAAAATTAATAGTTGAAGAAGATGTTTTACAGCTGGAAGTTTCATACGTAGTTGGTAGAGGTATAAAATAGTACAATCACCGTGGAAAACCATTTGGGAATTTATTGTGATTCAGGAATTCTCCTAGATGTTTACCAAAACAAGTAACACCATATATCTGCAAAAGGACTTGTGTGAGAGCATTTATTGCAGTGTTATTCATAATAGTAAAATATTGGAAATCACCCAAATGTCCACAACAGGTGAGTGGATAATTAAATTGTAACATAGTGATATAATAAGATGTATCTCAGCAACTAAGAATGGACTAATAATACGCAACACAACATATGTAAGTCTCAAAAACATCATAAATTTTAAAGCCAGATGCAAAAATTGTACTTATGTGTGATAACGTTTACATGAAGCTCAACCTAAAGCAAAACTAGTCCATGAAAATAGAAATTAGAATAATGATAGCCTTTTGGGTGTACAGAGGAGTGGTAGGGAGTAGAAAGGAAAGGATGGGAAATTTTGAATGATGTCAATACTCTATATCCTGATTGAGGTCTTCGTTACATGGGGTATTGAGGTATTAGTTACATAGATAGACCAAAATTCCTTGAACTGTACACTTGAGATCTGTGCATTTTCCTGCATGTAATTATAGCTCTGTAACAAACATGCTAACAAAATGACACAAAAAAGCAAGAGTCCATTCTCACCCCTGAGCTTTCTCCCATGAGAAAACAAATTCTCCTCAGCCAAATCTATATGTTCCTTTAAGCTTTCTGGGAATATAAGAAAATGAAATTTCCCTAAATCTAATTCCAATATGACAATACATTGATAAAGCCAGATCTTTGGCTACACTGGGATAGGAAGCCAGGAAAAGCTACAGGATTGTGTGGAGCTGGAGTAGAAATAGTGGATTGTCCAGAAATTGGTTATTCTAGGGTTGCAACCAGGGACTAGAATCTAATGTCAATCCAAGGGTTAACTCAAGAAGGCTGTGAACATTGTTTACAGAAGATCCACATAGAAAAATCCCATTTCGGTGATCTCTCCAAGCAGAGATGAATTAGCCCAGGTTTAAGAGTGGGGACATAGGGACTAGGAATGTCTAAAAGCAAGGATCAGCACCCAAACTTGGGGATACTGAATAAAGGGCCCAAGTTAGGCCCCTGAGTCATAATGGAACTGGAATACGAGCCTGGAAGAAAGCCAAGCTTTGATGTGGTAGAAGAAAATCTCCAAGTCACTGGGAGATGAAAGTGTTCAACCGTCATAAGTCTAACTAGATGCTGGTTTGGTTTATCATTGGATTAGTTTATTCTCTATGTAGACCAGGCTAAGTCTGCAGATTGAAAATAATCAGCCACTGCTATCAGGGTTAGGAGGAAGGCAGGGTCAGCCCTGCCATCACCAGTGGTCTGCTGGTTCTCCAATCAATTGGAAGCCATAGATATAAACTGTGTGTGTGTGTGTGTGTGTGTGTGTGTGTGTGAAAGAGAGAGACAGAGGCAGAGAGAGAGAGACACTTATAAAGGCTGAAAAGTCTAAGATCTGCAGCCAGCAAACTGAACACACAGGATTGCTGATGGTATAAATTTGAGTCTGAGTTTAAAGGCATGAGAACCAGGAAAGTTTGCGGTGTAAGTTCCAGTCCTGGTCCTAGTCCAAAGGCAGGAGAAGACTGATGTCCCAGCTCAAAGACAGGCAGAGAGAAAGAATTCCTTCTCACTCAGCCTTTGATTCTGTTCAGGTTTTCAAAAGATTGGCTGAAGTCCACCCATATTGGAGAAGGAACTCTGCTTTGCTCAGTCTAACAATTCAAGTATGAATCTCATCCAGAAACCCTCACAGGCACACTCAGAAATCATATTTAACCAAATATCTGGGCAACCTATAGCCCAATCATGTTGACACTTAAAATTTGCCATCCCATTCTGTGTACAAGAGATGATAAGGGAGACACATCAGGAAGGCAGGACTAATTATGGGGCACTTGGAAGCACTAGATCATTTTCTGTGGGCTGTGAGGTTGAGGCATTAAGGGGAGTGGAGAGAGGAAGCTGGAAGGGAAGATGAGATGCTCAAGTTAAAATGCTTTCTATTTCATCCTGCAGTAAAGATTTAAGGAAGGAGATTCATGGAAATAAATTCATTGTTCTTAGCAAAGGGCTATGATTTGAAATCTGGTTGATCATGCTCTGTGTGAGCCAACATTGCAAAATAGGCTCTAATTCCCACCTTAGACTGAGCCTGTGCAGATGGCGAGGGGATGGCCCTGCTTGGTGCTGTGTGTCTCCACCTCCACTTCTTCTTTCCCAGCCCCAGGTATTTAGAAACTGGCCACTCAGATCAGGGAGGCCCAGCTCCTACCCACCGCTCCTACCTACCCTCTGCTTTCATCCTGCCAGCTCCATAGCTGTCCTTCCTGTTCCTTTACCTCAGGGTCCTGGTCTTTGATTAGTAATTGACACCAAGGTGATAATGGGTGATAAAAAGTTAATGGCAATCTAAAGCGTTAATGGTTATTCAAATCAACTAACCACCTGCAATATAGTAGCTAATTCACTTGCAGTCCATCACACTGTCGCCCAAAGGAATACAGTGAGGAACATTCCAGGCTGGCTGGGTAGATATTATGTGCCAATAGCTCAGTTCCACTGGCCAAGCACCACCTATGCACCTGCCTCCTCTGTGACCATGGCCTGCAGTGTGTGCAAGGAGAATACTTCACACTTGTCAATACACTTTTGCTGAAAACCTGCCCCCTGGCTTTTATTTTTCCAGATTTCAATGACAATAGTGTTGACCTAAAGAAAGAAACAGAGGTGAAATTGATATGGGTAGAGAGTTTAGGCCAAGATTGAAGACTGCAGCCTGGGAACACTTCCAGACTACATTGGAAACCACTCTAGAGAACAAAGGGGTGGCTGGAGTTTTGTTTTGTTTTGTTTTGTTTTTTTGAGACGGAGTTTTGCTCTGTCGCCCAGGCTGGAGTACAGACGCGCGATCTCGGCTCACTGCAAGTTCCGCCTCCCAGGTTCACACCATTCTCCTGCCTCAGCCTCCCGAGTAGCTGGGACTACAGGTGCCCACCACCACGCCCGGCTAATTTCTTTTTGTATTTTTAGTAGAGACGGGCTTTCACCATGTTAGCCAGGATGGCTACGATCTCCTGACCTTGTGATCCGCCCACCTAGGCCTCCCAAAGTGCTGGGATTACAGGTGTGAGCCACTGTGCCCGGCCGAGGCTCTAGTTTTTAAAGAAAAAAGAAGAAGAATCAAAGAGGATCTGATTGCAAAAGTTGTTTACCAGGAATCCTCATAGCTTTACAGTAATAACATTGATTAGTGATTGGCGATACATTGTTGAACTCTAGGATGTGAGTTATGGTGTCCAGCACGTGGCATTGTTAGGTTAATTTATAGCTCTTGGTGGCGACATTTAGTCTAGAAAGAGGACTGCTGTTTCATCTTAATGCCTCTCTGGGCCTAGTAATTTAGAGCGGGCTCACTCACCTCAGATAAAGTTTTTCTTCCTCAACTGTAAACATACGTTTAATGAGCCCCTACCAGTGACAGACACTGTTAAGTGCTGGGGATGCTGAGATGAATCAGAAATTTGCGCCCCACCCCACCCCGGCTTCTATTAGGTCGGTGCAAAAGTAATTGCATCAACCTAATATCAGCTCATGGGTTAGTGGTGTTCACAACCATCTGATTTCTATTGTCCCTGCTGTGTGCATCCTCAGTTAGATAGAAGTGTGGCATGGTACTTAACCAACAGTACTTAAACACCTTGTGCATGTTTAGGAAACAGGATCAGAGTAAATGCCAGTAATCTCTGTCCATAGGCCTTCTTGTTACACAAAGGTGAACCTACAGACATGACCCCATCCCTGCATCCATGCAGATTACATACTAGCTAGAGGAGAAGGAAGACTTTCCTATCACATCCAAATATACAAATATAAACCCCGATAAGATCCATAGAGGAGAAGTACAAATGCCTGTGAGAGAGCCTGATTCGGTCTGGGAATTTGAAAAGGCTTCCCTGAGGTGGTGACATTTGGTGTGAGATGAGAAGGGAGAGATAAGAATCTGCCAGGGGAAGGGACAGGGGATGAGAACTATGAAGAAGGAATGGGAAGAACCAAGTTCCTGAGGTAGGAGGATGATGTACATATGAGGAATCAAAAGAAGGCCGTTGTGCCCAGGTTAGAGAGCAAGAAGGTGAATAGGAAGGGGTGAGGCTGGAGGGGCAGGCAGGGGCCAACCCTGTTGGGTGATCGTGGGTTATATGTTCCTTGTCCCAAGAGTGATGGAGAACATTGAAGCATTTTGAGCAAGGGAGCTATAACATAGATTACTGCAATTTTGAGTAAATTATATCCTTTCTGAACCTTGGTCTTCAATAAATGAAGGCAGATTAATTGAATGATCTCTTAGCTTCTTTCATCTCTAATATTCTATGATTCTGTAGCCCAGAAATATGCCCTCTTTTGATAGTTATCAGTACTAGTCACAGACACATCTGATTCTTCCTCTGGGTGTGTTATAGGACTGCACCTGCCTGGCTTTTTGGAGTTAGGTACGGCCAATGGCATGTGAGCTAAGTGACCTGTGAAAATTCTAGGTTGAAAGGTTAACAGCCAACATGCAATTTCCCAAGCTCTCTCTCCACCACAGTGGCCAGCAACATTTCAAATAGTGCAATATCTGGGTCCTAAAATGAGACTATTGGGGTGCACAACTCTCAGACAACCTGCAGTGGGCAAATAAAGCAACAAAGTAAGTAAACAAATAAATAAACCTTTGCCATTTGAAGCTACTGAGATCTAGGGGTTGTTAGTCAACACACCACACTGCCCAGTACACTCCAAGACCAACGCATGTCATAAAGGACATTTGGGACTGTTGTTTGGACCGTGGTGTATAGCTGGTACTCAAAAAATGTTTTAAAATAGTGCAACCTTCGAGCCAATGTTTTCCAAGTCATTCAGTCTGTGCCTTTGTTTATCTCATCCCTGAAATGGAACTGACCTCACTCCTGGAGTTGCCAGAGCTTGAGGCTAATCAGAAGATAATGAAGCCCTTGACGTTCCTGAAAAGCTCTCTAGATGATAAATAATAGAGTAGGCTGGCACAGGCTCTTGGCTCTGGCAAGAGCACACAGGGATGCCATTGCCGATCTCTCTCTCTGGTCTTTCTCCATCATCAGTGAACAGTCCAGGCTCCGGAGGAAACTGTTAGGTCTTTCAGGCTGCAGTGATGAGAGCAACTGTAATTAAGTCCTTACAGATTCCACCTTGTTTCTCAGGACATTTCGATCCTGACATTTCTGCAGTCTTTTTGAGTCAGGATAGAAGGAGAAGCATCAGTAATTTTTCTCTTTATCTTTTCCCCTACCTCTCATCTATCCTTGACACTGGGCCTTGAGCCAACTGCCACCATCATCCCAGATGCTACACACACAACCATGTGCACAGCGACACAAAACATTGTCATCACAGGACAAAAAAAAAAAAGTCCAGTGATGACACATTTTTGTTTGGAAAGAAGCAGAGTCAGACTAGGGGGAAGATGACTGGGCTTCCTGATGTGGTTGGGGGAAGGTTCTGTACTGCTGCAAGCTGATTCCTTAAACACAAACTCATACTCACACCCAGCACCCAGTCAACGCAACCACCTCCCTCTACACCATGGGATGGAATGGACCTGGGACTGAGACTTGCAAGTCCTGAGTCTGAGACTTGCTCCTACCAGAAGTGTCTATGTGATCTTGGACAAGTTCCTTGATAGTTTAAAGCCTCGGTTTCCTCACGAGTGTAACAGATCTGAGGACTGAATGAGATTGGCTTTTAAAAGGCCCATTCACAAGCTCAGGAGGCTTAATCCAATTGCCTTTCCCCTTGAGGATATCACCATTACCACTAAAGCAAAACATCATCTGTCCTTGGTCTCCTCCTGTCCTCCCACTCCCCTTTCTTCTTCACTTCCTGTCCCTTTGTGTTTACTATTCATTTTAGCTTAATTCTCCCCAAGAAAAAAATGATCCTGAGCTGTGTGTGAAGCCCTCCTTTCCCCACCTTGGTTGAGGGAGGTTCACTGTTGACCTTGATTGGGGCCAGATGTCCATCAGTGAGACCAGAGAGGGAGAAGGGGTCCTGGCTTTGAATAGCATTCAGTGACCTTGGGGTGGAAGGCCTGGTGTCTCTAGAGAGAGGCTGGATGATGGACAATGGGTGTGTAGGGAAGATAGCAGTGAGGCATCTCCTTGGAAACAGGCCTGTCACCTCCTCCTCATCCTAGTTATTCTCCATTGTTCCCCACTGAATACCTCATCTTCTTGGTTAAGGGGTCCTCTGTAGTCCCACCCACTCCCCATCCTCCAGGGGCAGCTGCACGTCCCCTCTTCCCACTTCCCTCTAGGGAGCAGCAATCAGCTCACACTCTCAGGACAACTTCAAGAATGAAATATCATTAGCAGGCCTCAAAAAAAGAGAAGGAAAGAGGGTCAGTAATCCCCATGCATATTTGAATTACTAAACACTCACCAGGGTCATACAGAACCACTTTCTATAGGCCTGTTCTACACATGGTGTGCTTGATGATACAGGGGGTAGTGGGAGTCGGGCAAAGGCCCAATGTTTTGGACTCCTCCGCCCGCAAACCCTGTCTTTCAATCCTAGCATGGATGTCCTCATTACTCCTGCCAAGAGCAAAAGCATTCTGCTTTTGAGCAAATTTCTTAAGTAGTATGGGCTTCACCCACAAGATGAGGCAGGTGGGCTAGGTGATGTTCTCTCATGCAGACCATCATTACCCAGTGGCTCTCTGCTGAGCCGTGAGCCCTCAGAAATACAGTGAAATATTTTGTGTGTCTGTTTAGGCATTTAAAGATGGGGAAGGGGGGACCTATGACCTCATCAAGTCAATTTCCTGGGAAGCCTCAATATTGAAAGAACACCCATAACAAAGAAATGGGATGAGTGTGGGAGACAGTTTAGAAATTAAGGCAACTGGAGTGCTAATATAAGTCTGACCTGTGACCTGGAAGCTCAGCAAAGTCAGACTCTAAGTGGGTCTGCTTCAGGGACAACTGGCAGGAGCTAAGCCAGAAGTGTAGGCCCAGCTGCCTGCTGGGACAGCAGCATTTCCACTGGGCAGCAGAGACCCAGGCAGACAGAGGAGCTCCAGAGGTCCTGAGCATCTGCAAAGCTGATGCCTAGGATCTCTTTGGCAGAGACAATGCCATAGGTGGTATGCCATTTTCCCTTCCTGGGCACACGAGAAGACTACATTTTCCAGCCTGCCTTGAAGTTAGATTGGGTCTACTTTCTGGCCAATGGGATGTGGAAAAATGGATGTAAGGCACTCCGAGCCCTGTCTCCTACAGAAGTCTTCTTGCTCTTTCTCAGAGATTATCAGGCATGGCCACCTGGTTTGCATCAACATGTGATATCAAGCGGAAATAAACCTTTGTTGGATCAAGACGCTGAGATTTAAGTGTTTATTGCCATGGGCAGGCCTAGATTATCTCGATTAATGCAATGCTTCAACCATCCAGTGTAAGACAGTACAACTCTATTTCTAAATATAGAAAATATAAAGTGGTAAATTAAAGCAGCAAATATAAAGTAGTAAATATTCACTAGTAAATATAAAGTGCTTAATATCCAGCCGGGCTGAGACCTTGACCATCTGTTGACTGGACTGCGTGATCACAGCAAGGACTGATAAGTTACCCCAAACTCCCATCTGACTGCCTCAGAATGGGAAATCTTCTGAGAAGTGGTTGCATCTTTGCTTAAACAATGTTTTAGAAATGAGGGGATCGTTCATGTATTTCTACAGCAGGGGAGGAAACTGTCATCTCTAAGGGATTGCTGTAGCACACTGATTCAGAGGGCAGGTTCTGGAGCTAAGTAGCCTGAGTTTGTGCCCTAGTTGCAACAGTTACTAACTGGGTGATTTGTGTAAGTTGCTTAACCTTCTTTTGCTCAACTTCATAAACTTATTGTATCACTTGTGATTGCTGTATAACAAACGGTCTCAATGCTTCATAGCTTGAAACATACATCTTTATTATTTCTTATAACTTTCCAGGTCAGCTGGGTCAATCTTCTGGTCTCATTTACGCATCTGTGGTCAGGGAGGTGGCTCTGCTGATCTTGTCTGAGCCCCTCTCACATGCTTGCAGGTTAACTGGCTATAGGCTTGTCTAGTGGTGTCAGCTAGAACAACTGGGCTCAAGGCTTGTTCCATATGGTCTCAGCTTGTTTACACAGCAGTGGCAGGATTCCAAAAGACAGAATACATGAATGATTTGGAATTCACCCATCAGCTCTACCTCTTTATTCTGGTGAAAACAAGTTATAAGTTTAGGTCAGGTTCAAAGGGTAGAGAAACAGACTCCATCTTTTTTAGGACAGAAAACCATGTTACAAAATATAATGATGGAGGGAGTCCATCAACAATGGTCATCAGTGCAATCAACCTCTCATTGTTATTGTAAGGATTAAATGTGTAACACATGTAAGATATTTGAATAATGTTGTTTTGTAAATTTCAGAACTTCATATTTTCCTGCTGCCTTAATATCTCCATTAGCTGGCTGTGAGCACCGTGCCCGGGTGGCCAGCTGCACCAGGGTGCTGACCACTGCCACAAGTCCTTCCTTCACACCCCTGACTGTGACCTAGTGACATTCATATGCACCAATGAAATTCCCTTGCACCTTTTGCTGTGTTCTCCAACGTGACCCTCAATAAAGGCACTTGCCTGCAGGTCCTCCCTCCTTCCTGAATCCCCGCAGGCTCTATTAAGTACACTCCGTTGGCGCTGTTTCCATGTGGCCCCCTTGCGGACTGTGGTGACCCTGTCTCTCTAGGATCTGTGGGTATATAGTAAATGCTCCATACACACGCGCATCTGTCATCTCCACTACCTTCTTCTCTGTACAGTCTTCACTGATGGAAATGCTTAAACACTATGTGTACTGTTAAGCCTTTAGTGTAATTATCTTCTGTAAGGTTCACAACCACCCTAAGACAAGTTTTTTAGAATCGTTTATTTCTATAAATGACAAAAGTGAGGCTTAGAGAGCGTAAGTAATTTACTCAAGTTACCAGGTACCAGGATCAAACTGAATCCATGTTCTGAATCACTGACTGGCTTCCACTGGCTTAGAAAGAACTTCACTTGTCGCTTCTGTATGGCAAAGGCTGCCCCAAATTTCAGAGCCACCTCAGTTAGTTCTGCTGTAACTGTCGGATATCCCCACAGCGAGGCATGCCGACAACTAGGCTGAGCCCTCCAGTCTCCTATTGCCAGAGAGTTGGTTCTGTGGCTGACCTGGGAATAGGCTTAGACCTCTGGGCATGGTTACGTCTCCATGGTACCAACATCAGCTCATGGTGCACCTTCTCCACCTTGTCTACCCTAGATACTCATTGTGAGGTTGGCTGATACCTCCAGCTGCCAGATGAGGCTTCTCCAGGACAGGTGCAAGTGTACATCAGGGATGTTAGCCCAGCCCTCTGGAAGGTATTTGAAGGTAGGTCTTTCTATCTAAGCACATCAGTATGGATTAGGTGAGTCTCAGCCCTGTTTGTCTAAGTTGCCTCCTTCATATTATTTCTCCCTAGCATCTTGTCCTCAAACCTATCCTGGTCTTCTTTCTAGTTCCCTAGGAGAGTGGAAGCTCTGCCCTAGAGTTTCCAGCCTTGTTTGAGCTCATTGTCAAGCTATACTCTTGCAATCAGGTTCTGCTTCTGCTCCTCGCAAACATTCAGGACAAAGGTAACCGATGTGATTCTCCTCAAGGGCCAGATCCAGGTAGGTGGGAACAATATTGAGGCCATATCTAGACCCAGTAGAAAATGGCGCTGTGATCATCTAGCAAGGTCTCCTGTAAGACAGGGAGTTAGAATGACAACAGGAGTTACTGTTATTGGCATCCCAGGCCTAGACCAAGGATGCCATCACCTGCTGGGCTTCTAAACTTGCGTTGCCAAATTGCATGCTTGGTTTGATGACCTTTGGACACCCGGCATTGAATGATTCAGCTGCCCCAGATGCCACAGGGTAGCTCAGACCCACATATTAGGTTAATTTCTCTAACTGCCAGATCACTCATTCACAGCTTTTTTTCCTTCCTCAATGGTGTAAATTACTCCCAAAGGACAGTTCCAGCTGAAGCCTGTTGAGTTATGACCAAACCCAAGGTCTTTGATAACTTAATTATACTGTTTGGCCTTAGGGATTGTCTTTGTTCTAATTCTAACTCTTCTCATTGACGATGATAAGGATTCAACCCAAAGATAAGATGAAAAGAGAAGAAGCAAAAAGCAGCAGGGAGAATTATTTAGGATGCTTACTCCCAGGTTCGCCTCTTCCTAGGATAATCATGACTGCCTGGATATAGTCAGTACAAGAGAGCATACCAATGCGAGGTGTTTCCTCAGACAGCCTGAGTTGAAATTTTGCCATTTCCAACTACCAGCTGTGTGACCTTAGGTGAGCTACCTACCTACCTAGCTACCTAACTACTCCATGCTTCTTCAGGTTTCTTGTCTGTAAAAATGAGGATAGTGACAGTTCCTACCATAAGAGATTGTTAGGATCATATGAAATAATTGATGTAAAATACTCAGAGTATTGCTTGGTAATTATCTTAGATCTCAGTTACTGTGTTGAGTTCATGCATTATCTCCTATTATATGACTTTTTGAGATCAGGTTTGATAGCCCCATTTTGCTAATGAGAAAGGAGAGGCATGGAGAGGTTAAGTCTATTGTCCAAGGTGACACAGCTGATAAATGTCAGAGCTAGGATTTGAGCCAAGGCGTGTTTGACTCCTAAACAAATGCTTTTTTTCAGAAGGAGCGTTTGGACCTAACAGCTCTAATCACCCAAATCAGAAGAAGTGGTCTGGTGAAAGTAAAATGAAACTGGCTTTTTTTAAAGGCAGGCCTGAGATATAATCCCACTGGCTGTTCACCATTGGGCAAATCACTTTACCTCTCTGGGCTTTAGAGTCCTTGGATGAGCCTTTTAAAGGCCAGTGTCAGTCAGTCCTCAGATCCCATTCATGCATGAGGAAACCGAGGCTTTAAACTATCAAGGAACTTGTCCAAGATCACACAGACAGTTCTGGCAGGAGCAAGTCTCAGACTCAGGACTTGGATGTCTCAGGCCTAGGTCCACCCCATCCCATGGTGTAGAGGGAGGTGGTTGTGTTGACTGAGTGCTGGCCTCCCATCTCCTTAGCCTCTGCCATCAGTGTCTCTCCTCCAGGCTGCAGCCATGATTTCATAAATGGCATGTGTACTTCTTAAATTTCTCCTGCGCAGGACCCATAGAAAGCGTTTCCTCCTAGAGAGAAAAAGTAGGAGCAGCTGGGAGTCACCACCTCTCAGCCCCATCCTTTAGTGATCCCTCATTTTCATTTCTGCTTTTCGGTGTCACATCCCATATTAACCCCATGGTCTGAAATGTTTAGCAAGTGAGGAAGGACCTCACAATGTTTAGAGCATTTAGTTGGAATAAATAATGTATGGAAAAGCAATGGTAAGGTACAAAATGCCTGCTAATTAGCAGAAGCTTAGAGTCAAGTAGGGAAGTTTCCTCTGGCAAAAGTTCTTTCAAACACCAGATCAGAGTCCCAGGGTCAGCCTGAGCCCAGCCACTCCTTCCCCATCCTCTGGCGGAAATCTGTCGGCTGCCTTCCCTCTGCAGCCAGCTTTCAGAAACCTGGGATCTCTATCTTCCCAGCAGGAAAGGAATTTATTAACACGTCCACTGCATCCCAAATTGAGAAATCAGCTGCCTGGAATCTGTGATCAATATGTTGTCTCTCAGTGATAAAGTGTTTCCTTGGAATATGTTCCTCATGTTCCCTTCATGGTTCAGAGCTCCCAGAGATTTGGGGTGGGTTCAGCTATTAGGTGCTCTGATCACTATGAGATTCTTCATCCTCTCTCAGCCTCCCGGCTCTCCAGGATCCACAGAGCCTGGCATGAGGTTCCTACCCACCTGTGACTCAGGCTGTTAGCAGGGGAAGATGAAACAAAAGAAAGGTTTCAATAGGAGGCATGGCTATAGACATGGTGGTGGTGGGCTGTTGCAGTGTTTATGGAGTTCGTTTCAAGCCCATATCTAACAGACATGTGAGCTGTAGGTTAGTTCTAAGTGACATTAAAATGCATCTGCCGGACGCCTCACTCAGCTCAAGACCAGGAGTGCATGCGCCGCTGAGATGCCACACTGCTTTGTTCATTTGTCTCCTCACTATCTTCACCAACATGGGCCTGTCTTCTGGTTGGCTCCCTCCCCTCTCCCACACTCTGGGCCTCCTCCCCACGATGCGGTGTCAATCTCTGTGGCATGTCCATGTTGATGTCTGCCTCGACCCCTCAGGACCCACTTATCTAGAAACCTCTAGGAATACTGAGAAGCACTTGGCATTTTCTAGCAGCCACCCAACCTCAGTGACCAAATCTTTGGCTGTTGACATATAGGTGACAGGAGATCTTCGGTCACATTATGATTTTAGACACCTGCTGTTCTCCTCACCTTCTTTCTATGGCTGAGAGTAGAGTGCTTCCCGGCCCTGGACCTACAGTCAATGAAATGTGCAAGAGAGATGGTAAGAGGGTTGGAAGTAGAGAGAGAAAGGTAGGAAGCCAACTACAGAGTGGTTTTGGTATGTCATAGGAGCTCCTCCAGCTCTAGGTAGAATAGGAACTGCAAACTCAAGGTTTCTCCTGGCTGTGCTTTGCGTGCATGTGTGTACACATGGGTGTGAACAAAAGTGTGTGCATGTACGTGTGTGTATGTGTGCTTGTGTTGGGATAGGGTTGATTTCCAGGCTGCTGGATTCTAAACAATAAGTCAAGTGTTTAAAAAAGAATCTAAGGTTTATCAGCCAGGCGAGGTGGCTCACGCTTGTAATCCTAGCACTTTGGGAGGCCGACGCAGGTGGATTGCCTGAGCTCTGGAGTTTGAGACCAGCCTGGGGAACATGGTGGAACCCCGTCTCTATTAAAAATACAAAAAATAGCCGGGCGTGGCAGCAGGCACCTGTAATCCCAGCTACTTGGGAGGCTAAGGCAGGAGAATCGCTTGAATCCAGGAGGTGGAGGTTGCAGTGAGCCGAGATCGCACCATTGCACTCCAGTCTGGGCGAGACAGCGAGACTCCGTCTCAAACAAAAACAAAAACAAAAAAAGAATCTAAGGTTTATTGTACTGGTCAGTAATTAATCCATGATCAACCAGTCATAAAACTCAGTGGCTTAAAAGAGTAATGGCTTATTTTTGGTTGCCCAACTGCAGTTTGGCCGGTGGTTGGCTGATCTGGCTGGGTTCTGCTGGAAAAGCTGTGCTCCACCTGTCTGTTAGTCTGCTTGAGCTAGTTTGCTAGGTGGGGCGTGTTCTCATGGTGACAGCTGGGGCACAAGAGATATAAGTAGAAATATGCAAGTAGAAATATGCAAGTCTCAAGATGAGGCCGTGGGAAAGGTATGGATACACAGAAAGGTAAAGAACTGGGAACAGTAATTCAATTCAGCACATCCATGTGCATTATACTGGCTCATTATTCTCTTGCCAAAACCAGCCTAAGCTGGGCATGGTGGCACGTCCCTGTCATCCCAGCTACTCAGGAGGCTGAGGTGAGAGGATTACACTGAGCCAGGGAGGTCGAGGCTGCATTAAGCTGAGATCACACTGCCGCACTACAACCTTGGTGACAGAGTGATGAAAAAAAAAAAAAAAGCAGCATGGATGAAACTGCTCAATCCTCTTGTAGACTGAACCTTGGATGATAGCAGCACACTCAGGGAGAAGTCTGTACACTCTCAGTGTGGATGCTCAGGGCTTGTGTCTCGCAGTACTGGGCAATGTTTACTGACAAAGCTGTCAGGGCACCTGGTGAACTGTGCTGGGGGCATGGTGGTGGGTGGTAGATTCTAGTCTCTGCTTCTTCCTAATTGGCAATGTCACTGTAGGCAAGTGATTTTAGTTAATTTAAGTCCTCTTGGAATCTGTCAGGGGAGGATAAGAAAATCTTAATTTGCTCAATTGTCTCAGCCTGAGGGCCCAGAATTTAGTATTTTATCTTGTGTCCATATTTTCCTGTCTTCATCATCGATACCAGTGACTTTACTTCTTGACTGGTCTGGATGCATTTCTTGTAATAACCATCTCTGTAGCCACTTCCATTATGGGTTTTTGGGGGCAGTAAATATTTGCCTATTTTTGGCAGCCTAGCATCTGAATATCTTTCTAATGTTTGGGGTACCTCGTATCATAGGTACTGCCATAGAAGGCAGAATCTGCTTCTATTACAGAAGCTAAAAAGGCCAGACACATTTCCAGCCTCCCTTGAAATACAGTGCAGGGATTTGACCCGTGCTTGGCCAATCACATGCATCCATCCAACTTGCGAGCTGCCGCACAAACAAGCAAGGGCCAGAGGGAGGCTGCCTTGGAAGTGGTGATAGCAACAATGTGAGGTCTCTGTAGGGACTGGGATGATGGTGGAGACTGTGGTATACCCAGTGTCCAGTGTGGCAGAGCGGCCTGCAGCCTCGCTGGGTGGCCGTGGCAGTGGAGGTCTGATTTTGGCTATGGTGTGGTCTGATTTGGGCTATGGCTTCCCAGTTTTTCTTTGTTCTATACTATTTTCTGAACCTGGTCTTCATTGCATTTTGACAAATTGCTTAAGCACCCAATACTTTGTAGATAAATTCCTTTCTTGGCTAGTGTGATTTTCAGTTGCTTGAAACCAAGGACCCTGAGTACTATGTCTTCTGTTCTGCTGTCTTATCCATCACCTGTAGAGGAGTGGGTTTGAGCCCACACACCACCCATCTGGAAAGGCCCCTGGGGCAGAAGAGGCGTGGGGCCAGCTACCTCCCTCCAGACTGATAGCTTTAGCATGCATACTTGAAATGTCGGTTAAGGAGTTGCTCTCTCTGCCTTCCCTTGGAAAGTAAAACCTCTCCAGATGTAATTTTTTTTTCAAAATGACTGAGGGCTCCCTGGGGAGGAGTCCACGTACAGCTGCTGTGTGCCCCCATTGGTCAAGTGAGCCATTAAAACATCCATGACTGGTCTGAAGGGGACCCTTGGGCTACATCTAGCAACTGCAATCGCCCACCCTGTTACCCTGACATGAGACTGCCCTCTCTGTGGGAGCCTTGCTCAGGCCACGAACAGAGTTAGGTGAGAAGGAACATGTGCTTATTTAGTCTCTTTTCCCAATTCTGTCCTTAGCTGGAGAGACCACGCACCAGTGGAGATTGGTCCTACCAATCTTCAGACCTACACCTGGCATTACTCAGGACCAGTGCCCCGGAATAGAGGAGGGCAGGGTCAGGGGAGACTACAGAAGGCTGTGAGGCAGGTTTGGGTACATGAAGGATAAGCAGCCACTTCTCAGGAGGCTCTTTGTTCCCCAAAATAAGCACCTCCCCTCTTTATCTCAGGACTCTGCTGCAGTTGGTACTTTTCACCCCAACTTTCACTGCAGTATCTCTAAACAAGTGCTATTGGCAGTTTGGGTGGGACAATTCACTGTGCAGGACTACCCTCTGCAATGCAAAACATTGAACGTCCTTGCTCTTAGCCCATTAAATGATAGCGACTCACCCAGTCATTGTGACAATGCAGAACTCCTGAACCATTTCTATATGAAGCATAGGGGTGGTACCACCCTCAGGTGAAAGCCAGGGAGTTAAGGAGTTTGAAGGAGCTTTTGTTCAGTGTAAAGAATGCATTGAGCATTCTGAGGTTTTGTTAACTATTAATGCTAAATCTTCATTGAGACAGCTAGACCCTCTGTAACAGAAACAGGATCCTTTGCCATATAGGGCATTGAGGAGGTTAGTTTTGGTAGAAAAGCTTGAGGACAGAATCCTCAGTATCAGGACCTACTCCGTGGATGGGGTTCACTGGGAGAAAGGGTGAGAGGACACAGATGAAAGGCTTGGGTACCCAGGGAGTATACAGCATCAGGAAGCTGGAAAGCCTTGGGAGTGTTCAGGAGGGAGGTGGAGAGCCGCGATGGGGAGATGGGAGTGGAGATAGAACACCTCACACAGGACAGCCCCTTTTCCCCATTTCAACCATCTCCTTGCCAAGACTCCCCTGGTGATTGATGCCCAAAGACTGCAGAGCTATGAAAGGTTGTTGGCCATCAAAATCCTTTCTAGAGTCGCATCCAGGAGTGGCTGTGCTGGCCGTAACAGTGTCGTCAAAACTTCAGTGAGGAAAATCCAGGCTGGTCAAGCCTGCTGTGTGATTGAATATCCAATTTTCCAAATAGCTACAGCAAAGCAGAAAGTTCCATCCTGAGTATCTTCCATATGCTGAGGCCATGCTGGACACAGATGGAGAAGAAATAGCTGACAGGCTCAAATATTTCCCTCTGTATGGGGTAGTGGGCATGTCAGCAGACATCACACTACAGTGTGCTACATGAGACAGGACCCTACGTAAGGGAGAGAGGTAGAAGAAAGAAGAACAGCAGCATCAGAACAGTTTTCAGAGAAGAGCTTTTAATGAGAGATATCTTTTTATACTTATTTAATTTATTGATTGATTTTATTGATATAAACTTAAGGGGTACAAGTGCAGGTTTTTTCATGGATATATTGCTTAGTGGTGAAGTCTGGGCTTTTACTGTGACAGTCACTCAAATAGTGTACATTGTACCAATTAAGCAATTTCTCATCCCTCAACCTCTTCCCACCTGCTCACCCTTCTGAGCCTCCAATGTCTATTATTCCACACTCTATGTCCATGTATGCACATTATTTACCTTCCACTTGTGAGAACATGCAGTATTTAACTTTGTTTCTAAGTTATTTCACTTAACATAATCTCCTCCAATTCCATCCACGTTGCAGCAAAAGACATGATTTCATAAGAGCTACTTTAATAGTGAGGCAGAGGTAGAGGAAATGGCATGAGCAAAAGTATAACGTATTAAAAAAAATGTGTTGAGTGGAGGGGAATGAAGTGTTTGGAAACCATAGCTGCTTTTTTGTTTGTTGGTTGGTTGATTGGTTTATCATCAATATGCTTTTGTTTACCATTTCATCTGGGTTGGTTTGGCCTGCCTCACTAGGCATCTGCTGATGTTCACTAGCTACAGGAAACCTTTGGAAGGCTGTGGGGCCGGCTTTTCCTCTCCTTTCTCTTTGGCCTGATGACAGACTTTCTCATATAATTCCCTCTCTAACACAAAGTGGTCATGGCAGATGAAACACCCTATGTTGTCAGTTTCACTGGGGTTGCTGCTATTTGTGGCCTAAGTGAGTGAGTGCAGGTAGGCAGGTGGAAAGGAGACTGCCCCTTCCATGCATGCTCTTCCATGTCCCTGTGTGAACCAGCTGAAAGATGGTGTCTAGAAATCTTGAGAATAATGAATATTTCAGTCTTGGTAGTTGTGCCATCAGGCAGCCAACTGGATGTGTTGAATTCTGTTTTATCTGTACCTAAAACTCAAATGCACTCAACCTTGAATTAAAATCTGCTATACATTGAACATCTGTGTCCTCTCAAAATTCGTATCTAATCATCAATATTAGGAAATGAGGCCTATGGGAGGTAATTAGGTCATGAGGGTACAGTCCTCACAAATGGGATTAGCAATCTTATAAATCAAGAGAGACCTCATGTCCCTTCCACCATATGCAGAACTAATGAAAAATAGCCTTCTGTGAAGCAGAAAGTGGTCCCTAATCAGACACCAAATCTGCCAAGCACCTTGACCTTGGAATTCTAGTAGGCTCTATAACTGTGAGAAAAAAATTTCTGTTGTTTATAATCCACCCAGTCTACATACTCTGCTACAGCAGCCCAAATTGATAAAGACATACTAGAAAGAAGAATTTTGAGTTGAGAGGCCCTGAAGTGCACAAGACAAGAAGGAGTTTTGCGGCGAAACCCAGACCCCAGTGAGCAACACCACCTCTGCCTGCCCTGTGTCCTTGGACAAATTACTGGATGCCCTTCCTCCCAGTCAAAGGCCCCTTCTGCCTTCTAGATAATAAAATAGGAAAACTGAGACCTACTTCATAGCTCAGTTTACAATCAAAGAAGATACGCCATGGGAAAGTACTTCGGCAAGTGCAAAGTTCTGTCCCAGGTGGGTGGAGGAAAGCAAGGAGAAGGGGAGGCTGTCCTGGAGGCGCCTGAGGTGGGAAATGAAGACAATCCCAGTTAGTGCAGCCTTGTTTGTGCCACAGGAGAGGCCCCACAAGCCCTTCATTCCTAATTACCCTTGGATAATGAATGAATACAATGGTAAATGTTATTAGAATAATTGACTATTCATCAAGAACAAGAGACAATTAGAATAATTCCCTATTAGTATTCACATGTCCCCTCGCTGAAGGCGGCTCCCTCCACCTTGGGCTCCCAGGACTCCCATTAAAGGTGCAGGATCCCCCTTGGGCAGCACCAGCCCACATCCAGCAGGGTTATTAGGAAAGGGGAGTTATTGGCTGTGTAATTAACTATGTAATTAACTCAGAGTGCCGAATGCAATCAGCATCTAATCTAATAGAAATGTGTAATGAAGTTGGGTCTTTAATCCCTGAGAAAATCTCTGGATTTGGGTATGGGAATCAATCTGGCAGGGTGCCCCCAGGTCTCCATTATCTTCAATTAGACAATTAATTGATATTCAAGTTACCTTTCTCATTCAAACCTAATTGAATTTCTCCCTACTCCCCATGAGGTGTAATGTGTTTATAAAGATGCTCCTCTCCACTCACCGACTAAAGAATCCACAGTAAAGCGGTCATCACCTGTCTCCCACTGCCACTTATCTGGATATTAGATGCCAGCAAGTGGCCCCTTTAAGAGATTGATTGGCGCTTTGCTTTCTCCTTGGTACCTTTGTATCCAAACAGTGCAGTGGTGACTGGCTGGAGAGCAGCTCCATGTGTGACTAATGAAATTTTTTCTCCTTATTGCTCCTATGTCAGGCAATTGTAGCCAACATCTCCATTTTGTTTTCTAGCTCCCTTTTGCTTCTCCCTGACTCAGCTGTCTTCTCCCTAAATCCCCGTTTTATCCTCCTAGTCCAACTTCCAGCAACCTACTGAGCTCTTCTCTGCCCTGCACCGCCTGCCTTCCTCCTCAGATTTAGCTCTTGGTGAGCAAATCATGCAACCTATGTGATTTTGCCATGTTTTCTTGCTCTGCAAAAACAATGCTTACAGTCCTAGCACCCTAACAGCTTCCCCAAGGCTAGCTTTCCCAGGGGATTCAGAGAAGCAATTGCACCAGGATGGGGGAGGAGAGAGACGGAGGTAAGACAGGCATAGAGAGTCAGAAAGACTGTGCGAAATGGAAAGACAGCAGAAGAAGCGGAGAGATGAGAAGAGACGAGGGGAGAAGGGGGACACAGGCTGGAGAAAAATGTGAGAGAGAAAAGAGAGAGGATGTGAAGAAGAAAATAGGAAGAGAAAGAGAGAAGGGAAAGGGGAGGAGTTAAGAGGAGAGAGAGGCCTGAGTTTAATATAGCTGTCCTTAAGGACACAGAGCCAGCCAGCTAGCAAGGGGGGAGTGTCAGCCATTCAGGGAGGATCTTATGGAAGGCCTGACTATCAAACAGAGGCTCCAGTGGAAGCTGAAGCTTCCAATTGCACTATATACCTGATAGCCTAATCTGAAATGAGAATCTCGGGGGAGGTGTAGCCATTCTCAAAAAGGCTGCTATTTTTTTTTTAAACAGAAAATATAATAAAACTTTACTTATCCTCTCTGCCTTCAGAAGTTTAACAAAAGTGCATTCTTTCAGAGGGATCACTTATCTCCAGTGGCAATCAGCTTAAATACGTCCCATTATCAAGCTGCCTGCTACTGTACATCAGCGGGTGTTGTACCAACACACAGTCGAGTGTGGATAACATGCCAGTAATTGCTTGTCTGTTTAAAGAAACTCCAGTTCCCAGAGAGGAGAGAGGACAAGTGAAAGCCAGTGAGACAGAAGCATGTGTTGGAGCTGGGGCCGGGAGCAGAGGAGGCCTGAACACTGAATGGCAGAGGAGCTTTGCAGAGGAGTTCCGGGGACCTAGGCTTGAAGACTAGATCAGGGCTGGGTCAATGAGGCATGGCTGAAAGAGTCCTTCCTTGACATTGCTAAGAACTGGGAACAAAAGGGCAGGTGGAAGAGGTGCAGATAGGAACCTGTTCTCACTAATCTACAGGGCCAGACTCAGTGATTTGGGGATAGAGGTTGGGGTGTCAGGGTCTAGTGACCCCAAATAACTTCTCTACTTTCTTCTTGTACTGCTGAGAATGGCAACATTACTTATTTATATTTTGATCACATGATGACCTTTTCTTTACAATTCTTTAAAGTACAGTGGTAGCCTTGCCAGGTATTTTTAAGTCTTGAATCATCAATCTGTGTATCCAGACTTCAGTGAGGAGATTGTGTTTCTGCTTTCTTCCTATATCGCCTAACCCAGGGATGGGGATGCAGGAAATCCTGTATACACATCAGATAAATGGATGATGAACCCACAAAGGTCAATGAGCCCTTATTTATGAGCTTCCACTTCTTGCCAGACCCAGAGCTAGGCTTCCAGGGTGGTTTATCTCCTTTGATCATCATAAAAATGCCAGCAGGTAAGTAAGTATTGCAAGCCCTGTTTTACCCATGAGGAAGCAGAGGTTCAGAGTGAGGAGTGACTGGCCTAAGACCACATGCCCAGTAGGAGCTCAGCTCCCAGCCAAGCCTGCAGAGATCAGCGACCAAGCACAATGCCCCAGGCAAGCACAGAAGGCAGCAGTGCCAGAACGGAGCTCAGCCTCACCTTACACTTCCAACTCACCTCCACAGTACTGGATGATCCTGAAGGGTATCTTCTCTGTTCCTTCCTGCTCTGTAAAATGGAAACCATTTCCTGTTTTAAGCTCAAGTCTCAGGTCATTGGTGCTATCAATGGGAGAGGGACAGTGAAATACTATGCAGTGTTCCTCCCCTACTCCTTTGTCAATAATTAAGAGCTGTACTGTAAGTGTCAGTGTGGTGCATGAGGATAAATGCCCCCTCCCATTCTAGTGTTTTCCTTTGCTAATAAGCTGGGAGACCTTGGGCAGATCTTTGAACTCCCTGAGTGCTTTCAGCTCCCTTATGTTTAAAACAGAGATAATAATATCTGCTTTTCCAATCCTGCAGGATTATTCTAAGGATCAAATAGTGTAATGCACATGATAATGCTCTTGAATACACAGAAGCTTTTCATTTTGTGTATCTAGGTATATTCATATTCATTAGGTTTAAAGACTAAAACTAGCTATGAAATGCCACTGTCGGCATAGAGAGAGGACTCTGTGTCTTGGCAGACTCTGTTTATAGTTTGTCCTTAAGGATACCCATTTGTTTGTTTTAAGAAGAAGATTTGGCTCGCAATAAAGATATTCATGGCTTTCAGGACACGAAAATGTGCCTTGGATGTCACAAGTTTGTTTGAATTTCACTCCAGGGAGCTGAGCTCAGTAAACACTTTCATGTGTAGGCAGCACCCTTAATCAAGCCGATGAATCTTAACCTAACCTTCACAATAAAAGTTTAAATAGAACCCTGATTAAATAATTGTTATTTTCCTGCTGAGAATCTCAGTTGGGATGCCGTCTTTAGTGTAATATGTTATGCAAATGTTATATACAGCATGTATATGTCTCCTCTGCTGCAAACTGTGTCTTTGATCGTACTAACGAAGGGCTGGGAATCAAAGACTAGGTTCTAGTCCTTGTTCTGCCAGTGACTAGCTGTGTGACCTTGAGAAAGTCACTTAATCTCCCAGAGTCTCAAAGTCCTCATCTTGCACAAAGGATTGAAAGAGATCAATGGCTTGCCCTCATTTATTGCCCCTCCCCCAACCATGGAATCCATGTTTTCAAAAACGTCTACCAATCTGCATATATTACATGATAATTAATTCATTTCGCCAAGTCTAAAAATCAAAGGCATTTGTAACTGGTAGACAGAGATTCTGATCAGTCTTATATAATCAGGGTTAACACAATGAGCTATGATAATTTCAAGTAGAAGCAAAGAAGTATGACACTTCAGGGTGTCCTGTAGCCTCACAATGGATAGATGGGGGAGTGCATTTGACATTGTCAAATATTAACAATAACTCACCAGTCCTTATCACTACCTGTGCCCAACCCCAGAGTTGTATAAACAGGTTGGGAATCTCCAAAGTGCCCACTCACTCTAAGTTTCTGTCTACTCACTCAAAGCTCTTGTCTAGCTCTCATCATCTACGATCAAGTCGTTCTGGAGATTTAGGTAAGCATCAAATGAACATATGTTCCTGCCTTCATCATGCTCACATTCTAGTATATGTGGAAGGAAAGGGAACAGAAAACAAATATAATAAAATATTAGCTAAATCACAGTGTATCTTAGAAGGTGATAAGTGTTTCAGAAAGACAGAAAGCAGAGGAGGGTGAGGGCTCCTGAGGGTAAGGTTGCAGTTGATAGTCAGGAGGGTAACATTTGAGCAAAGACTTGATTGAAGGAGGTGTGAAAGGAAAATATCTTGGGCCCCCAAAATCACTAAGCTGAAGGGAAAATTTGAGCTGGGAACTGCTTAGGGCAAGCCTGCCTCCTATTCTATTGAAAGTCACCCCTCTGCTCACTGAAATAAATGCATGTCTGATTCCCTCCTTTGGAAAGGCTAATCAGAAACTCAAAAGAATGCATCCATTTGTCTTTCACCTGCCTGTGACCTGGAAACCCCCTCCCTGCTTCGAGTTTTCCCACCTATCCAGACAACCAATGTTCATTTTTACATATATCGATCAATGTCTCCTGTCTCCCTAAAATGTATAAAACCAAGCTGTGCTCTGACCACACTGGGCACATGTGATCAGGACCTCCCGAGGTTGTTGCACAGGTTCGCATCCTCAACCTTGGCAAAATAAACTTTCTAAATTAACTGAGATCTGTCTCAAATTTTTGGCGTTCACAGAGGCAAAAAAGCAATATACACACACTTAGTGGCGAATGAGCAGGTCGGGCTGAAGCTGTAGTGAATGCAAGGTTCTTGTGGCTGAAACATGCTTAGCATGCTCAGAAACCAGCAAGAAGGCCAAGCTGGCTGGGCAGGGGAATCTGGTGGGTTGTCAGAGATAAGTCTAGAGAGAGCCTTGTAGACCATTGTGATGACATTGGCTTTTACTCTGAGGCAGAAGTCATGGTAGGTTTGGTGCTTGGGTGCAACGGAGTTACGTGGTCTATCTTATGTTTTGAAAAAATCATCTGCTCATAGGAATTGACAATAGAATGCAGAAGAACAAGTGTGGAAGCAGGAGGACCAGTTAGGAAGCTGTTGCAGTGGTTATCAAGAGACTATAGAGGCTTGACAAAGGCGGCAGTGATGGATTGGTGAGAGCAGTCTATTTATGAATACATTTTAAAGACTGAGCTCTCAGGACTTGCCGTAGGATTGACCATGAGGTGTGGGAGAGAAAGAGGAAGTCAAGGTTTTGGAATTCAAGGTATCCGCTCTGTCCTCTGATGAAGTCACTGCATTGACATATATATCAATGTGTATTAGTTCGTTTTCACGCTGCTGATAAAGACACATCCAAATCTGGGAACAAAAAGAGGTTTAATTGGACTTACAGTTCCACATGGTTGGGGAGGAATCATTGCAGGAGATGAAAGGCACTTCTTACATTGTGGTAGCAAGAGAAAAATAAGAAGCAAAAGTGGAAACCCCGATAAACCCATCAGATCTTGTGAGACATTATTATTATTACTATTATTATTATTATTATGTTCCCAAATTTAAAACTTTTAATTTAGAAGTAAACTTTAAAATGGAAAATGCAAACTTAGGGAGTGCAGAAAGATCACACACAAGGCTGACACTTCCCACCTGGAGGGTTGCACGGTGACCGGGCAGAGGCGCTCCTCACTTCCCAGACGGTTGGGTGGCTGGGCAGAGGCACTTGTCACTTCCCAGATGGTGTGGCCGCTGGACAGAGGCGTTCCTAACTTCCCAGATGGTGTGGCGACCAGGCAGAGGCGCTCCTCACTTCCTAGATGGTGCAGCTGCCGGAGACTTATTCACTACCACAAGAACAGCATGGGAAAGACTGGCCCTCATGAATCAACTACCTCCCCCTGGGTCCTTCCAACAACACATGGGAATTCTGGGAGATACAATTCAAGTTGAGATTTGGGTGGGGACATAGCCAAACCATATCACAATGTATTACACACATGTAACAGAAGGCTTTGTAGAAAGTCCCATGACTTATGATTTTGTATAAATTTCCCTTGACCTCCAGGAAAATCACTTAAATAATTTGTGAGAGCCTATGAGCTTATGTGAATTCTGGAGAAGAATGACATGCTATGTTATATCTTACTTGGCAAACATTGGTGGGAAAATCCCATCCCAGAGGCAGTGCTCAAGTGAGGCATAGAAGCCAGAGTTTACTCCTCCATTCCTAAATGGACCTTGTTTGTTGAACGTGGAGGGGGCTTTTATAGCTTTTATTTCCCTTGAGATCAGTCTGATACCACAAATCCTAAATGTGTGTGGAAAGTGAAATGACCCTGAGAGCTTTCTGCTGATGAACCAAGGTTTGGGAAAACTAGTCCTCTTATTTATAAGGGAAGGAAATAAATGGTTCTCAGTTCCCTACTGATCATGGAGATGAAATGGATGAAAACTGAAGTGCAACTCAGCACCGTAAAGCCTTTTCAGAACATGATAGAATGTCAATCAATAAAAAATTAGAGCAGACCTAATCTTTGCAAAAGGGGTTCTGCAGAACATTGGATACAAGGACTACTAATGGGTTTTATCTGAAAAAATTCTATGATATGCATACAAATTTGAGAAATACTAGGCTGAACAGGGCTAATTGGTTTTCTTTACTTCTTAGAGTCTTTAATAGGCTAAGGATAATATTTTCAATAGGATTGATTTGATATGCAGAATTTTCTAAATATTTGTGGACATGAAACCCTATTTCATCCCCTGAGTAATACCTCACTTTGAGAAATGCTCATCTTGACCCCAAAACAGTCTAGGACTAAAACACAGTCATAATCATTGAAAGCACGGACATTTTTTATCTAGGATAGATTCTTTGTAATTCTTGCCTGGTGGTAGGTAAGTAAATGAGAGTATCGCTTTGAGCTACCAGTTTTATGGTTCTATTCATTTAGACTAAATTCAGCAACTTTTTGAGGTATAACTATGGGTCATACCTAGAGGTTTGGTTTCAACACCATTTATACCATCAAAAAGTTCACAGAATTTTATGAAGGAGGCAACATGAGAATACTTACTTGCCATACAACTTGATAAAGCTGTCCCAGAACTATGTACTAAGATCTAGCAGACATAAGTTCAGAAAAAGAAAACAACATAGTAGGTGAAAATATGGCAGAACTTGCAGTCAGCAGACAAGGGTTTGAATTTTGCCTTGTCCATGCCTGACATCTGGATAGGTTATATATAATCACTCTGAATGTAAGAAAATTAAATATTGCTACCATGCAGGGTTGCCTGGGAGAATAAAAGTACATAAATTTATATGTAAGCTGGACTGTAGTAGGTACTTAATAAATGTGGCTAACACAAATTTATTAATTGTAATAATAAATGAAGAAAACTACTCCAACAATATTTCTGCCTAGATTTTATGGCAAGGATGGGTTAGGAAAATTTATTTAGAGAAAAGGACATTGAAGTTGCTTAAACAAGAAAGTATATGAAGATAAATTAGAAGATAAATTCAGAGGACAAGAGATGCAAACATAAGTGGGGTCACAGCATGAGCTATTGCCAGGGCCAGATTGTGAAGATGCTTGTGTAGCAAGATTCAGAGTTGAGACAAGCTGATGCATGCATTGGGGGGCCACACTGATGGTTTTAAAGAAGTGGCATGATCAGGACCCATGGTGGATGCATCTTTGTACAATTTATCCTGTCTTGCTTGAGAGACAAATTGCATTTGCTTCACATCTCTTGATCACTTGAGGGTCTATGGTGTCATGGTGCTCCGAGTGTGGACCACTGAGATTGAAACTCATTTGGTAACACTAAGCTCAGACCCATTTTGGCTGCCTCTCCATACCTTAGAATCAGTGTTTTCATATTGTATTGTCCAGAATTTTAAGGTTCAGTGGAGACCATTAACTGGAAAGCTCCACATCAATTGGATTCCCACTTCTTGAAATTTTTACTTTATTCTGTTTCAACCTGAAATAAACACATGTATGCCCATGTACACACACACACACACCACACACAATTCAAATGTTTTATGTACCAAATGATAATACGTGAGAACCTAGTTGCATGTAAAGTTGGATTGCTAGGCTAACATGTTTTGGGGAAGATTTCAGTATAAAGCTTGTCACCCTGTATTCTGTAAAGCATTTGAAATTCCTATGGCTAAATCAGTGATTAGTATAATTGTAGCTCAACATCATTTTTATGCTTTTTATTTTATTTTATTTTATTTTATTTTAATTCAGAACTACACATACTCCTTATCCATTTTAGATTAGGGTTTTCTCAATATTGTGCATCCAAAAGAAAATACAGGAATTAGCTCTTGAGATGTATATGACTACACTCTTGTCATCCATAATCCTGACTTCAAGTTTTTGTATTCATCAAAACTTAATCATTGGGTTGAATTTATAGTAAGTGACTGATAAAAATGTAAATTCATACATATATAGAACAAAATATTATTTTCTCTGTTTTATGTGCTAAGGTCCCATATTAGATATTACTTGAAAAGGAAGGATTTTTTTTTTTTGCTAAATAATAAGAGTTAAGAAACTCACTGTCATAGGACACACTTTCCTTTCCTGTATATGTGAATGGTTTTGCCTGTGGAAAGATGAGAAGAAGCAAGTGGTGATGTGATATAGTTTGGATGTTTGTCTCCTCTAAATCTCATGTTGAATCTCAACATTGAAGGTGGGGCCTAGAGGGAGATGTTCCATCATAGGAGTGGATCCTTCATGAATATCTTAGTGCCATGCCCTTGGTGATAAGTGAGTTCTCGCTCTTAGTTCATGTGAAAGCTGGTTGTTTAAAGAGACTGGCATCTTTCTTGCTCCCCCTCTTTTGCTCCACCTCTCTTGCAGTGTGTTACAATGGCTGTCTCTTCCATGATTGGAAGTTTCCTGAAGCCCCCACCAGAAAAAGATGCTGGTGCCATGCTTGTACAGCCTACAAAACTGAGAGCTGAATAAACCTCTTTTCTTTATAAATTACCGGGTCTCAGGTATTTCTGTATAGTAATGCAGAACAGACTAAGGCATGATGGTAAAACCAGTGCATTAACAGCTTCGGCTCCACATTTGATGTAGTTTGCCTCTGTGTTCCCACCCAAATCTCATCTTGAAGTGTAATCCCCAGGTGTCAAGAGAGGGACCTGTAATCCACAGGTATCAAGGGAGAGAGGTGATTGAATTATGGGGAAAGTTTCCCACATGCTGTTCTCCTTATAGTGACTGAATTCTCATGAGATCTGATGGTTTTAAATGGTGGTTTTTCCTGCACTCTCATTGACTCTTTCTCACTTGCTGCCATGAAAGATGTGCCTGCTTCCCTTTCTGCCATGACTGTAAGTTTCCTGGGGCTTTCCCAGCCTTGCAGAACTGTGAGTCAATTAAACTTCTTTTCTTTATAAATTACCCAGTCTTGGGTAGTGTCTTTACAGCAGTGTGAAAGTGGACTAATACAACGTGTGAAGGGAGAAGGAGCTAAAAAGGCAGAGTCTATTGCCGCTAGAATTCCTGAATATCCTGATGGTTTGTTCTCTGTGTGTTGATGGGTAGAATTTGATTTCTCCTGTTGCTGGTGCACTAAGTCATTTTTTTTTTTTTTTTTTTTTTTTTTTTTGAGACAGAGTCTCGCTCTGTCGCCCAGGCTGGAGTGCAGTGGCGCGATCTCGGCTCACTGCAAGCTCCGCCTCCCAGGTTCACGCCATTCTCCTGCCTCAGCCTCCCGAGTAGCTGGGACTACAGGCGCCCGCTACCACGCCCGGCTAATTTTTTGTATTTTTAGTAGAGACGGGGTTTCACCGTGTTAGCACTAAGTCTTATGACTCCATATTTTACCAGTGACTCTAAGAGAAAAATGTGTCTAGTTGCTTATTTAACACACACACGTGCACAGTTGTACATGAGATGCATCCTAAATACACTGTTATGTGTTAAGACTTCAAGATACATTTAAAGTACTGTACAATGGAGTGCACAGTTGTCTCAGTTTGCATGCCATCAAGTCAGAAGTAAGCAGTATTCCAGCAAGCTGTTTACCATTTGAAAGAGATATTTACAGGTCTCAGTAGGTGAGGCTTCTTTTTGGCTCTGTGGTGTTTTGTGCAGCTTGAATGAATGGGTCTGGATTTCAAGGCACCAACCAAGTGGTATTTATAACAAAGCTAATATACAATGTTTGAGAGATTTTCAAGCACAATCTCCATTTTAAAGAAAAGCAGAAAATACAGAGTGATTCTTCCCATTCTACAGATGAAAAGGAGATGTATTGCATGAAGCAATGGCTGCCCATCTGCAGGAGCATGGAGAGTGGAAAGTGCAAATTTTGAGTCAGAGAGACGTGAATTCAGTGTTCGGTTCTGCACTCGCTAGTCACTGGTCATGCATTTGAGCAAATTGTTAACCCCTGTGGGCCTTAATTTCTTTATCTGAAAAATAGGATCAAAATACATGGTTATTAATGATAGAATGGAAAGAGATCAAATGAGATAACTATGAAGCTTTCCATACTGAGCCAAGGACCAAGGTGCAATGAGACAAATATGTGCATCCTTCCTCCCCATTATCTCCCTCTTTTCTATATTTCCAGATTAGATATCACTAACATGCAGGGCTGCTTGGGGGGATTAAAGGATATACATTCATATATAAACTAACCTATAGTAAGTACTTAATAACTGGTGGCTAATGCAATTCTAATGGTAATAATAAATGAACAAAGCAAACACAATATTTCCTACCATTTTGTATAGAACTGTGAAGGACACAAGAGTCATATAAACTCAGCTCATTTCTTTGCCAGTTAGGAAATCTCCCTGATGAATGGTGTGCCTGAAGTACTGGAGTGGGGCATGGTTTAGTGTTAATCTCCCTTCTCAGGGTGGGCTGGAGACTCCAAAGCTTATGAATAAGGTGGGATTTGAGCAGGTCCTGGAAGGAGAGGAAAGAGAAGAATAAATGGGAAGAAAGGAGAAGGCATTGGAGGTGGATGACTCAGCAGGAGCAGAGACCTGGAGATGTGAATGAGGGTGGTGTGAGAGGAGGGGTAGGGAAGCTTCTGGCTTGGTTAGGGAATTGGGAATGTACCCAGAAGCAGGGAACATGGGACACATCCTAGGACCTATGGAGGGCCCTGAAAACCCAGCTGAGGAATTAGGGCTTTATTTTATAAGCAGCAGAGGGCCAGTAGAGATTCTTGAAAAGAGAAGTGTCATGATGAAAGAGATAGTTTAGTAGACAAATAGGGAAGAAATATTCAGGATGGATTAAAGAATAAAGAAGCTAAGGCCATGTGTGGTGGCTCACACTTGTAATCCCAACACTTTGGGAGGCCGAGGCAGGTGAATCACCTGAGGCTAGGAGTTCAAAACCAGCCTGGGTAACATGGTGAAACCGCGTATCTATGAAACAAAACAAAAAAACCCCACAAAAATTAGCCGGGCATGGTGGCGACACCTGCAGTCCCAGCTACTGGGGAGGCTGAGGTTTGCAGTGAGCTGAGATTGCACCACTGCACTCCAACCTGGGCAACAGAGCGAGACTGTGTCTCAAGAAAAATAAAAAGAAGAAGAAGCAGCTAAAACCAGAGACCAGTTAATAATTGCATTTCAGGAGAATGGTGATGAGGACATGCACCAGGGCATTGGCAGTTTCCTTCTTGTGGGAAGAAGCAAGACAAATAGATGCTGGAGGACAGATGTTCAAACACTATGCAGGGCAGCTGCGGAGGGGTCCAGTATAAAGAGGTAATGCCATTCTTGGGACCAGGAGAACTGGCCTCGAGGAAAGGGGACTTGGAAATCTCGGCCTTCAGAATTGCAATCAGCTGGTTGATGCAAACGTTTGATTTCCCCCATCTCATAAATAGGCAAGACTTATAATTTGCACAATGGTATTATTATTATCTAGGGCCTAGAAAAACAAAAATGATGTTTAAACTTCAGGCTTTTAAATCTTCCAATTTGTACTGCTCTCTGCCTAGCTAAATGCACAACACTGGAGCCCATTTGATGTTGAGCAAGGCTCTCTCCACACTGTCTTCTTCTTGATGAAACCTTAAATCAATGGATTTCCCATCCCCATTCCTCCCTTTTCCTCTCTAAAGATGAGTTGTTTCTGGTAACTGAAATTCTGTTTAAATATGTAGAGTTCTGAAAGGAGCGACGGCTGTTGTAGTGATATTTTAAATCATTAGAGTTTGTGACTTTAGACTATAAAATAGACGCCTATTAAAGTCCATAATTTAGGATGCTTCCATCATACACTGGAGAGGCAGAGACAGATGGAGGGTGGATGGACTGGAGGGTGAGGCCAGGTGCAGTCCTGACTCTGCCCTGTGATGCTCTGGCCACTCCGGGTTTACTTTAAAGGAAACATTTAAGAGCAGGAGGAAGGCAGATCCATGTGTCATTAATGCCTCTGTGCCATCTTTACCGTGGTCAGCCCTGATCTGTGCTGTTGGAGCGGTGTGTGTATGTGTGTGTGTGTGTGTGTGTGGAGGGGGTGAGAGTGTGCAAGTCACTTGTACAAGGGTGACTATAACACAGTACCTGCCTTTGAGGGACACTATTCCAGTGCAGTGTTTCTCAAACTCTTTTTTTCCATTATCAACTTAACATCCCCCGTCTCCAGAGCCTTTTTAGACATATTTTCCTAACTGCCCTCCCCATGACATTTTAATATCACAGGCATACTGTGTATTTGCTTATATACTGTGTATATAATCTTTTCCCTCTCATCAACCAATACTCTCCCCCTTAGAAAAGACATTGCCCCTGTTGAGAATGCATGTTCTAGTTGGAATGGAAACAATGATGTGTTTCTTTTCCTTCCTATATTGGAGGTAGCTATAAAGACATAAATGAGCTCAGAGGACCTGTAGTAGGTGGAACAATGGCCCAAAAGGATACACCTGGGAATGTTACCTTATTTGGTATATTTATCAAATACCAAATTTTTACCAATTGCATTTGCAAGTGTCTTTAAATTAAGGATCTCATTCTGGATTATCCAAGCAGGCTCTGAATCCAGTGATGAGCGTCTTTATAAGAGACATGCACAGAAGAGACACAGACACAGAGGAGAAGGCAGTGTGAAGACAGGCAGAAATTGCAGTGATGCTGTCATAATCCAAGGAACACCCAATGCCTCTAGAAACTGGGAAAGGAAAGGAGGGCTTCTCCCCTCGAGTGTTTAGCAGGAGCGTGGCCCTGCCAGCACCTTGATTTCAGACTTCTAGTCTTCAGAAGTGTGAGGGAATACATTTCTGTTTAAATTTCTTAAACTGTAGTTGAAACCACCATGTTCGTGATAATTTATTATAGCATCCCTAAGAAACGAATATAGGAGAGGATGGCCAACCTAGCCTCAGAGAGTATGAAGAAAACTAGAGAGGAGATAGACAATTTTTGGAGTGAATCTAAATGAGCAGGAGGTGAGCAGGCAGAGGAAAGGAAGGGTATCCAGCAGAAAGAACAGCACGTGGATATAGGGAAGCAGCAATGTGAGAAATGGCCGTGTTTCTCAGGCTTCGTTATTGCCTGGACGCTTCTCCCCACCTGTATACGTGGGAGATCTTGAGAGTTCAGTGCTGGGGCCTCAATTCTTTTGTTTGTTCTCTCTCCCTAAGTGCCCTCATCCTTTTCCCATTACCGTATACATGCTGCGGACTCCCACATGTCTATCTTCTGGCCAGACCTCTCCACAATGGAACCTCAGATTCAACTGCCATTTGATGTCCCCAGTTGCCTGGGCAGCTTCACCATCAACTATTCCCACACCTCACACTGTTTGTTTTCCAGTTTCTCCTTTCTCTGTATCACCAATAATATACATCTTCATCTACCAGATTGCTCATTCAAGAAAGGTGGACAACCTTACAGAGGCCTGCCCCAGATTCCTCAGTCTTCACCAACAACCACCAGCAGCTCTCCATCCTTCTTCCTATCTATGTGTCTATCTATGTGAATAGATAGACACATTCACAGAGGTGCTCTTGCCTGCCACAAAGGCAGTAGAACACTGACAGCAGGGCTCCAGACTACCTAAGTTCCAATCCCTACTCTGTCCCTATCTTTGCCTCAGTTTCTCATCTGGAAAACGTGATACAATTGTACCTTCCTCATAGGGTCATTGTGAAGGTTAAAACAATTAACCCGTGTAAAAGTTTTCGGAAACTAACACTAAGTATTAGCTAGTATTGCAATCATTGCCAATGCTTTTGTTCAAGCCCTTATCATCTCCTCTCTCACTTAACACTGTTACAACAGCCTTCTGCCTAAAGTCTCCGATTCCTTCCTTGCTCCTTCAGAAATCGTTGTCTGCATTGAAAGCTTGAGTAGTTTCCACTACATTGAGACTGACCCCCCCACCTCCCTACCACATTCTACGGGGCTCTGCACGACCAGCTACGTCCATCTGTCTCCTCAGCCTCAGCTCCCGTGATGCCCCATCACTTACTCTAGGGATATGCAAGATGGCAGCCGCTGGCCACGTGTTGCCATCAAGCCGTTGAGGTGACCTGGAGCCACATGACCAGTGACTGCCATCCTCCATATTCCTGTCCTAGAGTAAGTGAGGGAGCATCACGTGATGTCTGCATTTGACTAAGTTTCAGGGACTATGTGAGCATATTTTTTCTGGTCTCATTCTCCCTGAAACTTGGCCAGTTGCAACTGAGATGTGCTCACAGTGTAAAACACACCCTGAAATTTGAAAACCTAGCAAGAGTAAAAGTATTTTTAAAAGTGACTAATTGAAAATAGATTGCATGTTGAATGATAATATTTTGGATATATTAGGTGAAGTCAAATATATTAATTTTTTCTCTTTTTTGTGAAAATAAATTTTAGAATCACATACATGGCTCACATTTGTTTCAACTGAATAGAGTTATTTCATGGACTTCTATCAATTGTTAGGACATGCTAAGCCATCTCCAACCTCAGTCTTTGCACTTGGGCTTCCCTCTGCCTGGAACACCCTCCTCTTGCTCTTTATGTGGCTAGATTTTCTTGTCTTCAGCTCCTATGTCACCTCTTGAAAGAGGCCTCCTCTGGCCATTCATGGCTATTCTGAATCCCAGCACTCTGTTTATTTCCTTCTTTGCACTATTTTTTTTTTTTTTTTTTTTTTGCATCTGATTTACTTCTCCCACTCAAAAGTAAGGCCCATGATTCAGGAGCCATCTGTCTTGTTCCCTGTTGCATCCCAGTGCCTGCAGGGTGCCTTGGGCACACAGTCCATCTCCAATACACATTTGTTGAATAAATGAAGCAACAAAGAGATTGTTTTTAAAGAAGGCATTTCTTGCCATTTGCAATATTCTCTGGGCTCTGTGGATGGCAAGGAAGTGTAAGAGGGGACATTTAAAAATTCTCCCCCACTGAAGACAGGAGTGGCAGACACCAACCTCTAAAGAGGCAGAAACACTCAAAGCACCACACAAACAGAGATCTAACTAAAGTGCTTTTAATATGCAGCAGCTGTCAGAGAAGGCAGGGCTAGAGGATGAACTTAACTGTAGTTAAAGTATCCCGCTCATCTGTAGGTATATAGTAAGATTTTTGTTGTGTTTTGTTTTATTTTATTTTTTGCGACAAGATCTCACTCTGTCACCCTGGCTGGAGTACAGTGGTATGATCACAGTTCATCCACCTGGAGGTAGGTTGATTTGCTTCTCTTCCCCAGCCAGTCACCAAGACAGATTCATTGTTTCTGCTTATGAAATGCTCTGCAACCTGAACCCTTCTCTCTGCATCGTCTCTCCTTGCCTTGGGTCAAGCTCCCATCATCTCCTGCGTCTAATCCCGCAGGCTTCCAACTAGCCTCGTCCCTCCAGAGTCTCCCACTGGAATCCTCTCTCCCCACTTCTGTAAGAGTGATCCTACCTAAAGTGTCAATCTCCACTCCCCATCCCTGAAGTTCTTTTAGTAGCTTCTCGTGCCTCTTAAAATAAAGCACACATTCCTTCGTCAAGCATATAAATTCCTTTATGAGCTTCCCCCTACGTACACACGGTGGACAGTTTTCCAAGGTGGCCCAATGGTCCCCTTCTCCTGGTATTTACCCCCTGTGTCATCCCTTGCCATGGAATGTGAGTTAAATCTAGGGACACTCCTCTAGCAAATAGAATATGGCAAACAGAGTGGGATGTCATGTCTAAGGTTAGAAAGGACCTTGACTTCCATCTTGCTGGCACCAGATAATTCTCTTGATCTCTTGTTTACTCACCCTGCTGGCAGCAGCTGTCCTGTTGGGTGCTGCCCCATAGAGAGGCCTACAGGGCCAGGAGCTGAGGGAGTTCTCAAGCCAGCAGCTAGTGCAGAAGCGAATCCTGCCAACAGCCACTTGAGTGAGCTTGGAGCAGATAATCCCCCTCACATCCATGGATGCTTGAGATGACTGCAGCCCTGGCTGACACCTCAATTGCAGCCTCCTTAGAGATAAGAGCTGGAACCAGAGGCACCAGCTGAAGTGGGCCTGAATTCTTGTTCTACAGAGGCTGTGAGATGATAAACATTTGTTGCTTTAAGCTAGGTTTTAGGGCAGTTTATTAAGCAGTAATAGATAACTAATACACTGAGTTTTCAACCTCACCTTGTACTCACTTCTATTATACCTGCACACCCAATACTCCTATCACACTGAACTTCTAGCAAGTCCCTAATACATCCTTCATCTTCAGACTTTTGTATATATCATTTATTTCCTCTTTTGATGCCATTTATTAATTTCCAGCCTGGTAACACACGTTCCTTTATCAAAACCCATCTGTAGTAACACGGCTGTTCAGATGGCACTTCCAGTCTACCAGGCAGCCACTCCTCTACACTCCCAAATGCTTCAGTGCATTTCACTTAGAGCACTTTGTGGTGCTGTGGTGGTTTATGGATGAAGTGTGCTCCTTTCATGCGCCTTCCCCACCCCCTTAATTCCCCTCCCTCACACTCCCTCTGCCTGGTCCCCTTCAGCCACTACACCCAGAATTCCTAGTCAGAAGGAACTCTGTGTTCGTCTTCTATCTCCATTACCTCACACAGGGCTTTGGGCATATCCACAATTTAGGATTTTCAGTAAACAGAATTCTAAAATTGACATTGGAGGAATGAAACTCTCAAATCAATTTCCTCATGTGTAAAATAATAATAATAATAATACAGTCATATGTTGCTTAATGATGGGGATACGTTCTAAGAAATTCAACGTTAGACAATTTCAACACCCTTTGAACACCGCAGAGTGTACTTACACAAACCTAGAGAGTATAGCCTACTGCACACCTAGGCTGTATGATATCCTCTACTGCTTCTCGGCCACATACCTCTACAGCAGGTTACTAGACTGAATAGGTAGTTGTAACACAGTGGTAAGTATTGTTGCGGGAGTCCTTGCTCCCAGAGCTCCCAAGATGGTGGTGGGCTGCTTCCAAAATGGCGGCGGGCTGCTTCCAAGATGGTGGCAAGCCTCTTGTTCTCTGACGTGGGGTTCTTGGCCTCACGGATTCCAAGGAATGGAATCTTGGGCCATGCCGTGCGTGTTATAGCTCTATTAGAAGCCGTGGGTCACGGAAGAGAACCGTGGAACCCAGTGACTAGTGTTCAGCTCCATTAGGACGAAGCTGGGCACTTAGCCGTGCAGGAACAATGGCAAGCCTTTAGCCGGATGGGGAGCAGCAATGGGCGCCTCAGTGGATCAGGAGCACAGCGGACACCCTGACGGATCCGGAGGGATGGATGTCAGTGGCGGGTCTGCCACGTTGACCAGCAGCAGTGGTGGATGGCAAGCAAAAGCTCAGTTCCAGCTGTAACAAACACGGACCAGTTGCAAGATTTAACAGAGTGAAAATAGAGCTCCCATACAAAGGGAGGCGACCCAAAGGGGGTTGCCGTTGCCAGCTTGAATGCCTGGGTTTATATCCTGATCATTGTCCCTCCTGCTGTGCTCTCAGACAATAGATGATTGGCTATTTCTTTACCTCCTGTTTTTGCCTAATTAGCATTTTAGTGAGCTCTCTGATTGGTGAGGTGTGAGCTAACTTGCAAGCCCCGTGTTTAAAGGTGGACACGGTCAACTTCCCAGCTAAGTTTAGGGATTTTTAGTCAGCCTAGGAAATCCAGCTAGTCCTGTCTCTCAGTATCTGTGTATCTAAGCATAGAAAAGATTTGGTAAAAATAGGGTATAAGATAAAAAGATACACCTGTGTGGGGTCCTTACCATGGATGGAGCTTGAAGGACTGGAAGTTGCTCTGGGTGAGTCAGGGAGTGCATGGTGAGTGAATGTGAAGGCCTAGGACACTACTGTACAACACTGTAGGCTTTATAAATATGGCACACTGAGGCTACACTAAATTTGCAGAAGGCAAAGAGGGAGCAGACACATAATATAGTGAAAGCAGAAGCAAGGAAGTGAGCTCTTATAGGACCACTGTCATGTTTGTGATCCATCATTGACTAAATGTTGTTATGCGGCACATGACTGTCATAATAGTAAAATAAGAATATAACATAATCATAATAATAACAAAACAATATGGTCACGATAATAGTAATGTTATAATGATACTCTTAATAAAATATTATTATTAACGTATCCACGAGCCTGGCTCTGCACTAAATGCTTTTAGATACACTATCACTAAATCTCAAGATACCCTGTAGGGTAATTAAATTATATCCGTTTCACCCAGGCTCAGGGAGGTTAAATAACTTGTCTGAAGCCTCAGAACTAATGGTGAAGCTGGGATTCAGTCCCAGAGCTGCCTGATTATCCTGTAAGTTCTCCTTTCTTTACAAACTTTAAATAAAGGGCATCCAAGAAGATATTGTTGAGGAAGACCCGGAGAGCTCTTATGAACGTGAATGGCAGATTCCTGCCCAGGGTTCCAGGAACAAACAGTAGGTGAAGATCACCATGGTGCTGACGGATGGAGTAAAAAACTAGAGAATGACTTAAGAAGATCAGTAAATACGTAGGGGTGGCACGCAGGAGTGGAACAGTATGTCCTGGTGAAGGCACAGTGGGACCTCAAAATCTATTAGAAAAATGCTCCCCAAGGCCTGAAGTTGAGCTGTGGATGCAACGGGCTTGACTGGTGCTTAGATAGATGCAGGTTAGAGCCACACTTGAAAAGGTTGCACCCGGCCTTGGGAATTTTGATGAGCTTTTAAAATTCAGTGGACACCAGCACCAAAATCTTAATCTGAGTTTTGCTGCACATACTGGAAAGCAGGAAGCTCTCATCACGTGGAACCAGCCGCATCATTACTGCCAGTAACGACGGTAATGACCCCTGCCACTCCGCGCGCTTTCTGCTCGTCAATGGCTTCCCAGAGTTTCTCTTGGGAAAACCTTTCTCCATTACCCTCTGTCACCTGGTTCAGAAAGGTCTCAACCCAAGCACTAGAGATGATCTAGGACAACGTTCAAGGGGAGGAATTTTCCTTCCAGCAGATTTGAACAATTGTGACGTCAGTACCAGGTCAACCAATCAAAGCGCTCAACCCAGACTGTCAAATCCGGAAACACTTGGGCCCAAGGGCAGAGATACGTTTTCCCTCCGGTGGCATGGTATTTCACATCTATTTTAAACTGTTATTTCAAATTAGTAAACAGGATTGAGCAAACAGTTGTTGCTGTTCCGCTTTAAGTCTGTTTTCTTTTTCAAAATTATCCCTTTCACTTATCTCTCTCTCCTCCCCCGCTTAAGCAGGGCTATTGAAAAGCAAATTTCTTGGAGAGCTTGGGGAGATGGGTGTTGAGAATTAGCATATCAAACATACCCAGTAAACCGAATGGAAATTAGCAGAATCCCGACTCAGACATCTAGTCGCTGTACTAAATTGAGGTTAATGTGATCCTGTCCTTTCTGGTTTAAACAAAGATAGGGAAATCTAGTAAATTCTATTCCATCTCCCTCTGAGCCCATAGGTATCCCTCCCCAGTGGTGAAAATAAAAACAACATAAAGAAAAGGAGAGGGGGAAAAAAAGGAAAAGGAGAAAAAAGATCCCAAACATGTTAGTGGAATATATGTGTATATTCCCTGATATATAACTTAATAAAAGTTTATGGACCCAGGATACGGAAGCCACACTGAACAGATGCACTGGGACTGAAATATGGTCCAATTAAGTCTGTAACAGGGTGAGCTTTACTTTGAACATTCTCCAAGTTGAGATGAAAGCTTCCCAGAACAGATAAATCAGGCGACATAAAATAAAAAGGCTGATCCAGCAGTGCTCCCAAAAGGAGGGAAGGAGGAGGTAGTCAGATTGGAGGGGCTTGTTGGGCTGGATGGGGAGGTGAGGAAAAGAGGGTAGGGGTGGAAATTCAGGCAGTCCTTTCTACTGGGTGCTCAAAACAGTTGCCGGCTCTGTGATAGTAAATAAACAACAGCTATTTAAACCACTCCAATTAATGCCTTCTTTGGAAGCTATTTGTCTATGGAAGAGATGGCAGGGATTGCCTGGTGCAATTAAGCTGTTTGCTAGTAGTGCCTTCAAAAATAATTTGCTGTAGCCATGGAGTCATCTGTGGTTCATGGCCAACCTTCTTGCTGAGGGAGGGGCTCGAGCATAGAGACTGGATGTCCTGCTCTCCCTTCCTGCACTGCCCACCTCCGCACCAGCTAAGCATCAAAGCTAAGCTCAGGCTTACCTCCTCCAGGAAGCCTTCACTGCCTGTCTGGATCTTTAGACAATACATAGAATTCCTTCTTGTTTCCCTGCAGAAGGCACCAAGGGTGATCTTAACAAGTCCTCATGTTATGGAAAAGAGTCCCAGTCCAGACCCCAAGAGATGGTTCTTGAATCTCATGCAAGAAAGAATTCAAGACAAGTCCATAGAGTAAAGTGAAAGTAAGTTTATGAAGAAAGTAAAGGAATATAGAAAGGCTATTCCATAGGCAGAGCAGAAACTTGAGCTGCTGGTTGGCCATTTTTATGGGTTTTTTTTTGATGATATGCTAAAGAAGGGGTGGATTATTAATAAGTTTTCCAGGAAAGGGGTGGGCAATTCCCAGAACTGAGGGTTCTTCCCCCTTTTAGACCATATAGGGTAACTTCCTGTTGTTGTCATTGCATCTGTAAACTGTCAGCGTGCTGGTAGAGGTGTCTTTTAACATGCTAATGCATTATAATTAGCGTATAACGAACAATGAGGACAACCAGAGGTCACTCTCCTTGCCATCTCGTCTTTGGCTGGCTTCTTTACCACAACCTGTTTTATCAGCAAGGTCTTTATAACCTGTATCTTGTGCTGAACTCCTATCTCATCCTGTGACTTAGAATGCCTTAACTTTCTGGGAATACAGCCTAGTAGGTCTCAGCCTCATTTTACCGAGCCCCTACTCAAGATGGAGTCGCTCTGGTTGAAAGGCCTCTGACACTCGTATCAACCATCAGATCTAGGTTCGAATCTCTGCGCTGTCTCTTTCTTCCTGTGGGATCATGGGTGAAGTCTTCACTCAGATTCTGATTCCTGCCTGTAAAACACAATGCCTATTTCACATATTGCTGGGGTGAGGGTTCAATGAGATAATACATAGAAATGGCATTGTGTAGTGCCAGGCACATAGCTGGAGGTCAAGCCGTTTTAGTTCCTTGTCTCAATCTCCTTCCTTTGTTAAATGGGAATCAAATCCACTGTATTTATCCCTGGGATTTAGCAAAGCTGTCTTGATTTTTATCTTTCAGAATGTACAATGGTTTGCTCATTGGAAATATTTTTGAGTCTCTGTGAGACAGTCCATCTAGGTGTGATGCTTACCCCTTTATCCATAAGTAGGCAACCTTAGGCTGCTCTCTAATCCCTTAAAGCATCATTTTGCTCTTCTATAAAATAGCAATAATAATAATAATAGCAATAATAGTAATATCTTCCACACCACATTTTTGTGACCATCCAGCATAGTCTTGCATAGTAAGGATGAGGCATGTTGGTGCTCCGTAACTGCTAGCTCAGGTTATTCTCTCCTTACTAGAACTATCTCTAAGCCTCATAGAAGTTGAATCAATTTCCCTAGGTACCAGAGAGCATGTTGTAGAGCAAGAGTGCCCCAGCTAATCTCTAGCTCTTCCCGAAATTTATGTTGTCCTCTGATGGACAGCTGAGCTTTTCAAGAGAAGGGTCTGTGTCTGCTGTGTCTTTGTATCTCCCAGGGTTTGCTGAACTCTAGGGACATCTAGAGACTAAATGCACCTTTAGTGAATTAAAATATGCCATGTAGGGCATCTTCGAGGAGGTCAGTTTTCTTCCATAGTTAATAGGGGAAGCCTTTTGTCAGGATCCCAGTGCTAAGCAAATGGCCTGTCTTTGGGGCATCCAGTGTCTTCTCTCCTTGCTTTTTCCAGAGCATCTTTCCTCAGTCAGGAACACATCTCATGTTGTCCTCATCCCTTCATGGCCTCAGAGAAAAGACAAGGTCATTGGTCCTTGGTGCCCTCTGCCAGGGGCCTCTGTGTCTAAGTCTGAGCTCACCTTATGGAGTGAAAGCCTTCACTCTGTGATAGTAGAATCCTGTGCCCATGGCCAGGCAGGAAACTTCCTGACACTTGACAAGACTTTGGGCATTCACAGTTAATCCCAGGTGTGAAGAGAGGGTTCTATATAATGACCTGCCTGCAGTCATGGGAGCTGTGGTTCCAGTCTGCCATCTGTGCTCTGTGACTGTCTATCCACCAGCGATTGAGTTTTAAGGAGAATGTCAAGGTCCAGGCTGGAATAACCTGGCTGGGAAGTTAGAACATCAGGGCCCCCACAGAATCATTGTGGAACTCTGATCTGCAAAACTGGTTGAAGTAGATTGAGGTAGACAGTGGAGCCAGCTCCAAGTTCTTTGGTCTTTCCCCTCCCTGCCCATGAAAGATCCTTAGAAAGCCACCAGCACTCCCAGAAGCTAACCTTGAAAACCACTGACTCTCCCAATGCTCCACTCAGCTCTTCCGTCTATGATCAAGACAGATCATAATTGGACATCTGCCCTTGGGCTCCAGATGCCCACCTTCATGGTGTGATTTGCAGATGAGGTCGGGGCATCAAATTAGATCCCCAGGGCCTGTCACATAACCTGAAAGTCCAAGGTTCCAGATATACTCCTTAAGTTTTCTAGGTTTACTTTGCTAGTGGCCCCTTTAACATGTAAGTGGGCTGACCTTATGCCCATGTCTGGGTCCTCTTGAAAAGGATTTGTGTACTTGCAAGTCCTGGGCAAGGCTCTGGGGAGGAGGGGGGAGTCCAGGAGAAAGGGAACGAGTGACATGGAAAGTAAAGAGAACTTCCCTGTTCATAGGTCGTTTTAGAACAGTCCTATGGGAGGAGACATTGCAGATCAAAGGGTTAACGCTTCCTTGGCATCTACTCTGTGTGAAGTTATCTGATTTAATCCCTAAAATAACCCTATAAGACAGATACCACCTATCTTCTCTAACCAATATATGATAGTATAAACTCCATGAGTGGAGAACATTTGTTTTATTCATTACTGGATTCCCAGCATCTAGGACAGCCTCTCTCTGCTCAATAAACATGTGTTGAATGAATGACTCATAGCTACATTTTCCTGATGAGAAAACTGAGGCACAGAAATATTTATTGATGGTCATAGGTCACATAGCTGGCAAATGGGGGAGGCAGGATCCAAACGACATCTCCCTGACCCCAAAGCCCGTGTTTCTCCACATGCATTTGCTTGTGATTCTGTCTCTACATGTGCCCAACTTGAAGCAGGGCTGCAGGCCCATATACTCACCGTGCAGCACCAGTGAGACCACCGTTGAGTTTTTGCTACTAGTTTGGTGAAGCAGAATGGGGCTCTGGACTGAGATTCAGGGGTGCAGTCGTGTGGCCTCCCCCATAATCCCCTGTGTAAACCCTGCATATGCTCACTTGTTCCTGGGCTATAGTTCCTTGTCTGCCAAATGGGGGTCACCATAGCCTCCTCACCGACCTCTCAGATAGGGTCAGAGAAGCAAATGAGACTGAGGGGGGAATGGGAGTCAAAACACCATAAAGCCATAAACACACTTATTTAAAGGAAAATTGTTCAATATGAGAGCCTGCAGCTTCCCCAATAAAGAGAAATTTACAGAAAGGTAGAGAAAGGTGAATTGCTCTCATCATGTTCTGACTGTGGTAATTGGCCTAGTTATTTGCTGCTTCATTCTGAACCCCTTCCCTCCCGACTTCTCCAAGAAAAGGAGATTATTTTTAATTACAGTTTTACACTGGATTAATGAATCTCCACAATAAGTTAATGAGCAGGACACGGCACCGGGAGACAACACGTTTGATTGCTTTTGGAGACTTTCGTAAGGTTCATTATTTCCAGGCTGTCCCTACAGAGCCACCGTGACCTGGGTGAGGGGAGCCAGAAGGACACCCAGGATCTCTGAGCCATTACATTTATGATACCTGGGCCATGGCCACATTAAAGCCTGCTGGAGAGTGGCTGGCTTGGCTGTTCTCCAAGGGAGAAATTCACCTGATACAACCTAGTAGCCTAAGGTCTCCCTAATAAGTACTGTAGAGTGAAAAGAAATATCCTTGCCTCTCTGTGCCCTCCATTACCATTTTTGTTTAGATTCTTCTCATCAGATGTCTGGTCTTGCAAGGAGCTCCTAACAGGTGCTCCAGTGTAACTTCCCTTAAAATCCTCCAATGGTTCCCCATGGCCGAAAGGATAAAATCCAAACTCCTTAGTTCATTAGGATCTGAGTTTTGCTTCCCTCTCTGGAGAAACTACACGAGCCTCCTCTTTCGGGCCTCTGAGCGTTTAAGTGTTGTTCCTACCGACTACAGCATCTTTTCTTTTTCTACCTTCCTGAGTAAATCTTACTTACCCCTTGGGACAAATTAACTGGGAAGCGTTGTCTGCTGCTCTGAAGCAGTTTGGGACCTCTACAACACTCTCACAGCACCACCCTCAGAGGCCTTTACAAGGCTGATTCTCTTGCCTGCTGTTCCCTTGTCTACACAGCTGCCTTCCCTGCCCAGCCAGATCATAAACTTGTGAGCACAGTTGCACAGTCTTCCATATTCACCTTTGTGTCCTCTGCCCTGGTGTAGATACACAGCAGATTCTCAGCGAACGTGGGTTTCATTTGATTAAGGAGCAAGTGAATGACTGAATGAAGGAATTAGTGAAGGACCTCTCCTCTCTGAGTGGAGGAGATTACTTGCCTTTGGTTTCTCTCCCATGTGACACCCCTGGAGTTGTGTTTCTTGAAAACCTGAATTCTGTCCTCCAGGCTGCCAGTCATTAGTTCACTGTAGCTGTCAAGAGAGACTAGATTTTGCTGCAATAACAAGTATTCCCTGGTTTTCAGTGGCTTAACACAAGAGAAATCTTTTTCTCGCCCTTCCGCATGTCCATTGTGAGTAAGCTGGGAGGGCTCCATTCCATGCAGTAACTCAGAGACCCAGGAGGCAGGGGCTCTGCCATATTGTAGCTGCACCATCTGGGAGCCCTCTTGGTTGCACTGGCAGGGGCAGAGAAAGACTAGAGAATGGCATGAGGGATTTTTGCTGCCTCAATCTGGAAGCAATGAAGACTTACATTTCACTGGTGAGAGATAGTTATGAGGCCCCACCAACTGCAGAAGGTTACGAAATGCAAGGTAGCCAGGAAAACATTTCATGAGTGTTACCATCTCTACCACTGTCTTAGTCTGTTCGGGCCGCTTTAATAAAATATCAGAGACTGGGTAGCTATAAACACCAGAAATTTATTTCTCACAGTTCTGGATGCTGGGAAGTCCCAGATCAAGGGACCAGTGGATTTGGTCTGGTGAGAGCCCATTTCCTGGTTTATAGATGGCGCCTTCTAATTGCGTCCTCACAAGGTGGAAGAGGCAAACAAGTTCCCTGGGGCCTCTTTTATCAGGGCACAAATCCTATTCATGTGGGCTTTTCCCTCATTATCCAATCACCTACAAAGTCCCCATCTATTGATACAATTACCTTGGGAAGAGGGTATGATTTTTACTTACGAATTTTGGGGGACCACAAACATTAAGATTGTAATAGCCACATTCACCTCAATCAAGTCCCTTTCCATCCCTGGATTCAAAGAATACAATGTCCAACTTTAATCATTCTATAAATGGGGAAACAGAGACTGCCTTCCATCTGAGATCCATGGTTTAAATTAACTCTAAAAGTAGACAAATATCAGGGTATTTCTGAGCCTTTATAGACACAACCAAATGGCTTCCCCTGAGTCCCTGAATCTGTCCCCTAGACCAGCAAGGACAGCTCATTGCATCTGTGGCTTCTGCCTCCATGGGGTTATCTCATTTTCTATCCCCTAATGGCTTCAGGGAAGGATGGTTCTTTACTCTTCTACATACTCATCTCCCTGCATTCTTTCCTTTAGGATGTTATGTGCCCATCTTCCTTGAAATCAGTCTTGCATAGCGTCCTGTGCCTTTAAGCATATCATTGAGTGTCATGGAAGAAAGTCCCATGGTGAGAGCTACACACAAAGGACATTTTTAGGAGTATGGCTTGTCTTGATCTCCTGCTTCATGTCACTTTGTATGTATGCTGCCTTTCCAGACCCATAATACACAAACCATGTGACATCCCCCTTTCAAATTGGCTTAGGATTTTAGAGCTCAACTGCAGCCTTGTCCAAGGGAGGGAAAAAAAAGGGGGAAGGAAACTGCCCATCTAGTGTTTTGCCCACAGCAGGATAAAATGTAGCACGAAGACAGAGTAAGTCACAGAATAGCTGTAATTCGGCACCCACAACATTCTGGTTATCCTAGCAAATGAAAGCTCCAGAGCCTATGAGGCCCAAGGAGGACGCACGCCATATGTGGTTACCGAGGTTCGGAGGTTTATTTTTAGAATAACAGCTTGGTGGGTTGTTACGTCAGTTTGGCCTGAGACAGAACCCTGGAAAAAATGCTGTCTCAATCAGCACTGAAGCTGTTTGTGTCTATAGGGATTTGTTGTGAGAATGATTAATAAGCCAACATGTTTTTATTGGGTTCATTGTCTGTTTTCTATTTTAAAGAGGCAAAACCACACACAATGTTTTCTGTGCCCTCCAGCGGCTTCCATTTGGGTTAAGGGAGGCCAGCACATGCCATTAAGAGGCAACTTGAAATCCAGACCAAAATGTATTGCTCGCTGTGCTGGGAGGAGCTAGGAGGGACACTGTGGGCTGAGGAAATCAGGGAAGGCTAATGGGATAGGCAGACCAAAGTAATGGCAAAAAGGCAAAAAGCTGCTTGAAAGGACCATTTATACAGCATAGCAACTGCATGGTGGTGAAATTACACAAGGCCTTGGATGGCTATTGAATGATCAGCCAACTGGCTCAGGCTCACATCAAGGAACAGCAGAAGATGGAAGGGACAGATCCCCAGGCCAGTTAAAAGTAATATTTTCTCCTCTAAACCTGAAATACATCCCTGCTTAATGCTCATGACCTTCTCCTTCACTTACATTCTTCGAGTTTGAGGCTTACCTTTATTTACCGAATTGTAGCACTGTGAGGAATATTGCGTTCTCCCTCCCATTAGGCCAAGCATATTGCCTTATATTTAGCAAGCATGCGGTAAATATGCATTGCATTGAATGGAATGAAATTGCATTGCAGCTAGATTTTGAGATGCTTATGGCCAGCAGGAGTCTAAGGAGGGAAAGTATGGACCCATAATTGTTTGTTGTTGTTGTTGTTGTTGTTTTTTGTTGTTGCTTTTTGGTTTTTTTTTTTTAGACGGAGTCGCGCCTCGCTCTGTCGCCCAGGCTAGAGTGCAGTGGCACGATCTCAGCTCATTGCCAGCTCCGTCTCTCGGGTTCACGCCATTCTTCTGCCTCAGCCTCCAGAGCAGCTGGGACTACAGGCGCCCACCACCACGCCCGGCTAATTTTTTTTGTATTTTTAGTAGAGACAGGGTTTCACAGTGTTAGCCAGGATGGTCTCGAGCTCCTGACCTTGTGATCCGCCCGCCTGGGCCTCCCAAAGTGCTGGGATTACAGGCATGAGCCACCACGCCCGGCCTCTGTAACTGTTAACACCAGGAATTTGGACTTGATCCTGAAAGCAATGGGGAGCCTTTGATAATTGTGAGCAAGGGTGTCCTATGAGTCAAAGTCAATGTGTAACTGGCTGATGTGGAGTCAGGAGACCTAGTGGCTTGTTATGAACCTCTAGCAACTGCTCACGAACCAGAACCAGCCAGCCTGGGGTGGTGTGAAAACTGCAAGTTTAAATGCTCACAGGAGCCAGGCAGCTTCCTGACAAATGAAAAGGTAATTGGATACATTGTTTCCACAGACACACTTTGTTTTCAGGTTAAACATGTGCCACTAGCCTTCCCTTACATAAAGAAATAGCTCTGTTCATTTTCCTAGAAGCGTGAAGTCCTCTATCTCACTGGTCATTTTCCTGATTTGAATAGAATCATGAATGCAAAAAAAAAAAATTCTTTCTTATAATATTTCTTTTCCTATAAACTGACAGAACATCATAATAAATAGCAGCTAACACTTGTTCTCAGTGTCAGGGAGACCATAAGGAGTGGTGGGCGCAGTACCAGACTGGAGCCTATATTCTGGACTAAAGGCGAAAGCTGCTGTTTAGCTCCAGCCAAACGTTAATGAGCAGGAATATAAGCCTGACATCACCAAATCTTCTTTTTGAAAAGTAAGAAGAAATCCAGGGCTCTCCATGACTTCTTCAAATCTCAAAATGTTGACTCAAATGTATTTGAAACACTGTAGTTGCCAAGCAAAATGTAGGCGCTGATTCCTGCTTCTCGGCCTCTTTTTGGGTGTAAAAAAGGATGCATCTGGAGCCCAAAGCCCATTCATCAAGTTCTGACAATCACTGACCTTGAGCACTGACCTTCACCTTGACCTTAAGGTCTTTGAATCTTGAACCCCTAATTTTAAAAATGCAGATAACACTTCTCTCCTTGCAAGATGGTGAGGATAAAATGAGATGATAGTGGGAAAGCATGCTGCACGCTCTGAGTGCTATGAAAACCTTTGGGTCTCTTAGGTCTGAGATGGAAGGATACACGACCGAACCCCTGCTTACCTTATAGTGAAATTCCTTGGTGGGGATATTAGGAAGAATAATAGTTGTGCAACTGGGGCACCGATGACAGCGTTCCCAGAAATTACTTGGTCTCAGAAGCTTTCTGAAATCTGGGAATGGAGAATAACTTTGGCCACATTTATCTAAGGCATTGCTAGCTGCAATCAGTGGTCCAAGTAAGGAAAGGTATCGCTGAGTGAAATGCATATGATTTTTAGATCAGCATAAGTTCTCTGAGATGTTTATGGAGTTCAAAGCCCTGAAGAGAGGACTGTTCCAAGTGTCAGGTTGACCCAGTAGAAAACAACAGCAAAATAGAGAGGTAAAGATGATAAATACAAAGAGACCCTCGTCTCTTGCTGCTGGAGAGGCCTGAAGTCTGTCCTATCTTTAAAGCTCAGCTTATATTTGGTCTCAGTTTGATAAGCTGTCACTGAAAGCCCCTTTTCATGTTCTCAGCTTTCACCGTGGTAGGCTGGCTGAGCCACCGGAAATTATCTTACACAGAGACGGAGTCAACATTGAATGACTTTAGCTGGGATGCCCTTTCCAGTGTTAACCCTCTTCCGGCATTTGCATCTGTAATGGTCTGCTTTGCAGACTCACAGACGGGCCAGTCATAAAAATTAATGCAGTTAAGGGGTAAACTGTGTGTTTTAAACCATGTCACTGTGTGTGTTGGATTATGTGGGATTTCCAATGGAGGCCTTACCTAAATTCAGGCAGGTATGGGTGTATCTCGTCTACAAAATGGCCCTCTGGTCCAAGAAAATTCACGAGGGGGCCATTTTGACCTGGTAGCAAAGCATTCATCTTCAGGGAAGACAACTATGAAGAATGTGTGATTGTGTCTCCAGTGGGGCACGCGGACTCACTGTGCCTCGTGTCAGGGAGACGGGATGATGAGACGCATAGAAACTGCTGCTTTACTGAAAACCTGTGTGCCACTGAGACATGAGATTATGTGCCCCTAGACCCAAGGGTAGCACAGAAGAAGGCTGACTCCCATCCTCAGCACTAGCTTCCATAGCTATTGCACCATGAAGACGGGCTGCCCTGTAACAGACAGCATAAGCATGTCCTTAAAACAATTCTTTGTGTGTTATCTAAAATTCAAATTTAACTTGGAATCCTATATTTTTATTTGCTAAATTTGGCAACGTTACTGTGAAGTCTTCACTGTCGGGGGAGGAGAGGGTGCACAAAAAGCCTCATAGAAGTAGTGTTTTCAAGAGGACCCTGGGGACTTTGCTGGGAGCTGAGTTATAAGGCAAGCAGCACAGGGTAAGAGCCAGTGAAATGTGTGATGTTACTGACGTGACACCATCATGTGAAGTTTGAGAAAACTTAGGTTCCCTTTTTCAAAGAAGTGGAAAAATATCCATGGTTGACCTTAAGAAATTTCTTGCACTCAACTACGTACAGTAAAACTCACCTTTTATAGTGTATAATGATGGGAGTTTTACAGACAAATACAGTCATTTAAACAGCAAGCAGGTTATGGGATAGTTCATCATCCCATACTTGTGCCGTGCCCCTTTGTAGTCATTTGATCATCTTAGCATACATAGAAAAAGCATTTGACAAAGTTTAACATACATTCATCATAATCTCTTATTAAGCAAGGAATAGAAGTGATGTTTCTTAATACCATACAGAATAGCCTACAACAAATGTATAAAATATACTTATGGTAAAAATTAAAAATACATGAAAATATAAGTAAATTATGCCAAATATTACTATTTCTACTCAATATGATTCTAAGAATTTTTAGCAAATGCAATAAGAAAAGAAAAAAATTTAAAAATATAAAGACTAGAGGAAAAGCATGATTGTTGTACTTCACAGATGATATGAAATAAATTTTAAAAATCAAAAAGAATTTATGAAAACACTTTGAATTAATGAATGAAGCCAGCACTTACGCAGATTGATAGATAAACTTGTTATGTAAAAATCAATTGTCTTTTCATGTGGTCACAACAGTGAAATTTTCGAAAAATATAAAACAAAAAATGAAAATTTAGCCCATCAAATATTCAACCAAAGACTTGTACCTAGTCTATATAAAGAACTCTTACAACTTAATAATAAAAAATTCACAGGTAAACTAGGCATTTTACTAAAGAAGATATAAGAATGACAAGCAGGTAAAAAGTTACTCAAAATCTTTATCATCATGGATGTGAAAATTAAAATTATAAGATAATAATGCACATACTAAAATGACTGAACTTTAAAATTAAAATCGAAACACATGTGAGAATGTGAAGCAGCAGTCCTCTGCTCCTAGTAGGAATATAATATGATACAAACAGTCTGGATGGAGAAAGATTTGGCAGATTCTTAAGACATTAAACACACACCTATCATGCATCCTACTTATTCCACTCCTAGGTATTTAGCCAAGAGAAATGAAAACATATGTCCATACAAACATTTGCACATGAATATTTATAGCAGCTTTCCTTGTAATAGCCAAAAACTGGGAGCAACCCTAATGTCCATCAACAGGTAAATGGATAAACAAATTGTGGTATATCCATACAATAGAATACTACTCTGTAATAAAAAAGAATGAACTATCAATATACATGACAACCTAATACTGTAAATAACCCAAATATTGATAGTCAGGTGGATTAATTTTAGTAAAAGTCATACAATGGAACACAATATGAGAATGAAAATGAACAAGGTATTGCTATAGTCCGCAATGTGGATGAATTTACAAACATAATGTTGAGCCTCAAGCCAGACACAAAATTACACATATTCTAGATTTTTATGCATATATAGTTTAAAAAAACCATAATCTCTATTGTGGTAAACATCAGGACAGTGACTGCTTTTGGAGAAAGGTATTAGTGACAGGGAAGGGATCTGAAGGGGCTTCTGGGCTGCTGGAAATAGTCTATTTCTTGATAAGACTGGTAGTTATATGGGCCTTATTTTTCTGTCAAAATTTCTCAATCTATACTTATGATTTATTTTACTGTACATCTATAATATTTCACTAAAGTGGATTATTACAAAACAATATTTTAAAAGGTCTTAATGATCTTGTTTAACTGATCTTTACCACAGACACACTATTTCCCAATATATATATATTCAGCTTGTGGATTCTAATCTTCTAATGAAGATTGTCCATGATTATTATGGGTTTGCACTTTACTTTCTCATCTTGATTCAGCTCATTGAGGTTGAAGACCATGTCTTAGTACATCTTTGCATCTTACCTTATGGAGCAGTTTTGAATTTCTTTGGACACTTCTTGTTCCCATAAAGATATTGTCATTCCAGCCATACATTCTCAATTTTTATTTGGAAAATATGATCACACATATATATCTGTATCATGATGTCCTATATCTAAGAGATGTATCATAAGCCTTTGATTAATGTCACTTGAGAATAATTTCTTAATTTTTTATATCACAGTGAGTAAATTGGTATTTTAAACAAACTTATCACAATAATCATGTCCCTCCACAGACTTTGGAAATCTTATGGATTGTCTCTCTGAACCCATTAGTTAAAGACCCCACAGTTTGTAGATACCTTCTAGAACCTGCAGGGTCTCAGGGTCAGCCCTTGGGTCTAGATCCCTCAAGGCTAAGTGAACTTGTAGCCAGTTTTCCTAGGATTAGGAACCAAGAAATGGAAAATACAGTACTTAAGACTCAGATTTTGTGGCCAGAACGACTTTGATTTAATCTTAGCCTCTCCACTTCCTAGCTACGTAACCTTGGGCAAGTTACTTAACTCTGTTAAGCCTCAATTTCAATCTTTGAAATTGAAATAATGATTGTTATTTTATAGGATTATTATGAGCATTAAGTAAGATCTTGCATCTAAAGTACTCAGGACAAAGCATATCAAGTATTAAGCACTGCAAAAATAATAGCTTTTATTATTCCAAGTTGTTTATTTTGCAGAATAAGCTCTCAGGAATGCACTGACATTTATGCTTACATACAGTCAGTAATATTTGCACACACACATGAAGGCATGTGAAGGTTTCATATCCTCTCACTCTAAGACCTATCTTTGTTATCTGGCTTAAACCACAGATGTGAATCAAGGGCACTTTGAGCCAAACCAAAAGTAGGTAAACCCCTGTAAATAGCTGTAAGATATTCCAGGGAGGGGAGCTGGGAGAGAAACACTCCATGTGAACAAATTGAGTTATTTAAATAAACAAATTCTGGAGTGAATGTATGCCATAATGTGGGTCACTGGATTATTTACAATTCTGAGATACACAGGCAGTTGTAGCCTCAGATTAGAAAGCATTCCTCAGATTCCTGGTGACTGGACTTCATTTGTCTGTTTACTTGCCTTTTCAGTAGGATAAACTAGGAATTTGGGCCAGGAATAGGGGCACTTGAAGAGAGAGTCTCATTTTAATAAAATGTTGAGAAACTTGCTGTGGAAGTATTTGGAAATTTGGACTCTGTTACAAAATTTTCCATTAAAAAGTAGTCACACCTTGTAGGCTTATCAGACAGTTGCAGAAGTAAATAAGAACGTGTTGATCTTTATACACTTAGGTGATGGGGTCACTAGTTGCCTCAGTGATAGGTTTTGTGACCATGCTAACTGCCATGTGGATAAAGAAATGTTAACATTAGTAAATATTAACGGCTGAGACTTAAGCAATGTGTATGAAATTCAACACATTACTGGGACACACTTACTGAAATTCAAGAGTATGAGAGACAGAGCATCAGAGACAGAAACGCAAAATGGAACTAACGGCATATATATTATCTCTAAGTTATGAGAGAAGACTGAAGTAAATGCCATCTAGATTCACATTTACCTAGAAGATGGTTGTTGTATTAGTCTGTTTTGTGTTGCTATAAAAGAATGCCTGAGGTTGGGTAATTTATAAAGAAAAGAGGTTTATGTGGCTCAAGCTTCTGCAGGCTATACAAGCATGGCACCCATATCTGCTCGGCTTCTGGAGAGGCCTCAGGAAGCTTTTATTCATGGCAGAAAGTGAAGGAGGAACAGGTGTGTAACGTGCTGAGACAGTGAGCAAGAGAGAGGCCAGGCTTTTATAAACAACCAACTCTCTCATGAACTAATAGAGCAATAACTCACTCATTTTTAAAGGCACCAAGCCATTCATAAGGGATCCGCATATGTGACCCAAACACCTCCAACTTGGGGATCATATTTCAACATGAGATTTGGAGGAGACAAGCATCCAAACTATATCAGATGGAGAGAATATGAACATATAACCATGATATGTTTGGACCACCAAGTATCTTCAGAAGTTGATAGAGCAGGTGGATCTTTGTTTCTCTGAGTTATGTTTGTGTGGGAACTCTCTAATCTCTTAATCAAAAATGAATCATTCCTTTCTCTGAGTTCCTGAAACATGTGTCTTATTCTATGCTTACATACATTCAGGAATATTTGTACAACTTTCATCTTAACTTTTGTGATACATAGTCTTTTTTTTTTTTTTTTTTTTTTTTTTTTGAGACAGAGTCTCACTCTCTTGCCCAGGCTGGAGTGCAGTGGTGTGATCTCGGCTCACTGCAACCTCTGCCACCTGGGTTCAAGCGATTCTCCTGCCTCAGCCTCCTGAGTAGCTGGGATTACAGGTGCCTGCCACAGCACCCAGTTAATTTTTTCATATTTTTAGTAGAGATGGGGTTTCACCATCTTGGCCCGATTGGTCTTGCCCTCCTGACCTTGTGATCCACCTGCCTTGGCCTCCCAAAGCACTGGGATTACAGGCGTGAGCCACCATGCCTGGCCCTATGATACATAGTCATTTTAACAGTTTGGCCACGTAAGGGACACAGATCTTGATAATAAATGAGAATGCTATTTATTGTGCCCCTTGGCAAAGGTTGCATCAGATACTTCATACCAGGTGTTGCAGACTTAGAGCCTACAGACAGTCAGCATGTGTGTTTTGTTTGGGGTGCATGATATGAAAAAATTATTTCCAATGTCTTTGGATGGGGCATGCATTTTCCAGGGACATATGCTCTGCAGATTTCCATTCTGTATTGTCTTATACGTGACTTTCCTCATTCATTTACATTATTTGCATAGCCCTTGCAGGCTTTGGATTTGTGATTTTAATGGTAAACTAAAAAATAGCTATTGAGCAAAACAAATACTTGCATCTTCATTTTAGAGAAAAAGGTAATAAATTTAGTCTGGGGATTGAGAGGAAGTAGCTTTAACCCTAGATAAAGAGAGAAGAAAGGAATGCAAGGAAGGACTAATCAAACATTGAGAAACAATTATCGAGAAGAAAAGCATATATCAAATCAAGCAAAAGTTACTAGTTGGTGAAAGAAAAGCTCTTGCGTGTGCAGGTCAAGAGAGTGAAAGACAATCTGAAGTTTAGGCTGCAGGTCCAGTTACGGCAGAGGAAGCTTTCTTCACCAGAAAAAGGTATCTAAAGTGAAAAGGGCCAGAACACATAAATAAATGTCATTTATATAATCCAGACTAGCTATTAATAGTTTGGGTGATTTTTAGACATCAGTTAGTGGTGCAGTTCTGTAAAATAAAAATCAAAGCAGGTTATTCCATTCAGAATTCCCTTTTCTGAGATCTTGCAAGCCCTCAGCTTCACTAGTGGCTCTGATGTTAGTCTCTGTGCCAATGAGAACTTGGTAATCACTGCTCACAGACCCACCTTTATCACCAGTAGGAAGCTCTCAAGAATACATAGCATATTTATTTTTGCACAAATGACATTTACTGGTTTTGTTTCTTGTAGACTGCTATGTTAAAATATGAATGCCTTGGTGGTTATGTGAGGATATAATCCATCCTAATCAAGAGTGAATAAGAGGCCAGGCATTGTGTCTCATACCTGTAATCTCAGCACTTTGGGAAGTTGAGGCAGGTGAATCACTTGAGGCCAGGACTTCAAGACCAGTCTGGCCAACATGGTGAAACATTGTCTCTACTAAAAATATAAAAATTAGCCAGGCAGTGGCATGCGCCTGTGGTCCTAACTACTTGGGAGGCTGAGGCATGATAATTGCTTGAACCCGGGAGGTGGAGGTTGCAGTGAGCCAAGATTTTCCCACTGTACTCCAGCCTGGGCAACAGAGTGGGATTCTGTCTCAAAAAAAAAGACAGAGTGTATAAGAATCCCCAGTAGCCCTTTGCTTAAGGGTAGGCATCTTTTCTAAGGAGAGAAGCCTTTGCTTAAGTCCAAAACTGAAGGACATGTTGCAAAATATACTCCACCCAGATGTCTGTCCTTCCATTTGACAACCACCTCCCTGGAACAGGCAGGAAGAGAGTAGATGAGCAAATTGAAATTGGCACCAGCATGGCTGACCCATCTGATGAGCTCCTTTGTGGACTTCAGTATGGAAAGCATTCCTTTGGGAACAGCAAAATGATGGCAGGTAAAATGATTAGACAGAATAGGTGCCTAACGCTCCCTAGAACCTGACCCTTTTTTTTTTGCTTTGCAACTTTAAATTTTCTCTATGGAGCTTCAGGGGACATCCTGCATCCGTGAGGAGGTACAACAGGAAGGGTACCAACATGTATGTGATCAAATGATGAAGTGTTGGAAAACTTAAAAGCGAAGAGTTCCTGAGTGCTGAATACAGAATACCAGCAACTCTGGTCTTGAGTAGAAAAGCAATGGGTATATCGGCAGATGATTGGTTGTTTCTCCCTTCAGCAATGTGGGAGTGGACACCTGCCAGTCTCTTGCATGATTACTCAGTTGCCAGTAGGTGGGACCACAGCTACAGAAGCTGGTGCTTCCTTGGAGGAAATGAGGGTAACTCAGGCAGAACGATTAGGAGCACACAGGGTAGAAATTTCAGTGGTTGAAAATGAATAGATTCCTGTGCAAAAGATGTACTCTCTAAGGTATTTTGTGTTCACTTAGGGAAAAGCTTAGAGTATCATGGGTTCATGGGTTATAAGTAAGGTGATAGGATCTACAGACTAAGCCTCCGATATCTCTCTGTCTTTAGGTGGTCTTCTCTTTATATGTAATTGGGTTTAAGTGTAAAATAGTGTCCTCTGTTAACCAATCTTTGTAAGTTTGCTTCAATATATCTACTTTTTAAAATTAAAGAAAAATTTTTTTGGAGATGGAATCTCACTATGTTGCCCAGGCTGAACTCAAATTCCTGGGCTCAAGCATTGCTCCTAGCTCAGCCTCCCAACTAGTTGGGCTGCAGGCACATACGGCCATGTCTGGAGAGTTTTACGATTTGTTGTCTTATATCTCAGAAGTTGCCGTGGAAAGATTCCAGGAAATATTTTATGGAACTGTCTTGGGGTGTTCTGCAAAAGTTACCCTGATATAGGTACAACAATGATAGCAGCTCTCATTCCTTCTGAATCCTGTTAGCAGCTGGGGCTCTTGCTGTACAAGAAAACAAGGACCCTCTCCTGGCATCCTCCCAACCCTCTTCTCTGCAGTCCCCTCCTGGAAAGAGGACAGGGACATCTTTCCTGGTCTTCCAGCCTGCTTCATTCAGTGTTTCACAAACATTTATTGGCCACTGACCATATACTGAACACTGCTAAGTGCTTAGGAGAACAAAGGAGTTCCTTTTATGGCTGCCTTGATTTCCTCTTTTATGCATTCACCTTGGATCCCTTTCTGATAATCAACCTTCCAGTTTGCCCTGCTTCCTTCTCTAATGTCACCATCACCAACTTATTTTAACCATTATGTGTTGTGAGAATTTGTGTATCCATAGCTACACAGATTGCAAAGTCAAGGGGCTCTTATAACTTCTTCATGTCCATTATAGTTCCATTTAAGCATGTAAGAATGAAAGAAACCATTGATTATGAAGGGGATCTGAAAGTCACATATACCACAATCCTAACTCTTTTCTTTCTATTTGTGATTATGCTAATTACAGTAACTACCATATATTTTGTGGTTTTGTGCTGGCGGCAAAGCTTTTCACACACATTGCCTGGCCGAATTCTCTCAATACGTTAAGGTGGAGGATTTTATCTCCATTTTACAGAGTAGGAAACTGATAATCAAGATCGTCCTATTGGTACAGGGTAGATTCAGGAGTTGAACCCTTGCTTTTTTGACTGTAAAGCGTTGGCTCTTTTGATTTGCCACCGTCCAGAAAATGCAGAGTTGTTATTGCAATAATTCATCTATAATTTTATATGTAACCCACAATGGCACAGAAATAGAATTTTGCAAATGTTTTGAGATAACGTTGTACTAGGAACTGCAAGTACTTCATAAAGAGATCACATTCCTTATGGGGGCCCCAGTCATGCCAGGCTCCTTGCTCCCCTATGAATAGACAGTGTTTTTTGTCTGGCTTGGGAACTGGTTTGACTGGCAGCAGAGACTCCATTTCCTCGTCTGCCAAATCCAGCGGTGGATAAGCTGGTGAATCCTTTAAGTCTCCTCTGATAACCTCTGATGGAGACTGTTTCTTTTGAGCCTCCTGAAGCTCAGAGCTTGAACCTTGCCTGACTGTGAAGATAGCACAGCCCAGGAGACAAACCTTGATCTGGGACTTGGAAGTCTGAATTTCCATCCTGTGTGACCTTGGGCAGGTCACCTTCCACCCTAGGTTCCAGGTCCCTCCTGTGTCAAATGAGAGGAGGTGTGGTGATTAGATAACCTCCAACGACCTTTCTAACACTACATTTCTCAGTTCATTTCTACAGGTAGCAGAGAGAAGTTGCCACCTCCTATTCCCCAAGCAGTTTCAGCCTAGTCAGTGTCGCAAACCAAGAGCCAGGCGTCCACTGTGAGACTGTCTTGATTTTTCCTGCTTAACTTAAACCATTAACTTCGTGATAACATTCTGGGGGGTGTCAGGTTATAACAAGGACATAAAAATTATGAGCTAGGTTTGTCATTGACTTCATGGCCTTTAATGGCCCTGCTGTCTCCTTAAGCAGATGGGAGGTAATCTTATGGCTGAAGCATGGGGAAAGGAAATGTCTGGAAGGCGTTCTGCACAGAAGAAAAGACCGGGCAAGACCTGCCCCAGCAGGCAATAGGCTGGCGCAATAATAAAGTATGGTGGCAAAATGAAACATTAAAACACCCCATAAAAACCTAAGTGCTTCATCACCATCACTAATGAAAATATATGATTGCCTAATAAAATGCTCCAAGCCAGCCGCTGGCCATGGAGCTGCATTTATTAACAACTGTTACCACTGCAGTCTCCTTACTGGGAAGGGTGACCTTCCACCCCAAATGGGCCGTGGCCTGGGGAATTCAGTATGGGCCAACTATTTGGTCAGTGGGTCTCACAGGAGGATCCAGTCCATGTGGGACCCAGCAACACCTGTGCTTCCTTGGGCAGTAAAGAGACGAGGGCAGTGGCTGGTGAGCCAGCCACAGCAATAAAACAGGAGGTTCAATCTGTCTCAAAAGTGCCTTGAGGACTGGGGATGTGCCAGGTGTGTTACAAACACAGAGAACGAAACCTGATGGTGTTGAAATACACCTCAGGATACAAAATAAGCTTCTTAGTGGGCATGAAAGAAATCATTGAATTGTTTTGCTTCTTTCTATCTCTTCTTCTTTGACAAGTATTTCATTTATTGTTTAAAACAAGAGTCACCAAGACCACCTAAAGTTTGAAATTCTGGGCCATTTGATTTGCAGTTAGACACTCTGAATCAAGCTTCATGCTAAAATGTTTATCCTGATGGCATTTGCCTGGTACTTTATCATTTACAAGACTTCTGCAATTTGAAAAAAATCATCTGTCACCTCTGATACGTGTATGATCTCATTTGATTCTAAAATAAACCTTGTGAGGTTGGTAATATAATTATTTCCAAATTTGAAGATGAGATTTAGAGCAGTCAGTTAAATTATTTGAGGTCTCATAGCTTGTAAGTTTCAAAGCTGGTTCCCAAACAGTGGCTTCAGATCTCTTAATGTGGTGTCTCAGCACCATGAAGTGGAAATAACCCACCATATCTTGAGACCACCTTCGTCCTAAGGATGGCTATCACCATCCAAACTTAAAGTGGTGTGTGTTGTAGCCACATCAAATGCGTCTACAGAAGCAATAGGATTTGTGTGCTGGGGATGGGATCCTAAAGGAGCCTGAGAAACAGGAAGGGACCTCTTGCCCCAGAATAGCCCCTTGGGTCTCCTACTATCTGAACTGTTACACGTAAACACCATCACTTTGGGTTTTGGGAAGTTTTCTACCATGTTATTAAACTGGACTTTTCTTTTTGCCTTTATACGATGAGAGGATTGAATTAGATGCCCTTCAGTTTTTCTTTAGCTCCAACTGTTCATCTCTCTACTTTACAATTCTGTCTCACGTGGTGCTAAGGTGGGAAAACAACATTTATGCCTGGTTTCAAGGGGAAAATAAGGGCACATCTACTAAACAACTAATATTTAGCAGAAACTGTTCAGATATTAACTCATTTAATCATCAAGCCACCCTCCAAGGTAAATATTATTGTTGTTATTTTAGAGACCCAGAATTTGAGTCTGATGCAAGTTAAGGAATTTGCTTAGTCCACCAAATGCAATGGGGTTGACTTCTATCCAGGATCTAGCCAAGGCCTGGGCTCTTTCCATTGCACCACACTGTCCCTCAGTGACAGCTCCCACCTTGAATTTCCTTGTCTCTGTCAGGAAGACCCTTGGACCTTAAACCCTATTATCTAACTCACAATGTCTCTCTTCTCATAACTTGCCTCCCAGTGAAGCCACTTTATTACTGACTATATTCTCAAATGCATTTTTCCTTTCCAGCCACTACAATTTTCGCAAGCAGAGGGGCATTGTTAACTCGAGTTTTCCTCGCTGGACTTGACGTTGGCTGATTGCATTCCGCCGACATGCACTCCTCCCGCTTTGTTGCTGAGATAGTCCCCTATCATTTCTGCATCCCAAACTGGCAGGGTGTGTGGCTGTGCAGCATCTTTTTTCTACTCCAGAACGAATAGGATAGAACTACTTTGTGCAGGAAAATAAGAGGCTCATATAATGAGAAATCCAAATTACTGTTTTCCTACAAGGAAGAGAAGGAAAACTTACCTGCATGAATTTCCGTTCCCATCCTTGTCCTCTCTCCTTCCCTCCCATCTTCCTGCTTCTCTCTTTCCTTTGCCGTTTTTGAGTACATATGGTATGAAAATCACAGTTTTAAACTTGAAGGAAAGGTGTGTCAATATTGAAAGAATTGTTAATAGTGCATAAAAGGCCCAGTAGTAAATAATTCATTTTATGGGTTTAGATATGGTATCACAAGCCAGAAGGGAGTGACTTCAGCTACGTATTAGAAAATTTTCAGCTACTTACTGGAAATTTTTGCAGTACGTTGGCCAGTCTTCTAATGGGTTAGAATTGAGGGCCCAGGTCACTCAAGACTTCCTTGGAGGAAACAGCCTTTGGGCATGGGGCCCCAAGGAAAAGAGTGGGCTGGGAGTTGGAGAGCTGTACTCCGGAGCAGAGAATTTTGGGGAGAAGACTTCAAGAATTCTGAGGAATGTTGAGCATGAAGGCTAACATGAGCAGTGACAGAAGAGCTGTGTGGTTTCAAAAGCAATAGCTTTCCATTTCTCAACTTAGCGGAAAACTAACTCAACCAAGACGAGTACTCATATCTGGAACTAGGAAATGATCAAGTATCGTGACTCAGGATAGAGTTGAGGGCAATGTTTGCCGAGGGCAATTGCTATGCACAGGAGGCCACTATGAGGCTATTAAGCAAGACTTATCTTTGCTTTGCATCACCTGCTTAACTGTTAGCAAAACAGTGAGTTCTCATCTGCAAAAATCTCGTCTTTAAAAATTACTTTTCTCAACTGCAAAATGGGGAGAATGTCAACTACTCCAAGTGATTATTAAAAGTATGAAATGGGATGCTACATTTAAAACTCTATGCCTTGCTCATGATAAGAACCTAATAATTATTAAGAGTACTTTGTGGTTTTGTTTTTCTTATTTCAAGGTCACACTGTGGAATTGATGGAATAGGTGAGGTCTTCTATTATTTTTCCTGCAGGTTTCTCTGTTGCTATCTCCATATTAGAACTCACTCTTTTTCCTTGGGAAAAGATGAGGGAGGAGGTAGGTGAAAGAGGTTGTGATGAAAGCCTTTGAGAGTTAGTGACTGGCTGATATTCAAGGGTTAAGAGACACAAAAGCATAGGAAGCACTTCTTAGAGAAGTCACACAACCTGGGGGAGGCTTGCGGCCCTTTAATTTTTTGTGTATACCTGTGTGTCCAACTCTCTGAATCTGGACTTCATTCTGGTCCTACTAATAAGATGTTCCTTGGATTACTAGGATAGCTGAAGGTGCCTGATGGCCTAGGACACAGAGAAGCCACTTGGTCACCCTTATGAATCAGGTGGCCTTGGCACAGAAAAGGTATTTTTAAAGCTAGGCACATCAGCCTGCGGGTGTCTACCCATGGATTACTAAGTGGGCAGTGGCAAGAGGCAGCATTAAGCTTAGGAAGAAAGTTAGAAGTGGCTGCTCTAGACAGGAGGGGCCATAAAGTCTCCTTCATTCATCAGCAATTCCATTTGTCAGGCATTCATTCGTCAATGTGCATTTACTCAGTGGCCACTATATGAATCATTGATTTAAGCCCTTTACTGCTTTTGTGCAAACTTATCCCTTCTGTTTCAACCCAGAACTAAAGCATAGGGGCTTAGGGAAACAAACAAACAAACAAACAAACAAACCCAGGAAGCCATCAGGAGTCCGCTGGAAGACTGACTGCGTACATGCTGGCAATTTTCAGAGGGACATTCATTCAACCTGCATTTATTGAGACCTATTCTGGCCAGGCATCATAATAAGCACTGTAAGAAAAACAAAGATGAATAAAACATGTTCTCTGTCCTTGAGGATCTCACAGTCTACTGAGTAACGCAAGCAAATCAGGAAATAAGAATAACATAAAGTGATACACTTTGAAATAGAGTGGTATGGAATGTGCCCTGGGAGACATCATAACTGCCAGACAAGGCGTGTAGGAATGTAAGACACTCCTGTCTGGTCCTTGGCAGCTGAGAAGCCAGGTCTAGACAGCAGTGTGAAAGCTGGAGGCAGACCTTGAGTCTGACCAAGAGGGTTGGGGAATGCAGGAAGTGGAGGTTGAGGGTGGACATTCACAGGTCATTGAGCAAAGTACTAGGTTTTTGCGTATATTGCGGGGGGAGTTTATTTTGTTTTCATATACATGCGTGATAGCTATTTAAACAAAGTGTTTAAAAATCACAAACTGGCCTGGCACATTGGCTCATGCCTGTAATCCCAGCACTTTGGGAGGCCGAGGCGGGTGGATCATTTGAGGTCAGGAGTTTGGGACCAGCCTGCCCAACATGACGAAACCCCATCTCTACTAAAAACACAAAAATTAGCTGGGTGTGGTGGTGCATGCCTGTAGTCCCAGCTACTCAGGAGGCTGAGGCAGGAGAATTGCCTGAACCCGGGAGACGGAGGCTGCAGTGAGCCAAGACGACGCTGTACCTCAACCTGGGCAACAGAGTGAGACTCTGTCTCAATAAATAAATAAATAAAATAAATAAATAAATAAATCCCGAATCACAAACTCCAGAGAGGTCAAGCAACTTAGAGCCATTCAACAAGAGACTGCCTGAACCAAAATGACAACTGTCAGAGGTCTTGGAACTGTATCTTGGGGGTCAGGCAGTTCTGCAGTGGCAGCTGTGCAGAAGCAGAATGTAAGTTTTAAATTCACTGGGTGTGGGGTTGAAACTGCCCTTATTTTTGTGATGTGTCTGTGTCAAAAAAATTTTTTTTGAGACAATTGTTCAAATGCAGTGACACGATTACGGGTCACTGCAGCCTCAACCTCCTGGGCTGAGGTGATCCTCTCATGTCAGTCTTCTGAGTAGCTGGGACTACAGGTTCATGCCACCACACCCCACTAATTTTTGAATTTTTTGTAGAGGTGAGGTTTTCACCATGTTGCTCAGGCTGGTCTGGAACTCCTGGGCTCAAGTGATCTGCCTTGGCCTTCCAAAATGCTGAGATAACTGGCATGAGCTATTGCACCTGGTCTGTGTCAAATATTTTCCTTGTGCTTAATAAATGTTTCCTCTAATTATTAATAATAGCATGTTAATTCCTGCACATACAAGTAGCTGCTCCATTAGTAATCTTCTGTGTCTTACCTAAACTTCAATCTATTCTGTGGCAACCAAGAAGTCAGTTGGAATGCAGAGCTTTGTGGGGAAGAAATCCTATATCCTGGTGTACAGAGGACCCTCTGGAGGCAGAAAATGGGCCAGGATGAGAAGCAGTGTCAGAGCATTCTGGCAAGGCAGACAAAGTTCATATAGAACATGGTCCACTGAGATCCTTTGCTTCTTTTTCTCTCAGTTTTAGAATTAGCTCAGTTGGGTGGGACAACTGTGTATTCTTCCCAGGAAACGAAAGCATGTTTCCACAGGCAGAATAATTTCTTACTTTCATCTTTCTGATAGCCTCTGTTTAACCAACACTCATTAAATGAGGCTCTGATCATATGCCCCAGGCAACTGAATTTGACTTAGGGTTTCAATAGCAATGACATTTCAAACAATTATCCAGAGTTAACAATTCAGAAAATATATAATCCTCCTCTGCTATAGAAAAAAATATTCAGTGATACTTAAGGCATGTTTAAGAAGACTTTATTCAGAACCATTGTGATAGTTATAACCACTGTAATGGGGTCTTGTAGTGGGGGAAAGAGATTGAGCTTAACTCCAGACATAGCATTAGGCAAGTGGGAATTTATAGCCAAGAAGCAGTGTGGGGGTCAGTGGGTGAAAAATTACGAGGAAATACCAAGAGCGAGGAAGATTCTGGTTAAGTTTGACAAAATTCTTGCTGAAGGCAGGTTTATTAGTCTATTTTGTGTTGCTATAAATGAATATCTGAGGCTGGATAATTTATAAAGAAAAGAGGTTTATTTGGCTCATGGTTCTGCAGGCTGTACAAGGATGACCCCAGCATCTGCTTAGGTCCTGGTAAGGCCTCAGGAAGCTTTCACTCACGGCGAGAGGCAAAGGGCAAGCTGATGTGTCACATGTCCAGAGAGGGAGCAATTAAGAGTGGACGATGTACCAGGCTCTTTTTAACAACCAGCTCTCCAGTGAACTAAGAAAACAAGAACTCACTGATTACTGCAGAGAGGGCCCCAAACCACCCTAACACCTCCCACTAGGACCCACCTCCAACACTAGGAATCATGCTTCAACATGAGATTTGGAGGGGACGCACATCCAAACCATATCAACAGGCCACCTGGAAGATGGTAAAGGAGGAGGAGCCTGATCAGATATTGAGGATGATTCAATATTGAAGATGGGCAGTTCTGGCTAAACTGACTTGGGAGAGTTATTTTGCTAAACGGAATCAATCTGTAGAAGGAAATGTAGCCTTGAGCTAGGAGAAGGGCTAGAAGTCTCACTAATGTCTTGCCAAGCAAAGAGTCTTTGTCATCTCCTACAGACATATGTTTCTAAATTGTCCAGGTAATGCAACCATACTAGTTTGGGAAATTTGGGCACAGGAAAATACAAAGCCCTGGATGATCCATATCATTGGTTCAACCTTTTTTTCACAGGAAGATAGGGTGGTTTAGCAAGTTCTCTCTTAGAGCCTGGGGCAGAAGTCGGCTAACACTAGGTGCTCAATAAATGCTGACTCACTAGGATGGCCCTGCTTTCCTACCAAAGGCTCAAAGAATGAGTTTTTCTTGCTTAAACCAGTCACCCCAAAACAGCTGCTTCATTTTCATGAGATCATCTTAGCAATAAATCTAAGTGAGCTTTTAAGTTTGAGAATATATGATACATGCTAAAAGATTAATAGGAGAGAGTTCCTATCTTTTAGAAGCTTACCGATTACTTAGAAGAACAGCATTTAAAAATAGGAAACATTAAATAATGAAAGTAAACATAATAAATGTGTTAATAATGTAATATAAGATGGTAAGGGGATGGACTGAACTTTTAAACATGGGGAGATGTCTTAATCAGCTTGGGTTGTTATAACAAGAATACCATTAACTGGATGGCTTAAATGACGAATATTTAGTTTTATAGTTTAGGAGTCTCGGAGGTCAAAGATCAGGGTGCCAGCAGATTGGGTGTTTGAAGACAGTCACCTTTGCATTGTATACTCATGTGGCCCAGAGAGGGCTCTAGTCTCTTTCTTTTCTTATAAGAGCACTAATTCCATTCATGAGAATTGCACCCTCATGACCAAATCACCTCCTAAGGGCCCCACCTCCACATACCATCATTGAGGATTAGGATTCAAAGTATTAAAGTATTAGGGAAGACACAACATTCAACCCATAGCAGGGGCCATCAGCGTAGGCCTCAATTAGAAGGAAGTAGGTGAGTGAAGACTTGAAAGAAGTGGGGGTGATGACTGCACTGATCTAGAGGGAGCATCTCAGTTAGAAGGGGCGTCCAACCAGAGGTTTTAAGGAAAGCTTTGCAAGGGGGATGTTGAAACAGAGCAGAAGGTGAGCAAGTAGGAGAAAAGGCCCAAATGGTAACTGGAGGCCAGGTCCTGTAGGGTTCTGCAGGGAACCAGAACGATTTTGGCTTTGACTCCCAGGAAAATGTGAAACAGTTGCAGGCTTTGAGAAAAAAAAAGTGGCATGACCTTCTGAGTTCTAAAAGGATTATTTTGGTTGTAATACCTGGCCCCAGGAGATAGAAGCAAAACAAGGCACTTGTTAGGAAGCATTGCAGTAATCTAGGAAAGAGATAATGATGGTGGTTGGGACCCGATGTAGCCATGGGGGAGAAGAGCAGAGGACAGATGATGGGTTTATTTTGAAGACAGAAAGTCGTAGATTTTTTCTGAGTCCATTCAGGCTCCTATAACAAAATACCTTAGACTAAGTAATTTATAAGCAACAGGAATTTATCGCTCACAGCTCTGGAGGCTGGAAAGTCCAATATCAAGGCACCAGTTGATTTGATGTCTAGTGAGGGCCCACTGTCTGCTTCAAAGATAGTGTTTTCTTGCTGGTACCTCATATGGTGGAAAGGGGAAGGGAGCTCACTCAAGTCTTTTTTTTTTTTTTTTTTTTTTTTTTGAGATGGCATTTCACTCTGTCACCCAGGTTGGAGTGCAGTGGTGTGATCTCAGCTCATTGCAACCTCCGCCCCCTGGGTTCAAGCGATTCTCTTGCCTCAGCCTCTCAAGCAGCTGGGACTACAGGCGTGTGCCACCATGCATGGCTTTTTTTTTTTTTTTTTTTTTTGTATTTTCAGTAGAGACAAGGTTTCACCATATTGGCCAGGCTGCTCTCGTACTCCTGACTTCGTGATCCTCCCACCTCAGCCTCCCAAAGTGCTGAGATTACAGGCGTAAGCCACTATGCCCAGCCTCAAGCCTCTTTTATGAAGACATTAATCCCATTAATGAGGGTGAAACCCTCATGACCCAATCACTCCCCAAAGGCTCCACCTCTTAATACTATCACAATGGGTATTAGGTTCCACCACATAAATTTTGGGAGGATGTCAACATTCAGATTTCAAAGTGCAATGGGTGTGTAATTTCAGAAGACATCACCAAAGAGACTGAACTTTTAGTTGGGTCCTCAATAGAGTACAATGAAGATTGATGAAAAGAAACAGAGAAGGCATGTCAGGTAGTGGAAAAGGCACAGCATGTGAAAGTTCAATCAGTGGCTGGGCATGGTGGCTCACACCTGGAATCCTAGCACTTTGGGAAGCTGAGGTGGGTGGATCACTTGAGGCCAGGAGTTTGAGACCAGCCTGGCCAACATGGTGAAACCCAGTCTCTACCAAAAATACAAAAATTAGCCAGGCATGGTGGTGTGCACATGTAGTCCCAGCTACTCGGGAGGCAGAGGCAGGATAATCGCTTGAAACCCGAGAGGCAGAGGCTGCAGTGAGCCAAGATTGTGCCACTGCACTCCAGCCTGGATGACAGAGTGAGACTGTCTCACTGTCTCAAAAAAAAAAAAAAAAAAAAGGACACTCAGCTTTTAGAAGACACTAGGCAGATTTATTTGGTTGAAGTTAAAGGTTATAGAAGAGCACTTACTTGAGATAGGTACATGCAAAAAGGTAACCAAACCAAACGTTGCTCCAGGGATTCTTGTTAGATGAGCCTTGGTCCCTGGATGATCCAGGCTTATTTTCCTGTCCAAATCCAAGAATCCTGGAAGCAGAACACCAGACCAATGCCCCTTTTAAAAAAATGGTTGTCTGCTACAGTATTGCTGACAAGTGCTTGGTTGACCTCTTCCTGAGGACCTCCAATGGGTGAATTCATTAGTTCAGAAGAGCCCCTTCCTCTGGGGGCAATTTTTGGTTTTGGAAGATCTCCCAGTATTGAGCTGAATCTGCTTTCACGTGACTCCTAACCACTGGCTCTAGTTCATTTTCACTCATTTTCCTTCTGCTTCATTCACCTTTTGTGTGGTTTTTGAGGGTCTGGGTGTTAAAGGTGGACCTAGAGACAGAGGGCATGAGTAATCTGCTCACATCTAACTCCGACATAGACTTTCAGAGTGAAGAATGGGTGTGCAGGTACACATGAGATTTATGCATACCTCTGCCCAGTTTACCAAGGCAGAGTCAAGAAGTATTTGGATAGAGGCCTCAGCTAGGAGTAAAGAGTGAACTCAAGAACTAAACAGGGTGGCTTTGGGGGCCAAGGCAGGAATTCCGTTTCTAGAAGCCATGCCCAGTCCAAAAGTAGGTTCTATGACTCCCAGTTCGTAGAGGAGGGCTAGGGGTACAGAGGTTTAGGAAATGTCTTCAAGTCAAAGTTTGTAACTGGAAGAGCCAGTGGGAAATGCAGCTGTAACCAACTCCAAGAACTTCTGTGGTTTCCAGAGACTGTGTCAGACACTGCTGGGGAACCAGAGAGGAAGAGATTAGGGCCGGAGCCTGTCCTCACATTGCTCACAGACTGGTGAGGGATGCATTAACCAAAATAAGCTAACATATAAAGGCCCAGGCACCACAGAAGCATGAATGAATGCTACGGGAGACCACAGGGGTGCAAAGTTATTTCGGGATATGGGTCAGGAGGTTTGGAGAGGAAATGAGATTTGATAAGTGGAAATAATCAGAGCAAAGCAACAACAAAATGGTTAAAGATGTGAAGAGAAGAAACCATAGGTTGGATGAGTAAATAGTTCCATTTGACAGAGGCACAAAGTCCATGAAGGGAAGTAATAAGAACAGAGGTTGGAAACTGTTGCAAGGGCCAAATCACCAAGGATCATGGATGATTTACTGGATTTGTTCCCACAGATAATCAAGAATTCTTGAAGGTTTTAATCATTGAGTAACCTGATCAAAGCTGTGGGCATCGACTCTGTCCTCTGGAGCCAAGAGAATACCTTTAAGCCCTTTGAAAAGAATAGTCCCTAAAATGTTTAATTAAGGTGGTCTCAGGCTGGGCATGGTGGCTTACGCCTGTAATCCCAGCACTTTGGGAGGCTGAGGTAGGTGGATCACGAGGTCAGAAGTTTGAGACCAGCCTGACCAGTATGGTGAAACCCCGCCTCTACTAAAAATACAAAAATTAGTCGGGTGCGGTGGCGCACGCCAGTAATCCCAGCTACTCAAGAGGCTGAAGCAAGAGAATCGCTTGACCCGGGAGGCAGAGGTTGCAGTGAGCTGAGATTGCGCTGCTGTACTCCAGCCTGAGCAGAGCGAGACTATGTCTCAAAAAAAAAAAAAAAAAAAACACCAACAAAAAAAGAAACAAAGGTGATCTCTTCCCCTTTTATGTTGAAGCTAAGCATCTCCATTCTTAAAACAAACAAACAAAAACCCTCTTGTCTTTAAGGCTTGGTTTCAACCTACTTAGCATCCTGGTCACCCTCCCCTGTACACATTACATGCTTTGCATAAGCAACTAATATTTATTAAAATCTTATAGTTGGCCAGGTATTATGGTAAAGATGTCAAATGAGTTATCTTATTTAAAGATCACAGTAGTCCTGTAAGAGAGATATCATTTTAGCCCCATTTTACAAATGGGAAATCTGCAGTTTAGAGAGGTTAAGTTGCCCAAGGCTAGTGAGTGTCAGAGGTAGAATTCAAACTTAAGCTTTCTACCTGCAAAGCCCAAGCTCCTAAAAACTACACTACCCTCTCCCACCAGCACCCCCACTGCCCAACAACAAAAGAGGCCCTGTGGAACCTCCAGACCACCAAGCAACTTTCTTTTTCTGAACCTCAGTTTCCATACCACTAAAGAGTTTGGACTAGAACCTCTCAAAGGTCCAATTCTGATACGCCAGTAAAGGGGTTATGTTTGTTTAAGTGAGTAATTGCAGTCTAATAGGGTCAGGGTAGCTGTAACTGAATTGATTGAACTAATACTGCTCGAGAGTGGCTGAGGACTGAATTCTAAACACTATCTATTCTTAGGATAACCCTAGGAAAAATCTCATCTACCCTCCAGTAGCTTATTTTATACAAACAGATAGAAAATAGATCTTGTGGGGTAATATGTGCAGCATATTTGAAGCATACCTTAAATTAGATATAATCTTGGACCTACATATAGTTTTCTTTTCATAATAATAGTAATAACAATAATAATAATAATTTATTGGTGGCTGAGAAGAAGGGAAAGGGAAATATGATTCTGATGGATACAGTGAAAAAGAAGTCCAATAATCTCTTTTACCTTTTGGCACTAAAAGCTAGAATTAAAATGATTGAGTGTGGTACTATAAATATAAATATAAAAGCGTATGGAAATGTGAGAAAATAATCCCAGCCATGCTGAAAGCAATGGGGTGTGGGGACTGGTTGTGACCAGATAGGACAGGCAGGCGCCTCTAGAGACGGTCTGGCTCACTCACATCGACCTCTGTCATCTGCCAGGGTGAAATGGCCAGTGTGGAAAAGTAAGGCAGGACGGCAAGGTCCCTGCCACAATGTGGTGTCTCATAATCTTTACCCTTGCCCCTGCCTTGGCCAAACCAGTTCCCCTGTAGCCATACCAGCCGAACCCACTGGGTAATATGGTGGAACTCCCAGTCCTGTTTCATAGGTGCCATGCCTACTCTCCTTCTAGTCTTCCAGAATCTGGATCCAGCCTGCTGACTTTTGGTTCTTGCCTGCACATAAGTATGACAGATCATACTGCTCTTGTGGTATCTGCTGAATTGTATTCTCTATCCTGGCTTCTCCCAAACAGGCCTACCCCATTGTTGCATGACCCAAAACCCTTTTGACCATATATAAAGGTTGTTGATTTAGCTGTCAATGTGCTAAATACTCTGCGTAGAATCTGAGTTTGAATTGAGCTTTTATCTCTGCTTAAGATCTCTCATCCCCTGAACTAGATGAATGAGAGAGGAGCCAGGCCGGGAGCAATTTTATAGGCAAGAAAGCTTCTCACCTAAGACCAAAGTGTGTTTGGACTAAAGAGGGAATACTAGAAGTTGCATCTCAGAGATGATGCTGAAATTGAATATGGAAAGTTATCTCAAACTGAGCTATCTGTATTTCAGGGCTAGATAAAGAGTAGGAGTCCAGGCATAGAACTAAACAGGCTTTCAGATAAATAAGAGGTAAAATAAGGAACTGTGAGTGACTTAGAGGTAGTATAGATAAATCGCGAGGCTGAGGGCTATAGCCTGAAGCCCTTGGCAGGCACTTGCAGCTGGGGACTTGGGCAGAGGTTCATTCATATTTGATGGGGTCTCTAATTCAGTGGCTGAGATACAGGGTTCTGAGTCAAAAAGATGGATTTGGATCCCAGCTGTACTGTTAGCTATGCTGTGGTTATTCCAGAATTTTTACAACAGAGTGCTTGAGGGAAGCCATCTGGTTGGAATAAGAGCTTGGGAACTTGTCTTGAAGCGGCCACTGTAACTAATATGGAAAAGAATTAAGTGTCTATATCTGAGAATGACTGAGGGTGGAGTGGTAGAGCAGTGTTAGTCAGCTGTTGTCACAATAATGCTACATAACAAACAACCACAAAATGCCAATGGCATATAACCATAAGCTTTTATCTCCGTGCACACCAGTACGCAGGTCAGCTGGGGTATCTCTCGTTCAGGTTAAGGATCTGTGGGTCCCTAGAGACACTGCAGGTCACCATGGGTCAACTCATCTGTGTTGTGCTTGCTCAACTCTGATTTCAAGTAGAGAACTGGGTCCAGGTTTGCTCTACTTGTCTTATAACTTCTAAGAACAAGTGGCTACCTAGATTATATTCTACTCATGGAGAAAGGCAGCACAAGTGAGTGTGCCGAAACACACAAGCACATTTCAGCCCTTTGCTCAAGTCATGTCCGCTAACATCCCATCGGCCAACACAAGCCCCAGGGCCAAGCCCAAAGCTGCATGATAGGGAAGCATGCACATGCCTTCTGTGGCCCCGTGCAAAGCTCATACTATGTGCTGCATGACAGCCAATAAATCGAGAGACTGGGTACTGGGGCAAGGAAAGTGACTATTTCAGAGAGCCAGCAGACTGAGAAGATGGTGGACTAGCATCCTAAAGAACCATAGCTAATTTGGGGCTCCTTTTATGTTAGGGGAAAGGGGAAGATGGAGGGGGTTAATGTCAAAAGGTGACTGATGACCACACATACCTGAGAAGCAATGAGGGTAAACTTCTTTATCCTTGGTCTGATCATGATGCTCCTGTGAAATTTTAACATGAAATTGTGATGTGTGTGTACACCCTTATTTCTCCAGGAGTTAGTTTTGGGAAAGGACTACTATTATCCTTGCTTTATAGTTAAACTACAAAATAAATGCCTCCTATAGTTAGCTTGGCCTACGTGCAGAGATAAGCAAAAGCAGTTCACCTAAGAGATATAATGGGTGATGGTTAGAAGCAAAATGAAGTTAGTCAGGCTAGGTCTCCTTTTCACTGTTAAACTTCCACTCTGATGACATGGGAAGAAGGCTGTGGACAGAATACAACCACTGGCGGTGAAGAGTTGAGACCAAGTCACCCTTGGGTAGAGTTGCATAGTACTTGGCCTTGGATAAGTCTTAAAGTTTCTCATGTAAACTTCCATTTTCTCCTTTGTAAATTTAGACTGCTAAAACTCAGAGAAGCACAGAATGCAACCGAGTGGACAGAGGAGCCATTCTTACTGGGTTCCATTCTTAGTCCCACTGCCAACTAGCTGTGTGTCCCTGTGCAAATCACTTAATTGTTTTGTGCTTCAGTTTCCTCATTGGTAAAATAGGCATCATGATAGTGGTAATGATTTTTTCATAGGATTATTGAGACATTAAGGGAGTAAATGTCTGTAAAGTACCTAGAAAATCACCTGGCACAGAATCTGCTAGACATGGATGTTGCATCCGAAACTCTCAGCCACCCTCTGGACCTTCCCGTGGAACACATTTGCTATCCCTCTTATCCTTTGCTCTTGCCTTTCCTTCTGCCCCACCCGGTAGAATCCTTGCTGTTTCGTCTCTGCTTACTCATTCCTGCCTGACTCTCCCCTTTCAGGGGAACACATTCCCAGTGAGCTCTATCCTTCTCAAATCTGACTTTCCTTATCGTTTCTCGACTTGGGGTCTCCTTCAAGGCTTGCCAAGATATAAGGGCCTATATGATTTGGGAGGATATAGTAAAGATGAGGAGAGAGCCTGGACTCCCAGAAAGAAGGGAATGTAGAGGAAGTCTGGAAGTCCAGTGCTAAAGTGGGTATATTCAGAGTTCTATGACCCACTATGGGCCCAACAGTGACAAAGTTAATGGAGCCAGGGGCTGGGTGGCACCTGGAGCCCCATGAGCTATTGGGGCCTACAAACTTCAATCTTGTACGTAGTGATCTTTGTCTTCATGATCCTAGTCTCAGTCCTTTACAGTTTTACCAAAAAATTGTAAACTAGAGTCAGTATTTTGCCTCTAATAACTACTGTTTCTCCAGGAGATCATAAACCCCAAAGGGCCAGGAGTTCATCTTATATATGTTTGTAGCCACCACCCTTTCCTTTCCTTTCAAACCATCCCCTCCTCCATGCCTACCACAAAGGTTGGGGCATGGTATGTGCTCTCTGTTTACTGAATAAAATACTGCACCAACCTGCAGGGAAATCACTGCTAGGGTTACTGACAGAGATGAGTTAGCCAAGTCCACTTCTCTGCTTCCTAGAATGCCTTCAATATCCAGAATTGCAGAACAAAACCACACACACATCCCCATGCTGAAACACACACACACAAACACACACACACATCACCAAACACACACTTAAAGTTTAATCATCCTGTTTATCCTCTGGGTTACCAGAATCTGGAAGAAGGAAAATGTGAAAAAGAAAGACTGACAAAAGAATTTCTCATTTTAAACATTGCAGCTAATTCCATTAATTATGTTGTGATGCAATTAAGCATTTCATTTCAGAGCTATTAAAGTTTAAATTATTTATTAATAATTACAGATCATTACCTGATAGTGTTCACTCTGCAGAACAGGTGATGAATAATTTAGCAGCTTTGACATGGTTTTCTCCTTACAGCCCTCTTTGGATGGTGTCTATATTTGTACATGTCAGCTTGCCGATATATGTGCCTGTTTGTGTGAACCTACCTGTTCCTTCTGTTTATGCAGGATCTTCCTCATTTCTGAATATAGCTTAAAACTTTTCACCCTTAAAGTTTTATGACATAGATTGCAGGTGAGATAGCAATAACGGAACGTTATATAGATAAAACATGCATTTTCTTCTTATGGTTGAAATGGACTTCAATTCTAAGGGTAAATGAGAATTACGCTTATTCATTACAGAAGCCTTTTCCTATTCCTCTCTCCTTCCTTTCAGGATCTTTAATCATTGTTATCCTTGCATTGTTACTATATACAGGCATGAGCACAAATTAATTCTTTTGCTTCAGTACTGTTTAAAGATTGTTTTTAATAAAAATGAAAACAAAATTATTGAATTTTAAATACACAAAAGAATCTCATGATGGAATCAATGCAAGCTGTAATTGACAAGTGGATACTGATGTTACACAGAGATAAAGACCAAAGTCCAGTTACTACTGAACCTAACCAATTAATTTTAACAGCATCTAGAGGGCTTCGCCCCCTAATATTCTATCTGGGAAGGATTCCAACTGGTGTCACCCATTTCCTACATTAGGAAATTATTCAAGACATATATACCAAGAGCACAGCTATACATAAGTGACTTCATCAAATACTATCTATATGGGCATAAATATACTATTATCTATTTTAGGAGTTTAAAGTGGAAGCCATTTCTTCATTCAAGAGATATTTTTTGAGTCTCTAAATGGTGCCAACATTCTGCCAGATGCTGGAGATATGGCTGTAAATAGGCTAAGGTGGGAAGGTTTACTGGATTCAAAAACCAATTCTAACAGCTTGATAACACACTCTTTTCCAGTTGATCTGCCATCATTCGTCTATCTTTTGGTGACTTGTCCAGGAATGGGGACAAGCCTTTCCATTCCACAATAAAATTGACTTTTGTATCAAAAATCAATTTATTATAGCATGTTATCTACCGTTAACTTGTATATAGATTTGCTGTTAGCTCTTCGAAGCATAGTATCATCATTATTGTATGTTGTGGATGGATTCAGATTAAGATGTGTTTTTGTACACATTCTGCCAGGATCTGGACAGGGATGGTAAGGAGGACTTTTGTTTTCTAAGCATTTACAACATTTTCTCAAACTCCACCCGCCTCAGACCTTTCATTCCCCATATCGGGGTGATCTGCTTATGCTGTGAAGCTGTCTCTTCTGCTCCTGAGTTGTCTCCAGAGACACCTTTTTTTAAAAAAAATGGTAAAATATATACAACATACTATTTATTATTTTACATGACATAACATAACACACTATTTATAATTGTAACCATTCATAAGCATAAAATTTGGTAGCTTTAAGTATATTCATAATGTTGTGTAATCATCCCCACTATTTATATTCAGAAATTTTTCATCATCCTCAACAAAAACTGTTTATTTTTTTCAGACTCCCCATTCTCTCTCCCCCCAGTACCTGATAACCACTATTCTACCTTTTCCTAGTCTATGTACCTCATGTAGGTGGGATTGTACAATATTTGTCTTGTGCTGGCTTATTTTGCTAAGCACAGTGCTTTCAAGGTATATTCCTGTTGTAGCATATATCAGAATTTCATGCCTTTTTAAAAGCTGAATAATATTCCAGTGTGTGTGTGTGTGTGTGTGTGTGTGTGTGTATATAAACACATTTTGTTTATTCATTTATTAATGGACATTTGGGTCATTTCTACCTATTAACTATTATGAATAATGCTGTTATGAATATTAGTATATAAATATCTGTTTAAGTCCCTACTTTCAATTATTTTGGAGATATATCTATGTATCTATATATAGATGTATATATCTTGGAGGTATATATTAGAGAAATATATGTACACACACACACCTAGGAGTAGAATTGCTGGTATTACTGGTGGAGGTTCTTGACTATGAATTGTCCAGGTTCTTGGCATTTTGAACAAAGAATTGGACAAAATGCACAAACAAAGCAACAAAAGAATGAAGCAAAGAAAGCACAGATTTACTGAAATGAAAATACACTCCACAGAGTGGGAACAGGCATGAGCAAGTGGGTCAAGAGGGCTGGTTACCGAATTTTCTTGGGTTTAAATATCCTCTAGAGGTTTCCCATTGATTGCTTTGTTATACCCTTTGTAAGTAAAGACTCGGCCCATGACCAAGTCTGATTGGTTGTGGAAGGGGACCGATCAGAGTTACTTTCCATTTTTCATGTGTGACGCAGCGGAAAGGTGGGCGTTGCAAAGGAAGCAGCCTCCTATTCTTTCCTTACTTAGGTGGGGAGGGATGGGGTTTTCCTTTCCATTCAGTTCTAGGAAGTCAGTGCAAATCGGCTTTAGGTTCTCTGCCTTCAGACCCTATTCTCCTGCCTCATTAAGTCATATAGTAGTTCTGTGTTTAATCGTTTGTAAAACTGCCAAACTGTTTTTCACAGTGGCTGTACCATTTTACATTCCCACCAGCAGTGCAAGAAGGTTCCAATTTCTTCACATCTTGTTATTAGTGCATAAATGTTTATAATTGTGATATCTTCTTGCTATATTGAATCTTTGGTTAATATATCATTTTTTGTGTCTGTTATTACCTCATTTGGTTTAAAGTCTATCTTATTTAATTTTTTTTTTTCTCGCTCTGTTGCGAGGCTGGAGTGCAGTGGTGCGATCTCAGCTCACTGCAACCACCTCCCAGGTTCAAGCAATTCTCCTGCCTCAGCCTCCTGAGTAGCTGGAACTATAGGCGTGTACCATCACACCCAGCTAATTTTTGTATTTTTAGTAGAGACAGGGTTTCACCATGTTGGCTAGGATGGTCTTGATCTCTTTACCTCATGATCTGCCTGCCTCAGTCTGCCAATATTTTATTTAATATTAGTATTACTATCCCAATTCTCTTTTGGTCATAATTTGCATAGACTAGATTTTTGCATCTTATCAGTTTCAACCTATTTGTGTCTACAGATGTAAAGTGAGCCTCTTATGGATAGCATAGAGTGAGATCATGTTCTTCTTTTTTACTCTATTCTGAAAATCTCTGGCTTTTGATTGGACAGTTTAATCCAATTACACTTAAAGTCGTTATTAATGAAGAGAGACTTCTGCCATTTTGTTTTTTTTTCATGTCTTAAAGCATTTTTGTCCCTTATTTCCTTTATACTGCCTTATTTTGTGTTTAGTTAATTTTTTAATGTCGCAACATTTTTGTCTTATTTCTTTTTGTGTATATAGACATTTTCTTTGCAATTACCATAGAGATTCCCCTGAACATCCTAAAGTTATAACACTGGTTTGTTTGTACAACTTTAATAGTATACAAAAACTCTGCTCCTACACAGTTTTACTCTTCACCTCTTCCTGTTATTGGTGTTACAGATTGTGTCTTTACATATTGTGTGCTCAGTAACAGATTAACAATTGTTTTTATGAATTTATCTTTTAAATAATGTAGAATATAAAAAGTGGATTTGTAAACCAAAAATACAATAATACTAGCTTTTGTAATTGCTTGTACTTATTTTTTTTTTACCAGAGGTCTCTATTTCATCACACAGTTTCTAGTTGCTGTCTAGCTTCCCTTCATTTCAACTTGATGGACTCCTTTTATAATTTTTTGAAGGGCAGGCCTAGTAGTAATGTACTCTCTCAACCTTTTTATTAATATCTGAGAATGTCTTGATTTCTTCTTTATTTTTGAATGACAGTTTTGTCATATATAACATTCTTGGTTGATAGTTTTTTTTTTTTTTCCATTTAAAACTTTGAGTGTATCAACCCACGATCTTCTGGCTTCCAAGGTTTCTTGGATGATAAATGAATAATTTTATTAAAAATTACTTAGATGTAATGAGTAGCTTTCCTCTTGCTGCCTTTAAGATTCTCTCTTAATTGCAGTTTACCAGCGAAGCTTTCGTCCAGATGCTATAAGCATTCAAATAGACTCCATCTTTGCAAAATAGTTCAAACAGTTTTTGTCAGTACAATTTTTGTTTATTGGAATGATGGATTCTCGGTGCTTCTTATTATGCCATCTTCTCTGACATCATTATTCTCTAGAGAGATATTTTCAGAAGGACAAAACACAGAAGGACACAAAATGGAGCCAAGCAACCCTAGGAAGTTTCCTATTTTTTTTTTTTTTTTTTTTTGAGACAGAGTCTAGCTTTGTTGCCCAGGCTGGAGTGAGTGGCACCATCTCCACTGACTGCAACCTCCGCCTCCTGGGTTCAAGCGATTCTCTTGCCTTAGCCTCCCAAGTAGCTCGGATTACAGGTGCCTGCCACCATGCCCAGCTAATTTTTGTATTTTTATTAGAGACAGGGTTTCATTGTGTTGGCCAGGCTGGTTTCAAAATTTTGACCTCATGATCCACCTGCCTTGACCTCCCAAGTGCTGGGATTACAAGCGTGAGCCACCGCGCCCGGCCAGGCTTCTTTTGCACAGGGACTGTTCCCTCAAGAGATCATCTCCTGAGGATGGTATGCAACAACTGGGGTTCTGTGGACATCTACAGCCCCCGGAGCCTTGGCTGTACCAAACTCATTGAACCAAAGGGAAAGGACCAAAGCCATAATCTAATGGGATTTTAAATACTTTTAGAATATCTATTAAGCTATCGTTCTCTGCTGAGGATCCAAAATCTAAGAGTCATTATGGGAGTTACAGACATGTGCAACATAGAGCCCATTCTTTTGAAGAGTTTGTCATCTATAGCTTCTTTGCTAGGAGCCTAATGTTGCCTTAGAGAACAGGCATCATAGTTGCTCAAAAAAAAAAAAAGAACAGTTTTTGTGTGCTGGGAATGCCATGAAATATGTAAAACATTAGGGATAGGAAGAGGATAAGGGAAAAAGTTTGCAGATTGGATAGCAGTGTTAAGAAAATTGCCAGAGAAGAAGTACTCAAAGTGGAAATAAGGAATAGTTTAAGCTTATAGGTTAGCATGGCTGAGGGAGAGGGTGCCGGCAAATGAGACTGGAAGAGTTTATAGATGGCCAGCAATGACTAAGGAGTTTACGTCTTATACTTAAAAAAACTCATAAACACAATAAGTTTAAATGAAAAAATGAATGAATGAGTGAAAAAAATAAACATCTTTTCTCTATTACCCATTAAAAAGTTATAAGTTATAGTTGAAGTTTCCCACGTACCCATTCCAGATCATATTCCCCTTCCTTCCCCAATCAGACATTCCTCTTTCTGAAATTCCATGCTTATCTTTCTCATGCAGTTTTATATGCATGTCTACAAATGTGTAGTTCATATTTCAAATTTTACATAAATTTTATTATACAGTTATTTCTATTACTAATTTTTCATAGCTTTTTTCTTATCCATGTGATATCTCTAGCTCTAGATCACTAGACAGGAGAAATTTTTAATGCCTTGGGTGTGATATTGGTATGAGTAGGAAGATTCATCTGAAAGGGCAGTTTTGAGACAATTACTCCATTGCTTCAGTAATTTTTTTAAAGAAGTCATTTTTTTTCTCAACACACAACAGTAGTTATTTACAAAACTTATAATTTAGACTCTTCGCATTCATAGTTTTAGAGCGTGAAGGGATTCTTGTGACCAACAAAAGCTTAGAGAAAGTAAAATCATTTCCTTTTGAACTAGGTGGACACAGATCCTGACCTTTTCCGTCCTGCTGTTTCTGAGTTGTTCAGTCAAGTTTCACAGTGTACAGATAATCTATCTTTACAGAGTCTAAGGGGAAGAAGGAAGAAAGGGAAAGTTACTATTTGATATTTTGTGATCAGATTTTTTTTTTTTTTTTTTGAGACGGAGTCTCGCTCTGTCGCCCAGGCTGGAGTGCAGTGGCACAATCGCGGCTCACTGCAAACTCCGCCTCCCGGGTTCACGCCATTCTCCTGCCTCAGCCTCCCGAGTAGCTGGGACTACAGGCGCCCGCCACCAAGCCCGGCTAATTTTTTGTATTTTTAGTAGAGACGGGGTTTCACCATGTTAGCCAGGATGGTCTCCATCTCCTGACCTTGTGATCCGCCCGCCTCGTCCTCCCAAAGTGCTGGGATTACAGGCTTGAGCCACCGCGCCCGGCCTGTGATCAGAATTTTAAGAAGGGCAGGAAGAAACAAAACTATTGGTGGTCTAGATTAGAGGTCACAAATTATTTTATGTAAAGGTCCAGAGAGCAAATAATTTAGGTTTTGTGGGTCATACAGTCTCTATTGTAGCCACTCGACTCTGACACAGTGTGGAAAGCAGCCACAGATAATATGTAAACAACTGGGTATAGCTGTGTTCTAATAAAACTTTATTTATAAAGATAGGCATGGAGGTAGATTTGGATTGCTGGTTGAAGTTTGCTGATCCTTGGCCTATAAAAATGTATTTCAGAGTGAGGCTGAGACAGTAGAGTCAAGGATTTCTGAATGAACTTGAACTGATCGTTACCCTTTTCATGCTCCAGCTCCTGCTGTTCAATGGAATAACTAATAGTGGCCTTTGTCACATGAGTTATGTGGAGATCCATTACCAGTGAATGACACCTAAAGTCCTTGACTACCGTAACACCAACTATCTAATTCTCTTTCTTCTCAAATTGTTTATTTTTGTTCATCAGAATTTTGACTAAAATGCCAGCTGTGTGTAAACCAGAAATAACACTCTAAGCTCTGCAGCTGACTGAATGGATTCCCCTCTCAGCCAAAGGGATTCCGAAGAAACCTGAAAAAGTAGTTCAGGCCATGACAGGAAACAATGAGGGGATGGGGTGATCAGACATGCTTCATTATAATCTCTTCTCTTTTGGAGTTCAGACACAACTGACCAGCTTTAACGTTAAAACAGACATCCTAAGACTGACTAAACAGACTTTTTGTAGCAGTAAGATACCAACTCAAACCTGAATCTGGTATAACATCACATGACAGATAGCAGGCTCTAAAGGAAATCAAAGTATTTTACCCCAAAATATATTTTTTTGACATATTTTGGAATAGCCTTGCAAAATCACTTGTTGAGGTGGGGAAAACTGCATTCTGTAGAGAATCCCCTTTCCTTTCCAGGTCTTTTCCTGATCCAAGATTGATTTAACTAAGTGTCTGGCACCTTTTAAGATCTAATAAGAGACATGTACCATCTATTCTCTCTCAAGCCTGGTATCTGGAGGCTTCATCTACATAACACGAAGCTTTTCTTTCTACTGACTTCAACTCTTTAGGCAAAACTTAATTCTCTCAACTGTTTGCCAATCAGGAAATCTTTGAACCCAACTATGAGCTGAAGCTCTTGCTTTGAGATGTCTCACCTTCGTGGGCCGAAGTAATGTATATCTTATATGTGTTGATTTGTGTCTCTGTCTATAATTTCTATCTTCCAAAAATTTATAGAATCAAGCTGTAACCCACCTACCTTAAGGTCTTGTTTTCATGACATCCTGAGGCTGGGTCACAGGTCCTCACATTTGGCTCAGAATATACCTTTTCAAATATTTTTAGAGTTTGGCTTTTTTTGTCAACATATGTATAATATATTTTCCTTATCAGCATACCTAAAGGAGCTATTTTACTTCTGAACATTATACAAATTAACAATTACTTTCAACAGCATAAATACATACATTAGTTTCCCCTGGGTCATATCAATTGAGATCATAATCATGGGAAATTGGTCACAATGACAATATTCTCTGGTTTATAGTCCTTTCTAGCAAAAGAGCTGGAGAAACAGCTCTACAAATGTTAATTTTTATATTTACAGAGCTCTGGGCTTGTCTGCAAGGTGCCCCTGAGTACCTATTACAATTGTCCAGTTGGCTGCCAGGTTGCCTCTTGTTTTGTTTTCTTACTCACCTCTGATAATACACCTTTTCATATTGGAGCCCTATGTCCATCTCTCCAAGAAAGCTTGGTTCAAGACCCAGAGGGACAGAATGAGAAGATAATGTGGGTAACACTAAACAGTGCTACTTTTGAAATCTTCCTTCCTCTGAACCTCTAGGCAAGGTTCTTAGATGTGGTAGGTAAACCTTAAGACCTACCCAGTGTCACAGTGGAAGGCAGTTGACACATTCAAAGGGGAGAAGAGAGTTTAATAAAGGGATTGTAATAAAATGTACAGAGGGGCAGGGTTAGGGGACCCATGAGGGATAGTATAATACCATCAGAACTAGCTCCCAAGCATGGGACTTAAAGAGCAGAGGTAGAGAGTGGTTACCAGGTCCTGGAGCAGGTAGCTCTAAGACAAAGCTGCCAGGCAGGAGCACAGATCTTCTAGAGGGGATGCAACCAATCCACGATGACCCAATAATCGGGGAGTTGCAGGCCTCCCCTTGTTACCACTGTTGAAATTTGGGTGGCTTTCATTGGTAATAAATCTATATACAATTTCATTTGGCCTCCTGTTGGCCAAATCTAAACAGAAAGCCAGAGGATAAGAAAGTTGTTGCAGTTCATACATGTCAGCTCTCTGGTGGCCCTAGGGAAGCTAACATTATGTGTATTTATGCTGTTGAAAGTAATTGTTAATTTGTATAATGTTCAGAAGTGAAATAGCTCCTTTAGGGAATATGTACTGATAAGGAAAATTCATTATACGTAGCTGGCATTTTAGTCAAAATTTTGATGAACCAGAATAAACAATTTGAGAAGAAAGAAAATTAGACAGTCAGTGTTGTGGTAGTCAAGGAATCGAGGTGCCTTTCCTTGGTAACAAATTCCCACATTGCTTCATTTGGCCTCCTGTTTACCAAATCCAACAAGAAACCGAGACGAGAGAGAAATTTGTTGCACTTCATATCATTCAGTTTTCCAGAGAACAGAGCTGGGTGGATAGGGGCAGAGAGCAGATCTCGAGAAGTAATAGAAGTCCAGCCTACCCTCCGTCTAGGTTTCCCAAAGGGTGAGCTCTTCTCTTGTCTTTTACACTCTCTGGAAAGCTAAGCAGTGTCCTCCGTTTACAGCCTTCAGCTCCTTTATTCACCATTCCACAAAGAGGTTCATCAGAAACGTATCTCAGCATAGTGTTAGCAGCAAGAATTCCAAAGGCTACACGTGTATAAATCCTGGCCCTACCCTGGTCACCCTAGCTGGGTGCTTGGGCAAGTTATTTAAAGTTTCTGTGCTTCAGTTTTCTCATTTGCAATGTGAGGATAATAATTGGATCTGCCTCATGAGGTCGCCGATGATAGGTAAAGCCCTTGAAAGACTGCCTGTCACATAGCAGGCATTTATACACAGGTTAGCTCTCTTTTTATATCATACCCAGGCTAATATAATAGATTGCTGTTTAGATACTCACGTCATGGTAGAAAGACATTACAGTTTGGTTCTGGGATTCTTACTATATGAACCACACACTTTAATTGATACTTAGACATAAGTACAGTGGTACTCTGGTTTTATTTCTAATTCTTCTCACTTAAGATTTTCTGGAATTTTGTTTGAATCCTTTCCTTTTGCTTCATTTCTCAGACTTAGATCATGTCAATACATATTTAGCCTTCGATTGGGGCTGTTTAATTGCAGAAATTCAGTATTTCTGTTTTCTGTGGCACATGGGCCAAACTCAGCAGTGCCCATGATGCTAAATATATACATTTTCATAGCTCTATATATTTCCTTCTTTTTTGAGACAGAATCTCACTCTGTCATCCAGGCTGGAGTGCATTAGCACAATCTAGCTCTCTGAAGCCTCTACCTCCTGGGCTCAGGCGATCCTCCCACCTCAGCCTTCTAAGTAGCTGGGACCATAAGCGTGTGCCACCATGCTTGGCTAATATTTTTAAATTATTTTTGTAGAGATGGGGTCTCTCTACGTTACTTAAAGGTGTGAATACCAGGAGGTGGGGATCACTTGAGGCCATTTTAGAGGCTGTCCACTAGAAGTAGTATAAAGTTTCATATGGATTTCCATGTCTTTTGCTGGAAGAGAACCCCTTCCAGGTTGAGTTCTACTAGAAAGAGTCCTCTGATTATTGAAAGGTAATTTCTCCATGGCTACCTCTATTTTATATTGAACAATGTCTGGCTAAATGCAGTCACCTGGGGTTCTGTTGCTTAACCTTTTTATGGTCTCTTATATGTAGGCCACAAATATAGTTTGTAAGCTATAAGTTTATAGCTTACAATGTTGGTTTTGTCAGTATTGGAAAGTTCAACAGCTCCTACAACTTAATTATCACTTCTGTAAACAACTCTGAAAGTCTTCCACAGTTTCCAAGCTCACTCTCACTTCAGGCCATAAGTTTCAAAGGTTTAGTCAGAATCTGAAAGTGCTAAGTCCAGAATCACCTCTTCAACACGCTGTCCTTGTTAACCTCACTACCTCCATCAGTGGCATTACCATTTCCTGATTCACTCCACGTGAAGATTCTGAAGTGACCATCAAACTGGTCTTTTTTCCCACTACCCATGACTGGTCGTCAAGTTATATTGATTTTGGGAGCTGGGTAGTATAGTAGAAACCATCTGAGCTTTAGAAACTGGCAGGATTGGGTTAAAATCCTGGATCCATCAATTATTACTTATTACCATTTAAGTGTTTGTGTAGGGGGTTGGGGAGCAGTGAGGGGAAACGTAATGGAAGAACAAGTTGGAAAACTTTGAATACCATCTAAGTTATAAAATATTATGTAGTAGAGGACCAGGAGCCGTGGCTCACTCCTGTAATCCAAGCACTTTGGGAGGCCGAGATGGGTGGGTCATCTGAGGTCAGGAGTTCGAGACCCACCTGGCCAACATGATGAAACCCCATCTCTACTAAAAATGAAAAAATTAGCTGGGTGTGGTGGCAGGTGCATCTAATCCCAGCTACTCTGGAGGGCTGAGGCAGAAGAATTGCTTGAACCCAGGAGGTGGACGTTGCAGTGAGCCGAGATCGCGCCATTGCACTCCAGCCTGGGCAACAAGAGCAAAACTCTGTCTCGAAAAAAAAAATTTTATAAATATATATATAAATATATATATAAATATATATAAATATATATAAATATATATAAATATATATAAATATATATATAAATATATATAAATATATATATAAATATATATAAATATATATATAAATATAAATAAATATATATAAATATAAATAAATATATAAATATGTATATAAATATATAAATATATAAATATGTATATAAATATATATATAAATATATAAATATGTATATAAATATATATAAATATATATAAATATGTATATAAATATATATAAATATGTATATAAATATATATATAAAAATATATATAAAAATATATATAAATATATAAATATATATATAAATATATATAAATATATAAATATATATATAAATATATATAAATATATATATAAATATATATAAATATATATAAATATATATATAAATATATATATAAATATATATAAAAATATATATAAATATATAAATATATAAATATATATATATAAATATATATAAATATATATAAATATATATATATAGTAGTGAAGAATCACTAAAATATTTTTATGAAAAAAGTATGAATCTAGAAAGCTAAAGTTGGCACAATTTTCTTTTGTCTCCCTTTCTCCCTGTCTTCCTCTCTCCCTTCCCCTTTTTCCTTCTTTCTATCTTTCCTTTCTTCCCTCCATCCTTTCTTCCTCTCTTCATGTTTGTGAAATGGAAAGAGTGAAGGAAGATTTCCAGGATTACAGTCCTGCAAAGAATCCCTTCATTCCTTAGGGTCACTGGAGCACCGTGTGTTCCTCTACTGAGCACTCAAGCTACTTTTGGGATGCTTGTGGACAGACTCACCTTATCTCACCCATAAACTTGGGCCCCGTAAGGGAAGTAAGAAGCTCTGTTATTAAGTGTTGAATTTCCCATGGTACTTATCACAAGGCATTTTGTGTGGTAGATGTTCCATAAATTACTGTTAAATTAGTTAATTAAGGAAAGAAAAAAATAGGAGGGCAAAATCCAGAGGCACATTGAGTTCTTGAAGGTCAGTATGGTGGGCAGCCTCTAAGGGGACTCCCAGTGGTCCTGCCTCCAGATATTCACGTCCTTGCGCAAGCCCCTCCCTCTGAGTGTGGGCAGGAGCTGGTGACTGGCTTCTAACAAATACACGATGGGAAAAGTGACGGGGTATCACTTCTGAGGTTGGGTGACAAAGTGAATGTGGGTTCTTTCTTGGGCACCCTCTCTTGTTCTCTTCCTTATTGCTCAGCTTAGGAAAAGTCAGCTACCCTCTTGTGAGGCAGCCCAGAGAGAAGACCCTAGAATGAGGTACCAGGATTGGCCACATGCCCACCTCCGCATGAGTAAACTTAGAAGTAAGTGCCCTGAACTCAGTCAACCTTCCATGACTCTGCAGCCTCCAAGAGCTTGACTTCAACCTCAGCCTCCTAAGTATTGAGCCAGAGACACCCAACCAAATTACCATGTTTCCCTAACACATAGCAACAATGAGATAATACATATTTGTTGTTTTAAGATGCTAAATACTGGAGTAATTTGTCACACAGAAATAGTGAATAGAGTCAGCAAAAAGAACCAACCCACTCTCACTACCATTTGTCCTTGTCTTCATTGCTAATTCTCATACTGTCAGCTTCTACATGTACCAAGCATTTTACTGGCTTTTTGGGAGTGAGGGCTGTGGGTGGTGGGGTAGAGAGAACAGAGGACCTTGTGATTCAACCAGGCAGCTTCCCAGTGACTCATGAAGGCAGTGGGTGGGAGAAAAAGCGTTGGTTTTAGCCCTTGATACCAAATTAAGAGTAGCTCCCTCAGACCACAAATTCCTCTTAGCCCCATCACCAAGACAAGGAAATAGTTGCAGTTCTTATGGGTGTCACTGAAGAGTGCACTTTGTAACCCCTGTCCTCTCCAGGGCTGTCTTCAGGGAACATCACGTAATTGCACTTGAAAGCAAGTACTGTAGGTGAAAAGCTTGGTGAGAATTGCTTAATGCCACCACTTCCCTTGCAAAACAGCCTGCTCCTGACTATTTTCTGCTTGCATTAATGTTCCTCTGCAGCCCATGTCTGTATTCCTAATGATAGGAACCATGTCTATGGCATTCTTGGGCATGAATGCCATGAGCGATTAAGTGCGATTTTGATGTAGGGAAGCAGACCTTGGTGTAAGCAGAGAGAGCAGACTGAGAAAGCTGGCATGTGGAATGCTCACATCCACATCTTTCCTAGCTATTTAGTAGAAGCTGGCCTGCCAGGTGACCGAATTCCAGTGGTGGTGGATGCACATGCCAACTCCAAGCTCCCTGCTGGGGCCATCACTCCCATGGGAAACAGCTTACTGTATTAGCTAATGAGAGAGCCAATAGGAGATAAATACCCATTAGGCAGATTTCCTCTGGGCCCTGACCTTTCCTGCAGAAGCTGCTGCAGACCAACGGGCTGGGAGGAGGGGAGGAGGGAAGGAGATAGTGGCTGAAAATGCCTAATAAACAGGCCTGGCATCTGCAAAGAGTACCCTGTGATGCCATGCCTTTCTAACTTGGCAAACAGAATTTGATGCTGTTTGAATTTGCAAACTAATGATAAGAAATAATTGCTAAATAGCTCAATAACTGACAGGAAATTACCCTTGTTTCTCCATAACAATGCGACAAGACAATTCAATTAGGGCTACTGTAAATTAAAAAAAAAAAAAGTTTGTTTATAGGATTCACTTCCAACAATGACAATAGATGAGAAAGATAGGAAGACTGGGGAGAGGAGGAGCTAGAAGGGTTTCAAACCCTCCCTGGATGCAGATGTCTGTTGACTCAGGAGGGGCAGGTACCGTGAAAGCTGTTGGATGGAATTCTCCTTTCAGGCTGTTGAGCTGGGAGCGTCCCTCAGGATAATGTCCCATTGGACTGCTTGATGATAACAAGTGGAAGTCAGCTGCAAACCAAAGAGAGGAGTCATCCGATTTCATCCTGCCCCACCTCCCCCCAGTTGCTCTAGATGGGTGGCCCAGGGCTGCCGGGAAGAGTCCACTGGCCCTGGGACACCAACAGTTAACTGGAGCTGAATGGCATTCCCTTTCAGCATTTGCCCAGACCCTTCTTATTAGTGCGTTGTTTCCAGATTCGAGTGTCCAGCTCCCTAGAACCATGTCTCGATCCTGGGTTTCATTTCTCAGGGACCTAGAATTAACCAAGAAAGGTTTACAGTTTTTGCTTTTTCTAGAGATGTTTGCCATCTGAAAAACAATTCTTCCAAACCAAAAATTATTTTAAACTCCAGGGAATGGAGCTCTTATGATAGAATTATTCATAGTGGTGGGGACATAATTTTGTGCAAGAAGCTCTGCAAGACCCCTTAAAGGCTCATCCTCACTCTCCAGCTGCTCTGCCCCACTGCAATGAAGAAGAGCAGTGAATCCAGGACTGGAGGAGACGAGAGAATTCTAGAGCTCACTGCAAAAGCCGTGGGTCTGAATCTCCTCAATATCTCTGAGTCTGACTCTCCCTCCTGGTACATACCCAATTCAACAACAACGACGACAAAGTACCCTTCTAAGTTGGGCAATTCTCTTTGGGCAAAATTATCTGCAGAAATCAGAATTTATTCTTCAATCTCCCCTGACGAATTACCCCAGTATTTAAAAGGCAGGAGAAAAATGGGTAGGCAGTACAGTTTGGGTGGGGAGATTAGCTTTTTAAGGCAAATATCTGCTCAGAATCACCCTCTGGTCCCTTAGTGCTGCGGACGTCAGATGCCAGGGGCCCTCCTCAGCCCCATGGTTCAGGGGTATCCCCCCCTACCAGTAAGACCCAGAGGTTCCAAGGAAATGAGAGGCAGGCAAGAATCTGTGCAAATGTTGTCGTATTTAATATGGTCAGGTTCCCTGGGTGATCCAGTGCACAATTTTCTTCCCCTTATAAATAAACCCAGCTGAGCGTGCGTTTGCAGCTCATCATCACTTACAGAAGCGAATGAGCATAGCAATTTATTGTTTCTTATTGCAGGAGTTTTCAGAGCAGAAAGTTAAACTTTTATCTGCACATTCAAGTGAGGTTCCATCCATTCTCCCTTCCCACCTCCCTCCACTCCCTCCCTGCCATGTCCCCTCCTCCCCACACCAGAAAGTCAAAATCTGTAGACGAGAGGGCTCCGTTTTTCTGCCTGGGAACCCAATTACAGTTGGCTGTTGTGAAATTAACGTTCACAGCCATGAAATTATGCTATAGACGCTTTATAGAAATCACTCAATCAAACAGAGTGAAACCTTTTTTATATGGTAATCATTTCCCACCATCAAATTTCATAGGAAAGAACAGTTTGATTGAACCACCTAGTTAAACTGTGTATGAAATTAGTCATTCTCACCATAAACAGTGTTCTGCTGCCTTCCCAGACAAAAGCTAACAGAATCAAGGTAGTAATTGGTTAGGAAACGACAGGTCCTAATTCTGCCTGAATGGTATTCCTGCTCTTTTTATCATTTAACTGGAAATCCTGAAGTCATGTGCTTCATTTTCTTCCAGAGTGGCCCAACCAAGTGGGCAAAAACCTAGTTGTTGAACCCTTTTCCTATTAACTAGCAATGTGACCTGTGACCATGGGCAAGTTACCAGACCTCTTCGAACCTATGAAATCAGGAATCAGACTTGGTCTCACTTTGGTCTAAAGTAATGTTAGTTGATGGACTCTGCTTCTAATTCTGCTCCGTGAAAAGGTTTGCGGTACAGGAGCACTTGAATGAGCCTGTTCTCTCAGACCAAAGATAAAGAATAGAGTGGGAGAAAAACATAAAGATATGATGATGAAATCAGCTCCTTCCTAATAAGCCAGTATCGTGGGTTAGTCAGTGGAAAAAATTAAAGTCTCAAAAATGAGTGATCTCTAATTTTGTATTAAAGAAACACTGAACCATTTCATATGCCTGGTATCTGCAGCCCTTTCCATTTCAAATAGCTGTTTTGATATTTATTAATTTATAATCATAAGGGTCTCCTTTCTCTCTCCTGCTGAATTTCAGTGGTTTCTCTCTGTCTCACCTGAATGTTACAAACCCTCGCCTACCCTGCTGACCACAAGGCATTTCCTGGAGAGGGTCTTAGGTTGTACCAAATCATGCATAAAAGCCTGTAATTTTGATGTGTTAAGGATTTAGGCATAATAGCTTCTGGCTGTGAGCTTTCTTTATTTTCCTTTCAGTAGTGCTGTCAGTTAGTTTATGAAAAACTCTTATAAATTCTGATCATGTGATCTTTGTGGGATATTCCACGTGCTTTGGTAGTGCCAGGCTTTTTATTTCTATATTGTTTAATAGTTTATAAATCATTTCCATGTGGATTATCTCATCATATATTCAAAACTATCCCATGAGGTAGATACTATGTATCAGCCCCACTATACAGGTAAGAAAGTAAAGGCCCAAGGAGCTGAAATGGCTTTGTTGAGTCCCTCAGCTAGACAATGGCAGTGCCAGCATGAGGACGCAGGAAAGGGTAGATGTAAAGTGAGGCCTCTGGTACGCTTGCCACAAAGCTTAAAATAGCAAAAATCATAATAACAATAAAAAGCAGGATATAGGTCAACTGAAGCTGCTCTGTGCTCATCTCAGATGGCTTTACCTACAGGCCTAGGGGCTCAGCTGGACCTTTCTGTCTCTATGGTCTGTCTCGGTCCATGGATCTCTTGTCCTTCAGATATCCTCTCATCCTTCTTCAGAGCATGGTGGCCTCAGGTTACAGGAAGGTAGAGTCTGTAAGGCCCCATGATGCCTTGGCTCTGGGGCTTCTGTAACATCACCTCCACCACATTCTATGGGTCAAAGTCACAAGGACAACTTAGATTCAAGGAGTGGGAAAATAGACATTACTTCTTGATAGTAGGAGCTGCAGAAGACGGTGGCCATGGTTTTCAGTCTGCCACAAATGGTTACGAAGTGATAGAATTTGGACACATTTAATATATATGCACTGTACCTGCAGAGATCTGGGTCTTTTGAGTAGATAGATGATCCTTCATAGGACAGGAACAAGTTCACTGGGTATGTGCTAAAATGCAAGGCAGCGCTATTGAAACATTCCAGGTTAGTGGAAGGAGCTCTGGATTAGGATATCAGAGACTTGGGTTCTTGCTCTATGTTTATTATAAACCAGCTGAATCAGCCTGGGAAGTTGAGTGTTAGCCTAATTTTCTGTAATGACAGCGTAATGCTCCTCCCAATCTTTTCCCAGTATAGTTGGTATGTCCAAGTGAAATACTAAATGGGCAGTCTATAGAGGGCATAGAGCTCCTTATCAAGATCTACAAATTGCAGGGTGCTGGGAGGGAAGAATGGGACAGGGCCTGGTGAGGAAACCAAGACAGGAGTAATTGAGAATCACACTCAGTGACTTGTTTACCGGATTTTCTATGAAGTTCTCACCCTTCCTATATATGTGCCCAGCTAGATTTTTCTATCCTGTTCATTTCTTTAGACTCACAAATTGCATGGCACTTCCTTAAATACTGCTCAGGATTGGCTAGAATGTTCTCCAGGTGTTGGTATCAGGCATGTTTTGGTTGGCTTTGTTCACTCACCTCTTATTAGCTGGCTGTCTTGCATCGATTTTCCCCTCTTGTGAATAACAGTTTCTGTCTCATGGAGGTGTAGATACATGTCAGATGAAGGCTATGACACCATTAGCAGCGGCTGGCACAGAATGGGTGTTCAAGGACTCCCTTTCCTTGATTAAACTGTAAGCTTCCTGAGGGATTTGGATCTCCTGAGCCACAGACACAGCAAGAGACCCATTGCTGCCACCCAGTGCTTTGTTCGCCACTGTACGTAGCCAACTGCTGACACAACATTGACACCTAACAAATATTTGTGGAAAGAACAAGATCCAGAGCTCCAATCTCCTGTCCTGTGCCCTCTCTCACACCTGGCACCAAATCTCTTTCCCCTGGGTCTCTCTTTCTCTAGTGCCTGAGACACAAGTGCAGTGTCTAGTAGTTTTCTTCATGTTGTAGGAAGTGGTGCTTTGTTCCCCAGCAAAACTGCCTTGTGAGCTCTCCAGGTGTCAAAAGCAGGAAAGAGCACACCAGCTGGGTGGCCGGGACCTCCCTATTCCTCTCTCTGCTCCTAAGCAACCACTCAATCTCGGGCACATCATCTTACTCCTGTGCTTGGTTTTCTAACTGATATGATCAGGAACCATACCCCATAAGCTCCTTTCAGATTTCCCATTCCTTGAATCCACAAAAAACCACACATTGTCATTTTCAAAGGGTATATGTGGGGAAGGGCATGGGGAGGATGGCAGGGGCAGGGTGTGCAGGGGTCATCCCAGAACAGCTGCCATCACAGCCTGAGCCCAGAAGCCAGAAGTTTTCTCCAAAGTTTCACATTCTCTTGGCAGCTCCAACCTGCTGTCCTGAGACCCCCAGCCACCCAGCTTCCAGCAGGGAGATTGCATTCAAACCCTTCCAATTCTCCCACTTGATCAAATAGCCCAGGGCCCTGGAGCCTTTTTCTTCTGTTTGAAAAAGCATCCCCAAATCTGCTCCCATACCCTCTTTGAAAAAACATTCACAAGTCTGACAGTGCCCTCCCCAGTTTTGTCCCAGTTTCCCAGAACTGTCACAGTGGCTGCTGACATTCCAAGAGGGAGCATTGGTGGGATGATCATCCCTGCTCATGGGCCTCTTTTGGGGAATTAACATTCGGGGCCTCTGGTCACTTCTGGCTGCTGAGGTGAGGACATGGCAGGTCTGAGGGAAGAATGGAGGTGGGGCGGGAGTAGCAGTTGAGAGTCAAGGGGGCCAGAGAATAAAGAGAAAGAAAGATACAAGCACTGAAAAGCATTTCTTTTAGAGCAGCAGTGACCACTGTCTCTTGTCTTCCCCAGAGAATCATGGTTTTCCAGAGTCACGTAGCCTCTGTGTTTCTGCGAAGCCCCTGCCTGCTCCAACCACAACAGAGGGAAGCAAGCTTTCAGCTCATAGGGCAGTGAAGGGTGGGATGATGTGGGGTTGCAGCAGAGGCAGGGTCAACTCTGGTCATTGGGAGGCCGGTGGGAAGGATATGCTCCTGTCCAGATGCATCTTCCCTGCACAGAGGAGCTGCACCTGCTGCTAGTGCTCATGGGTTATCATGCCCTTGATGCCTACAGATGCTGCTTCTAATGGGAGACATATGGGGTGACTGGAAGCCTGCAAAGAAAGATGCTTATTCATTGGTGCCCTGATGATACAGCATTGAGCATGAGATAGTTAATAAGAAATTTCCTTATGGCCTTCCCAATTGGGAGGACTAGAGAATTGGCCTTCCTGTTAGGTGGAAACTACAGTGAGAGTATTCTGCAAATGGTGAATGAGCGCCATATTTCTTTTAAGCCCCCTTGTGATTAGAATTAAGGCAGATGCATAGGAGTTCCTGATAAAATTCTTGAGGGACAAGAGGGACGAGGATGTCCGTAGGGTTTGCCTCAAAAGTGCTGCCAGCCTCTCTCTCCTTAGCATGAGGACCCAACTCTTTCTTAAAAGTGTCGGTTTCAGGCCAAGCACAGTGGCTCACACCTGTAATCCCAGCACTTTGGGAGGCCAAGGCAGGCTGATCACTTGAGGTCAGGGGTTTGAGACCAGCCTGGAAAACATGGTGAAAACCTGTCTCTACTAAAAATACAAAAATTAGCCGAGTGTGGTGGCATGCACCAGTAATTCTACCTACTTGGGAGGCTGAGGCAGGAGAATCTCTTGGACCTGAGAGGCGGAGGTTGCAGTGATTGGAGATCTCAGAACTGCACTCCAGCCTGGCTAACGGAGTGACACTCTGTCTCAAAACACAAAAACAGAAACAAGAAATTCTATTTCTTCATTCTGGTTGCTCTTAAATGGAATTCCTACTTCTCTTCACCTTGGAGGGAGCCTCTGTAATATGACTGAGACCTTGGAATTGACTCAGTGGTAATTGCCCCTGCCTTTTTGACTGTCTTAGCTATTCAAACTCAGCCACTTCCATCTTCAGCAAGAGCACCCACTGACCCGTCCCACCCACATTAACTTTGGCCCTAGAGCACCCAAAATCTATGCAAAAGGATTTTCATGAGATTGCCCTTTTAGGTCTACTGCTAGAAGGAACTCTTGTGAATGTGCCACAGGAGGCATGGACAAGAATAGTCATAACAGCGCCATTCACAAAAGAAACACTTGGAGACAACCAAATGCTCATCTGTGGGACAATAGGTAAATAAAGCACGGGATGTACATTCAGTGAAATATTCTATAGCTGTGACACATAACAATATGAATGCATCTCAGTAATCTAGTGTTAACCAAAGATAAAACCCAAACAATTAAACCTAGCGCAACATCCTTATAAAGCTATCAACAAGTAATTACTGTTTAGGAAAATATAGAGATAAAATAAAACCCTACAAAAAGAAAGCCAAAAGAGAAAAAATGATTCAGAATGATGGTCACTTCTAGTGTAGAATGGGAATGGGGGTGCCATGTAGCTGCGCTAAGTTATTGTTTGTTTTGGGTAGAGGATTTGTAAGTGCTTGTCACACTATGAAACAGAACTAGCTAACTAAATAAAAACATGTAGTGGGAACAGTAGAGTAAAGGTTGCTGCCTACACATTAGAAGGGGAACATACACAAACGGTTCCAGCTGGTGGCCAGAGAGAAGAATTCAGAGGCATGTTTCTCACCTAGCAAACTGGGTGCTCTCTTTCTCTCACTCTCTCTCTGCTTGTCTCCCTGACTCTTCATTCTTGCCTTTCATGACCCAGAAATGGACCCTCTTAGCTCATTATGCCCTCCGCAGGTCTGTAAGTAATAATAAATGATTGAACTTATTTCCTACTGTGGTGGTACATTGAATTGCACCTTCAATCTAGGCAAGGGTTAACTGGGACGCTAGGGAGAAAACATAGTCAGGCTCCCAGTACCAGAGCGATGGTCCAGCAGGCATAAACTGGACACGAGTCACCCAAGAACTACAAGGGAGTCTGCCAGTATGAAGAAGTTTCCTGTGCGAGGGACCTCCTGGTCACAAGTTGGACTAGGAAGCATTAGGGCATCTGTTAGGTAAAAGAAATAGCCTATGAAATGTACACTGTAAACATTACGCCAAGCTTCCCATTATTTTCTGTCGGGCTAGGGTTCCTAGCCACTCTAATATTGGAATCCTAATTTAGAAAACAAACTGGCCAGGCGCGGTGGCTCATGCTTGTAATCCCAGGACTTTGGGAGGCCGAGGTGGGCGGATCAAAAGGTCAGGAGATCGAGACCATCCTGGCTAACATGGTGAAACCCCGTCTCTACTAAAAATACAACAACAACAACAAAAATTAGCCAGGCGTGGTGGCACATGCCTGTGGTCCCAGCTACTCGGGAGGCTGAGGCGGGAGAATGGCATGAACCTGGGAGGCGGAGCTTGCAGTGAGCCAAGATTGCGCCACTGCACTCCAGCCTGGGCGACAGAGCAAGACTCCATCTCAAAGAAAAAAAAGAAACCACGCATAGGCCAAAAATGAGAGTGTTCCACGAACTAAGATTATGATTAATTCGGTTCTGTGCAACTGGGGAAAATCTCTCTGGAGAGGAGTCTTAAGACATTGCCAAGAAAATAGCAGAGCTGGCTGGGTGGTAGATAACTTCCTTTCCACTCCCAAGCCAATAGCAGAATGAGGGCATAGCCCAACACTTAATTTTAATCTCGTGCAAGAGTTGAAATCATTGCTTCCTGTCTTACTTTCCTATTGCTGTTGTAACAAATTATCACAAAGTTGGTAGTTTAAAGCTACACAAGTTCATGACTATACAATTATCCTAATGTGAGGCTTAAAATAATACGAGTTGATTACCATACAATAAGTCAAAATTTTGACTTGGGTTTCACTGGGATAACATTGATAAATTTGAAGGGCTACATTCTTTCCTAAGGCTCTAGGGGAGAATCTTTTTCTTTGTGATTCCTACTTCTAGAGACTGCCCACATGACTTGGCTCATGGCCCCTTCTGTCTGGCATCAAAGCCAGCAACGGCAGCTCCAGTCTTTTCTCATTGCATCATTCTGACCTTCTGCTTCCCCTCTCACTTATAAGGACCCCTGTGATTACATTAGGCCACTGGTAATCCAGGATAATCTCCCCAACTCAAGACTCTTAATTCCACCTGCAAAGTCTCTTTTGCCATGTAAGGTAATACATTCGTAGCTTCCAGGAATCAGACACAGCCACCTCGGGGGAACCATTATTCTGCCTATCACTTTCCAATGAGGACACATCCAATCAGCTCCTTTAAACTAACTGTTCCTCTCTCCTCCCTCTCGCTCCAGTTGTTTTGCAACCAGCTGTGTCGAGGGCACAGTGTTGGAGGGAAAGAAAGAGGGACTAATAGACTGGGAAAGCAGGAGCAGGCTACATTAAGGGCTTGACTCCATCTCAGAAATCACCAGCCCCTGGGTGAAGTCAGGCTGAATCAGTCTCTAATTCATTTCATCTAGCACGATATTGGAAGTCTGGGCAGTAGTAGCTGGGTGCAGCGAGGCATGCAGTCCTGCTTTGGAGGCAGGAAGCCCTGACAATGTAGATTTAAAAGGAGGGTCAAAAAATTCAAACTCTTTTACAGAGATGTAATATTGGAGCCTGGAAAGCCAGATATCGAGCCTAGATCAGTGTGCAGAATCAATAGCCTCCGGCCAACAACTGGCAGGGATTCCTCTTTTTCCATCATCCTCTGCTTAGTAAGATTCTTAGAGTCCATATGAGGACAGTGCAACTTAGAGACCTAGAGAGAAGTATGGAAAATACATGGAGGCTGGCAGAGTTCCCAAACTATACAGAAACTATAAAAAGGCTCTTAAAAACCTCCTGAGATTTTTTAGTATGAAGGGACCAAAAAAAGAAATGGCTAGTAAGTAACATACTCATTGTCTCCAAGTCAAGCTTTATCACACAGAGCACGTGGACAAGTCATTTCCTCTGTCTGAACCTCAGTTTCTCCTCTAAATAATGAGGGGTTTATATAGAGCTCTGTGTCTGTGTTTGACAATTGCCATTTTCTCGGCATAAAGTGTGTTTAGCCTGTTCTCCGTGGCTGCCTTCAGGTAGATGCCAGACATCGCCTTTTCCTACAGCACCAGCCTCACTCCTGCTGACACCCACTGCCTGTGCAGAGCTTTTCACGGTGTGCCATTAGGGCCACGCGACACAGTGACAGGCAGGAGCTGGTTCAGAGAGTTAGCTGAATGTGCTCTTGACTCCACGTTCACATTGGTAGCTAGACGATGGCCATGGTGGCCTATGTACACCATAGAAATGGGCAAACACTGCAAAGCGGGGATTTCCCTACCATCACCTGAGCCCATTTAGCAGAACCCACCCACTGGATAGCCCTTCTGCTTCTGCTGGTACCACTCCTGGAAGCAGGAAAGCAGCATCAAGAATACAGGCCATAGAGTCCATCACCCAGTGTTCAAATCCTGATTTGCCATTTTCTACCTGGACTACATTAGACCTTATGTAACAGTGCTTTATATTAGATAAGGTTGCTATGAGGATCAAATGTATGTAAACACTCAGCCTGATACCAGGTGCATCGCAACCTCTCAGTAAGCGTGCTCCTTCTGTTCTGTTAGGATTAGTGAGATTATTGAGGAGTTTTACCAACACTGTTGTGAAAGAAAATACCTCTCTTCCATTTGTATTTTGCATGTCAGATGGGGGATCAATGAAGAACTCCTGTGTGCCAGTAATTTACAGAGTTTGAAGGGAAACCCTGATTTCAATAATCTGGATTTCTTCCTTCCCCAGCCATCAGGATTCAGAGAACAGTCTGTGGTGGGCTGGGTTGGGAGGTAGATGTAAAGGGAAGTATCGTGTGGTTCTCAGAGTCATTCCTATTCAACAACCTCTAAGGCTTTCTTACTAGACTAAGCTTATTTGTCCCTTTGTCTCTTCCCTTAGGATCACTTTTTTCCCCTAAAGCCTCCTCAATCCTATAAGAAAAGAGACATGAGTGGGCAACCCTACCAAGATTTATACAGGCAGCTCCCAGAATGTGCTGGAGATCCTGACACCAACACTGGGATTTTGAGCCCATAAATAAATAAAACAATCTCTGTTCTCAGGAGGCATATGTGCCCAGGGTTACTCCATCCTTACTGAGAATTATGCAAGAGAAATTCAGGTTAAATTGTATCTTAATGGACTGAAGTTCTACATAAAGAGCCATCTTCTCAAAATGAAAGCCATATGATAGGAATTCTAGAGGGAAACAGGGTCCTTTCAAAAGTAACTTTACAGTCAGAAAAATAATTCTTGTTTTGCAGAATAGTGATGTTGGAGAATGGCAAATATATGGCATGAGTGCTTAATCTTCCCATGGGTGCTCAAGGGAGACACACCTAATTGATCACAGCCCTCTCTCTCCTGGAGCTTATAAGTAGCCTCAAAACACTTCTCAATGAAGCATTCTAGGCAGCCATTGTCAATCAATCAGAGTGGCATGTGATATTAAAATATATTTGCCATCCTCAGTTTAGATGAAATGGGGGAATGGACGAGATGTTATGATGAGGTCCTTTCTAATCCTAGGGTTCCATAACAGTCGATGATAGCATCAATCTAACACTGTATCCTCAAACTGCTATTGCCAGATCTGGATAAATACCACAATTAACTGGTGAAATACACTTGCAATGTCTAGTGAAGATAACCTGTTCTTTCTAGTAGAGTTTTGATTTTCCTCTGCATATCATGAGATCTCTATTTGCCCCATATTTTCTGCTGATGAAATATTATTGATGGTGGCGGTGATGGTGATTATTATTAAGACTATCAATAATAATAAGAAGTCACCCTATATTTCCTAGTAATAACATGAAGATGATTACTTAGCTTGCAAACGTATACGATTCATCTTCTACCTCTCTCTTCTTGATCTCCCTAAAGCACCAATCCCATTACTGGGTAGCTTTTTAAAGTGATATTTCAGTTCTTCACATGTGTCAATCAGAAAGCTAAGGGCTCATTTTTGCACTGATATCTGTCAATTCAGTTCTGAGAAAAAGATACGGCTCCCCATTACCAGTGGGTAAACACATGGAAAGAAGCACTAACCTTTCATTCTTTGCATTCATACTGACCCGTATTTGCTAGACACCTTCTCTCTGTTCAACTTTCAGCTTGTGACCTTTCTAGTGTTTGTCTGTTTATTTCACAGTTGACAAAACCAAAACCCAAACTAAGAAAGTGAGGCCAAGTCTGCACAGGAAGTCAGTGTCAGAGCACAACTAAAACCCAGATCTCCTGGCTGCTGTGTGCAACTTTAACCTCAGGCCAATTGTTTTTCATTACATCACACTTGCCAGTGAGATGAAATCTACCTTTGGATTGAAAAGTTGGGCGTTCTGATTAAATCAGATCTAGTTCTCAGTTACGAATTGAGTTCATCTGTTTTGAAAAAGTCACTGTGTGTTAGCTAACTCTGGAGGCTGTGCAGGTCAGGGCGTTTTCACTGTGGAGCAGATCCCCAGCTACAGATGGACGTCTACATGTCTGTATTTGCATTCCCTCCCACACACAAATACCCAGCACAGCACACACTTGTTAATTTAATTTATGTATAAACATAACCTGCCAAATTTTGAGATGATGGATGATTTAGGGCTTTAATAAATCCACCATTGAATGAGCCCAAGAAATTGTCTAGTGTCAGCTTTTCACTAAATGCAATTAGTCAGGTGGAAATATTACAGATATAAAAAATAATCTTCAGCGGAATTTCATAAATTTGGTAGAAAACACAGAATCTAGGAAAGCTGCTTGTTTAGAAAGTGAAAAAAGAACGTGGGAGAAAGCAAAGAAGGAAGAGAGTGAAGAAGAAGGAAAAGGAAGAGGAGGAGGAGAAGGAGAAAGGAAGAGGGGAGAGAGAAATAAATATTGAGAGAGAGAGAGAAAGACAATGTCACCTGCTCTTGCAATTCCATCACTCTTTTCTGTGTACACAATGCAAGCTTGCTATTCTTTGCAGATCTTTTGCCCTGCATACATTTGGCAGTGAAGATGGAATGACAGCTCCTCTTTTTGGTGTCTGTACTGCCTTGCTTTCACACTTCTTCATTTCCCCTGCAGTCATCTGTGAGGAGGTTCAGACAAGTTCCCAAAAGAGACAAAGTGAACAATGAGTAGAGTTGGCCTCTGGAGCTTTAGGATCCACATTGGCAAACTGCACTCGCTACTAGAAGTCATCCTGCTCTTCTCAGATGGTGCCTGTTCTCCTTGTCTTCTCCAGTATTGCTCCAGCCTCCGGAGCATTGGTTTCAGGTCCCGAATAGAGCCAGGGCTGGGAGAAATAATCCCATCAATAGGATCTTCTTGAGAACAGGGGATGTGTCTTACACATTACCAGGTCAGCAGTGGCCGGTCCAGGACTTGGCACGTAATAGGTTCTCAATGAATATCTGTTGGATGAATGAATGGTTTTGACTTTCCTCATCTCATCTAAGTTGAGAAAAGATTCACTAGGATATTATAAATAAGTTCTTAAGGAGGCGTATTCCATCTCTGCCAGAAAGTGCTCTATTCTTAAAGAGTAAACAGAAAGAGAGTAACTTAATTCAGAACCTTTATTTTCTAATAATGAAACTGTAAGCTCTGGTGGAGCACGTTCTTGAGCTCATTCTTGAAGCTGAGCTGCAAAGTAAGGTGAACCCTAAGCTAAGTTGATTAGAGTTTGTGCTTTACTGTGTGATGTTTGTTTTCATTGCTTGGTCCTGTGATACAAATATGCCTGAAAGACAATATGGCACGGTGGTTAACATAGAAACCAGCTTAACTCATTTAACCTTTTGTGCCTCAGTTTCCTCATAGAGGGCAATAGTACTTACATTATATTATTGTTGGTGAAGATTAGCTGAGCTGATCTTGGCAGAGCACTTTGAACAGAGCCTGGAACATAGTAACTACTGTGTAAGAAGGATCTATTATGATGCTTTGATTGAAGAAAAGACAAAAAAGAATGAGCTATTATTTTTCTTAGACCTCATCCTATAAGACTATGAAATGGGAATAGTAAACAACCCCCGTGCCCCATTTCTTGTTTGTATGATATTGATACTAAGCACAACATAGTAAGTGCTGTGTCTGAAATAGGGGTCCTATTTGGTGGTTTGGGCAGACGCTGACATTTGTGTTTTTTAAATCTACCACTGGAAATTAGCCTAATGGGGAAGAACGTGTGAGGAGCATTCACATCAGGAGAAAGACTGCCATCAGAAAGGAAACAGAGATGCCCATGCAGTCATCCAGATTCTGAGTCACTGAGTGTGGGGGAGAAAATTTCAATAGCAATAAATAGAATTTGGTGCATAAACTGTGATTTGAGCAGCAAGTCCTGCAGTATAGTTGGGGCTGGCTTTTAAACTTAATTATGCACATGTGTCTCCGGCAGAGTTTATTGAATCATATGGTGTAAACCATAAACAAACACTAAAAACCTGGCTGGGTTGACGGCTACAAGCTACAAAATGATCTTTAAAGATCAAATATTTATTCCAAAATCCCAGGAGCCAACCTCTCTGCATTAAAGTCAAAAGCAAGTGATCCATTCTTCCTCAACAGTAGCTTATGAATCTTCTTCCTGATTGGAATATGTACAAACAAATTATGGTCCCCTGAGTGCCACGCTGCACGGAGGAGCCAATTTGGGTGACACACAAAATGCATAATCTAAAGGATTAGTAAATTGCCTTGGCAGTGAATTATCTCTGCAGAGCTTGACATAAATCAACCTCGTGATGCGCCATTCAGGGAATGTAAAAGCCTGGGCTCCCCAATAGTTTTCTGGATTCCCTCTGGCAGGGCCTCATTAGGCCTGGGATGGCTGATACGCTCAGCAGGGTGGCTTCTGAGGGTGGCTAATGGGAAAAAGAATGCAGACATTCCATCCTCTGCCTACTACAAACAATCTCATGATTAGCTGCAAAACCCAGGCCTCCTCATTTCTCAGGGAAGAGAAGCCTATACTGTGTTCCTCAACCCCACTCCAAAGATGCTGCCTCATTGCTGATTTCCATTCCATTTGGGATCTGAAATGCAAGCTGTTATCACCAAGCTTTGCTGCAATTCTGGGTTGCTCCTCAGAACGTTTGTTCCTTTTTTTTTTTCCTTTTATGGAGCAATTCACAAACCAGCTCAAAGTTCATAACTCTGCCTGTGGCTGGCTGGTGGCTTTGCCTGTGTGTTTTTACAATAGTTATATATGTATGCACATATACATATTGAAGCATAAGTATAAATATCTGTGTGTTATGGCCCATGAGAGGGAAGCTTCCTTCCTGCAGGGAGTTTGAGCTATCTGCAAATGACCACCTGGCCCTGTTCATCTTCCAAGACCTTGCAAGTCCAATCAAGCCTCACAGATAAGGAACGTATTATAAAGATACATACATGTCAAGATGCTGATGCAAGCTATATCAGGGACAGCAAAAATAAAGAATAAATAAATAATCATCGGAAGATTCTGCTTGAGGAAGTTGTCTATGATGGTTTTGAAGCATATTTGCTGGATGTCCTCTGCTTATATAGTGAACAAAAAATCATATTTTTATTGCTAATGTTGTTAAGACCATCGTTTCCTTGACCCTAATCCTGGTTTTCTTTGTTTCCTTCGATGTGACTTTGTGTTCCCTAAATAGATATTGCCAACTGAGGTGCTGGGGGCCGTGTGCACTTGGAAAACAGATTTTGTTTACTACCACCTATAGCTTTTTGTGAAGAGTCAATATTTCAACTTAGAAAGATTTGTTACTTCTCTTGCAAAATAAATCAGAAGATTGGGTCCTCATTGCACCATGGAATACTGCTGTCCCACTGTGTGGCAGGAGCGAGGTCATTCTGGGGAGAATCTCAGCTTCAAAACATCCAGATATCCTCACATCTCCCTCTGCCCCAGATCTTCTCCTGTTCCCCAGTGGAGCTATTCACACTCCAGGTCATCTTTGAGGCTTGTGGGAGTTACTTCAGCTCTCATACCTCTGCAGCCAAGGAAGACCTGGGACAAAGAAGATCTGGGACCTCTTGTACTGCCAGGCCCAGTGGCCATCCTTTAGGCCTCCTGGACTTTGACAGTTCTTTGGCATAAGGCAACCCAAGCTAACTGGATAATATCCAGACCCAGGAGCCAGAATGTGCTGGTCCATTTTTGTATTACTATAAAGGAATAGTTCAGACTGGGTAATTTATAAAGAAAATAGGTTTAGTTTACTCACGGTTCTGCAGGATGTATAGAAAGCATGGCACCAGCATCTGCTCCTGTTGAGGGTCTCAACTATAATCATGGCAGAAGGCAAAGGGGAGAAGCTGCATCATGTGGCAAGAGACAACAAGAGAGAGGGGAGGTGCCGTGCTCTTTTAAACAACCAGATCTCATGTGAACCACTAGAGAGATAACTCACCACCAAGGAGATAGCACTAAGCCACTTATGAGGGATCCACCTCCATGATCCAATTACCTCCCACTAGGCCCCACCTCCAACACTGGAAATTACATTTCAACATGAGATCTGGAGAAGACAAACATCTAAACTATATCACAGAGTAAGAGGATGGAGAAGAAATACCAGCTCTGGGGCCTCCTTCCCCTAGAGAGATTCAGGAGATCTAGCAACCCTAACAGAGGAGATCCTGCATGGGCTAAGGTAAGCACCTGAGTACAATGTTACCTTTATGGGGCATAGAGACACCTTGGAGGATGCTGGGAAGCAGGGATGCTAAGGATTTCTGATGTCAGGGAGGGGCCTTGCCCAAGAGCATGAGGCTCCCACACTTCACCGTGGATGGTCACGGGCAGTCCACCAGCAGTCTACAAGGCCTATAGTGACTTTGTGGATTCTCTGTATTTTTACACCAGAACCGTCTCCTTAAACACAAGGTAAAATTGCTCTCTTTTCCCATTTCCTAAACATTCAGGATGTGGTTACCTGTTCCTTGCCTACCTCCCCTCGCGTGCCTCGCAACTTATATGGATGTGAGAATATTCTGTAAGATGTCCTCCCGGAAGTGCTATGCTTAACCTGCACACTGGTTCTTGTTCATTCCTTCTGCTGCAACCCTTTGTAGATGAGGCCCCTTGTCTCCAAGCACTGTCAAGCTGCCTGATTGTGGACTAAAGCTTTGAGTGTGGACACTGGTTTGGGAGAATATTAACCAGAGTCCTTTAGGTTTTTATCTACAACTTAACACTCAGAGAGAGATGAGCACTAGAGTTTTTTAATATGGTTCTAATAAAATACACTTAGCACTAAGCCTCCGCATCACTGATGGCATGGTCTCGCTCACTGCATTCTGGCATGGTACATAACTTTCGGAGCAACAGTGCTCTGCTTCATTGCCACCTTCTCACATTTTCTACCACCATAGGGCACTTTGTCCTGGAAGTTTGTCAGTACCAAAATGATCTGAGTGCCGCTCAGAAAGTCCTGCAGAATAACTGTTGGTGGCTGAAGGCCAGGAGGAGTTGTACTGTGATAGGCTATAGCCACGCTGTAGCGTGAGGCGAGAGATGCTGCCTGACTCTCAGGCTCATGCTAAAGGAGTAAAGAGATGAAGAAACTCATCACTGCCTCCTGAAGGGACGGCCACTTGGACTTCTTTAAGATGATGGCACCTGTGCCCTTTGACCCTGGCCCCTCCCTTTGGCTTATCTCCTCTCCGTAAAGCTTTGTTCAGAAACTCTTATTCCTGGCCAAGACCCTGAAGAATCTGAATATGTGGTGGAAGAGATGCTAGATTCCTACTGGTGGCTAGCCAGGTCCAGCAACCAGTTTCCCCAGCAATCAAACAGACCAGAACCAGAGCTCTGGAAGTCTTCCTTGCACACCCATAACATGCCAGAGTGCACTAGAGATTTTCCTGGAGCAAATCCAAAAAAACTGAATTCTGCTGCATCCAGGGGAACTGGTGAAGTGCTGGGAGATGTGGTGGTGGGAATACCATTTGAATCTGAGCATGAGCAGTTGTATCTGTGTTTACATTGCTCAAGAAGCTTCTCCAGTGTTCACATTTCAACCTTCACCTTTACACGCCCTCCTTTTACCTGGTTTCCCCAACACAGCCTATCCCAACCAGCATAAGTTCATTTGAGATAAGGGGTCACTGAAAGGAATGTTTACCAGCTCTGTCTTGATTACTCTTGGTGGTAGGAGGATCCATCCTTGCTCCCCAAGCCCTATCTTGGCAGGCAAGTACCCTCGGCTTGCTCCTTGCCATTCTTTTGTTAATTGAAGCCACTAATGGCTTGATGTTGAGCGTCCTCTCAGCCGCTTGCCCACTGTCTGGCCAAGGTGCTAAAGGACAGAGAAATCCCCCGCAGCAGGCCGCAGGCAGAAGCAGCTGCTGCGGCGAGGAGGTGGGTAATCTACAAATGATTGCAAGCCAGTGAATAAGCACACATTGATTATGCTCATTTCACTACCAGTGGAACTGCCTATGGGGAGGATGGGCTAGGGGAAAAATTGATGAGCTGGTTAATGTGGCTTATTGGCGAGACAGTTTTAACACCATGTGGCTTTAAGAGTCCTGTTTAAAAAAAATTAATGTGGAGATTGCATTCTAATTGGTCTGAGTTCATACGCAGCGAGTTGCAAATACGTGTCTCTAGGGGCAGTTCTTACATTAGGCTCTTTGTTCCGAAATCCTTTGGGGTGGAAGAGGGTAACGTATCATATTGAACATTTGTTAAGTGCCACTGGTGTTGTGCACACACTGTGTAGAGGATGCAGCCAGGTGGGATGTGTGGATCCTGAGTGCTGAACAGGTAACAGTAACGAGATGTCCTAACTTGGAAGCTGAGATGTGGGGAAGACAAGGGTTGATGAATGAGATGGATGCTAAATAGAACTCTGAAGGGGAAATCAAACCCTATTAGAGGTAGAGAAGACTTAGATGGTATTGAATGTATCAAGAGAAACAGAGACCGAGGGCAAGAGGAAAGAATGAAAGAACAAAAGGAAGGAAGGAAGGAAAAAGAAAAGAAAAGAAAGAGTGAGAAAGAGAAAGGAAAGGAAAAGAGGGAAGGGAAGAAAGAAAAGCGGGACAGAAAGAGAGAGAGATAGGGAGGGAGGGAAGGAAGAAAGAAAGGCAGGCAAGTGAGCCAGAGAGAAGAAAAGAAGGATGGATGGAAGGAAGGAAGGAAGGAAAGAGAAAGGGAAGAAAGCAAAGAGGGAAAGAGAGACAGAGGGAGGGAGGGAAGGAGAGGGAGGAGGGAGGAAAGGAAAGAAAGGCAAGCAAGTGAGCTAAAGAGAAGAAAAGGATGGATGGATGGAAGGAAGGAAGAAAGAAAGGAAGTAATGAAGGAGGGAAGGAAGTTAGTTTAGTTAAGGGGGGAGAGAAAGGGAGGAAAGAAGGGGAAGGAAAGTATTAACGATCCTCATCTATTCCTCTATCAGTAAAATGCATCCTGGCTTCCACCTTATTGCTCACTCCATTGTTCACACTGGATTTAAACTCTAAACCCTACTCAAGTCCTTTAGTAAATCGTTCCTGGGCCATTCTAGCTCACAGAAATTTATATCACTGATGATCTCTTTAAGTAGCATTTCATGTGTTATAATAGAAATTGACTTTTGCTTTAAAATGCTACTTAATTATACTCTTTTTCCACGGCAAAAAAATTAATAAAAATAAAATGTGGCTCAAATATTTAATTTGCTCAAATATTTTATCAGCTCCTTTAGAGCAGATCTTATCACTTACTTATCTCTGCATCTGCCATAGTTTTTAGCACAACATTGGAACATAGAGGAGGCAAAGTTGGTGATTATGGACGGCACTTGGTTTGAAATTTGACTCATGCAAATTAAGAATTCTCCCCACTGCCTTGAAAAGGCTAAAGGCCTTTGCTGTTTTTGCCCAATACCTAGCAGGTTGGTCCTGATCACATTCTTCTCCTTTTTTCCCCTCTGTCTTAGTTTCTACTCCTTAGGATCCTCCTCCTCTCCTTGATCCCCATGTCCCAGCCCTGAAGAGAGTGAGCCAGTGAGAATGACACCCTCCTGCCATCTTGACAATGATCTTAACCAAGCCTGGTCACAGTCACAAGTCTTGACCTCAAGACTCCCTTCCCACCCAACGGAAGCCCCCCACCATTCCATTGAAAGCCACTGCACAAGTTTTTCCTGGTCAGGAAGTCCAACTGGCTTTCTCTCCTGGTTTCCTTATTTTTGCACCATGTTCTCAAATCTGGAGACCCCTCTTTTCATGATTCCTTCAAATGGTCAGCTCTGTGGGAATCCCTGCCTGGCTCTGGTTTCTCAAGGTGCTGCTACTCCCTGGCATCATCCCTTCAGCTTCTCGCGCTGAGCTCACAAACAAGTGATCCTCACCCTGGTACCAGATCCTCTTCCTAGACACCCTGCTTGTCACAGAGGTAGATCTGGACAAGACTTCTCATTAAACTACTTGACTGAGCAACAGAATTCAGATTGTGTTCTCATGTCACCACCTTGCTTCTACTCAGGGACACCAAGGAGTGAACGGCTGGTGCCCAGCATCTCATCTCATCTCAGGGATACCTTTGGAAGACCCATCTTGTTTCAAAGATATGGAAAACACTCGATTTCCTTTTTACCTCCAATTTCCCCTTTCCCTGAGTACTTTTTAAACCCTCAGTTCCTTTACATCTGGCTTAAAAGCAATCCCATTTAGCCCTACAGAGCTTTTAACTTTTCAAAACATTTTCATACTTTTAATCTCATTTGATCCTTACAATATCCCTGCGAGGTAGGTAGAACAGTCATTATTAGACCCATTTGAATAATGAGCAAAAGAGACCCAGGGAGATGAATGTCTTGCTCCATGTCCCCTGAGAAGGGACCTTTGTCTCCTGACTTCTGGGTCAGTGTTTTTTCATTATTCTAGGGAACTAAGTGACTTGGCCATCCTCATTTCAAGCTCTCTAGTGTCCTGGCTCCATCCAGCAGGAAAGGGAGGGGAGGATGTGTGGGGACAGGACTGGGGGTGGTGCAGCAAGGAAGAAGGTTCGTAAGGGGAAAGTGCTTACGTGGCTTACATATCAATGGCTACTCATTAGCAAGGAGAGGTCAGGGCACCTGCCGATAATGATGTCTGCATTATGGTAGTTAATGGAAATGGTGCAGTACCTGCCCCATCAAAAACTAATCTGCCCAAGAGACACCCAGGCCCAGCATAGCAAGAATGAGATCCCCGCTGGGGATAGCTCCTGGAACTGAATCCAAAGCCATTAGTATCAGAAGGCCTCGGCCATGCATCTAGTGGGCCCTGCTGATTCAGACGGTGCAAAGACTACAGCCATTAGTGGGGCCAGGCAGGGACTGGAAAAGCAGCCCTGGAGACTGGAGACTTAGATTCATCTATATGCCTAGAAGGATGCTGAGATGCTTGTAAGGAGGGGCTGAGGAAGAAGGAATGGAGGGTCTTCACTGCCCCCAGTTCCATGGGGGTCTTGGCATGAACACTCTACCCATTTTTTAAAACACAGCCAAGTAGTTTGTTCCTCTCCAAACTTTGTCCCAAACACAACCATGCCCGGGTCTTACCCATGGCATCATGAAGGGCTGTTTCCCTGTTGCTTGTCTAGCTTCCTCCAGGGAGGCCAGGGTGAGTGGCTCAGCCTCCAGGACTTGCAGAGCCACCAACAGCAACGTACCTAGTAGCCATGTCTGAGACAAAACAGGAAGGTTGCTGTGGTACCCCGCACTGCAGCACTGTAAGCACTGGGCCAGAACTTCGGGCACCTGTGGGGCGGTGGGGGAGTGGGAGGGGCGGTTGCTAAACCTGTCTCTCCATTGGCCAATGTGTGGCCTTAGCAGAGGCTCTTCCCTCTTGCATGACTGTTTTATCTGACAATGGAGGTACCAATGGCTGCTCATTGGGTGGCCATGAGGACTTGATTTCATTTTGGAAAAGAGGGAACAAGGGAGGTTTTAAAAGTAGAGAGAGACCAGGCATGGTGGCTCATCCCTGTAATCCCAGCACTTTAGGAAACCAAGGCCAGTGGATCACCTGAGGTCAGGAGTTCGAGACCAGCCTGGCCAACATGGAGAAACCCCATCTCTGCTAAAAATACAAAAATTAGCCAGGCAAGGTGGTGTGTGCCTGTAATCCCAGCTACTTGCAAGGCTGAGGCACGAGAATCGCTTGAACCCAGGAGGTGGAAGTTGCAGTGAGCCAAGATCGCACCACTGCACTCCAGCCTCGGCAACAAAGCGAGACTCCATCTCAAAAAAAAAAAAAAACAAAAAACAAAACAAAACAAAAAAAAAAACTCTAAAGGCAAAATATTGCTCTTCTGTAGATGAGAGCAGCTATTTCTTTTTTTCCTCCCTGAAGGTAGCACTGCCAGCTGGCATCCCCAGGGGATTATCAGGTGAGCAACAGGCTTGACACACTGGATTTCTCTCGGGGTCCCATTGGTTCAGGCAGGGCACAGGGTCCAGTCATTAAAGGGGCCAAATATGCAAAAGAGAAAGCCCCTCAGGGCCTCTGCATACACTTACAGCCTGGCCCTCCAGGTGGCCTCACAGACCATCCTGTGCAGGTAACATTTTATTACTCTTCTCTTCCTCTGGCCCTGCCCTTCCCACAGTAACAGGTTCTTTCTGACTCATGGCAGCCATAGCATCAACATCCAGCCCTCTAGCTTCCTCCTGCTTGTGTTTTTTTTTTCTTCCAAAGGCCTGTCTCTCACTCGTCCATGTTTCCTTAGGGTCCACAGGTAGTTCCGATTGAAAGGTCTCAGCAAAATTCAGCAAGCCCCTGGCTTTTTATAGAGGAAGAAAATAAAGCCCGGAGAGGAGAAGCTGCACTCAGAGCCAATTAGCAATGAATTCCAGAGTAGAATCTCATTCTTCTAAAGTCAGGAGGCCTCATGTAGAACCAAGAGACGAAATAGAGAAGATGAGATCATATGACCTCTCAGTCCAGCCAGATCTCTGGACCTAAGCTATCAGATGACCCGTATGACCTTACAGATGTAGTTTACTTATTTTATTCGACAAGAAGATCCAGATTGATGCTGTCCTGTATGGTAGCCACCATATGACATTTCAATTGCATGTGTCATTTCAGTTATAATTAAATCAAATTTAAAATTTAGTTCATCAATCTCATTAATCCCACTTTAAGTGATTGCAGGGTGCAGTGGCCACCATGTTGGAGAGTGCAGATACAGAACATTCCATTAATCAGGGAAGGTTCTATTGGACAGTGCTGGTATAGGGCCGGGATTCGTTATCTCATTTTTCAGATGGAAAAACTAAGGCTTAGAGAAGGAAGAAGACAATAACTTGTCTGATTCCTGTAGTCAGTAACAAGAGGGACTTTACTTTTTGTTACATCAATTTCTACACCTTTGCCTATAAAAGGCAACAACTGCATCCCATTTTGAGGTCCTTGGAAGTGGTGGCTCCTGAATTTCTGCAACAAGTGGCTTAGAGAAAACAGCCTGATTGGAATGAGGGTTCTTGACACTGTTTCCATTTTACTTCATGTAAGATTGAGAAAATGTTGCCTGTTCATATCAAAGATTGGAACAGACTAGATAGAGATGTAGGAGTTTGGCTGAAGCCATCCTTCATGACATCCCCCTCTGTAAGCTGCCTTTCTCTTCGTTTTTATACAATAAAGATAACATTTATAGAGGCTTACTTCTCCTTCCCCCCAAATGATAAAAATAAACAACTTTGCTTAGTACAGTAAAAATTGTCTTACCTTGTTTGGTAGAAATTATCCAATTTTGACCATATCAGTAAAAGCAAATACATACTATGCCTTTATTAATAGAAGTCTAGTATTAAAGGAGAGCAGTTAAAACCTAGATCTACAATAAATGGCCAGACTACATCTGTGTTATTCATGGGAACTTGTTTGAGAAGGACTACAGATAAGTAAATGCATATCGTAAATTATGTCATGAGGCCTGGAACAAGAGAATGGATATGTTTAACATAAAGGAAGACTCAAACAGAATATATATGGTCATTTCTAAATATCTGAAGAGTTGTTGATTGAAAAAAATACGTTTGTTATGTGTTTGCTTATTGGGTGGAACACTGGCTTATTTTCAGCATTTTCATTTTATCTTAAAATCTGATTTTCTTGGCCAGGCATAGTGGCTCATGCCTGTAATCCCAGCAATTTGGGAGGTTGAGGCAGGAGGATCACTTGAGTCCAGGAGTTTAAGACCAGCCTGGGCAACAAAACAAGACCCCATCTCTACAAAATGTTTAAAAAAAATCAGGCGTGGTGATGTGCATCTGTAGTCCCAGATACTTGGGAGACTGAAGTGGGAGGATTGCTTGAGCCTGGGAGGTTGAGGCTGCAGTGAGCTGTGATCGTGCCACTGCACTCCAGCCTGGGAGACAGAGTGAGACCCTGTATCTAAACAAACAAACAAACAAAAAACCCTTGCTGTCTTAAAAATAAAAATAGTATTTTTAAAAGTTCACTGGGAACTACATGTTAAAGAGAAGCTGATTTCATCATCATCATCATCATCATCATCATCATCATCATCACCAAGGTCAGTAGGTCCACCTGCTCTAGACCACGTTTTCAAGTAGTGTTTCCTAGAGCCACTGAGGGGGCTGAGCCAGAAGATCTCACAGCTGCCTCTCCATATCAAAGCATTTTCATGAGGCTGGGAGATATCAAAGAAGCAGTGTTATAACAAGCATAAGAGCCTTGAACCAGTAATTGTTTCTCCTGAAAAGTCTCCCAAATTATCACAGGAATGAGACATTAATAGACAGTTCTAATCTGGTTACCCAGAAAGAGAGCAGCTATCCAACATCACTTTGTGTTCATTATGTTATGTTATGTTGTCATATTAATGTTGGTTTGTAATTCCCTCCCTCTTCTATATTATTGTTTTCTCTTCTTGGCTTTTAGGCTGAGTATCACCCTCTCAGGGGTTATTTTGCCTTATGGAATCTTTGCCTTTGTGGGGAATCTCAGAGATCATGCAATGCAAAGCATAAATGATCTGTGTCCACTGACAAGCCAGCTCTTATGACTTCCCAAAAATTGTTAGCTGGTAAGCTAACAATTTATCTATTCTCCTTTTAAGAAACAGGGTCCCTGGAAAACCATAAGGGCACCTAAAGTTGCCAAAAAGGAATGAATATATTTGAGCAGAATAGAATGATGAGTAATTTTGAATTTCACTCAGTACATGACCACTCATGATATTCCCTTAAAAATCAACCAATAATCAGAGAGTGTAATCACCATTTTTATGGGGTAGTTTGAGCTCTAATCTCATATATTAACTGGCATATTGGATCATTGCTGGAGACTGCATTAGAAGACCGTTCTTCCAGTTGGTTTTGGGCAAAGACAATGAGGTTTCCCTGAAACTGTATGTAACTAAACTACTTGAATAAAGTACAAGACTCTCACCATGTAATACAATCCCTAGTAGAAGTTTAAAGCCATTGTAATGTTCTCCAAATTTAGCAAAGAGGTGGAGTCTATACCTGTCTCCTTCTACACAGTGTGGTTAGAAATCTGAAATGCAGAAGTGTTTCTACAACATAATCCATCAACCCCTGAGATGAATCTACATTCATAACCTGAAGAGCTATTTTGAAGAGTATCTGTATCACATAAGTTAACAAGTTTAATAAAACTTGTGTTTTATTAAATGTATATTTCCATTACCTACCGTACTATGTGTTCAAGTAACCATCCTTCCCCTGCAGTTTCTGCTAAATTGAGAGTTCTCTGTGTTCCTCAAGTTCTATTCTTTTCCTACTGGGCACATAGCTAGACCTCATTTCCCAGTCTCTGCTGTGACTGAGTCTGGCCTGTAGAACGTGGGCAGATCAAATGGATGTAACCTCCAGGCCTGGCTATGAAACACTCTGCACATCTCATCACACTTTTTCTTCACCCCCATCTGCTGGTTGGATATGAGCAAACAGCAGAGGACTACAAGAGATGGAAAGGTCACAAATTGCAAGGATTCTGGGTCCCTGAATCACTGCATGGAGGAGAGCCACCCAGGAGAACTGCTTGACCAGAAACACTTAAAATGGAGTATTTCATAAAATGGAAATAAAATTGTACAGTGTTAAGTCAGTGACCTTTGAAATTGTTTGTTATAGCAGTTAGCCTACCCTTGACTAATACATTATTTCACATAAATTACAGTGTCTATATCTAGATTGCAGTTTACACAAAATGCTAGAAATCAGAGGATACATGTCTATGGAATGCATACAATAACATACTTTGCTATAACATACTGGAAGTGGGATGGGTACAGCAGAAAGATTTTCTGGTTCTGTGGAATTTGGCCAGTTGAGCTAATGCTAACTAGAGGTCAGACTCTAACTGAAGCACAAATGGGAGAGGTTTTGAGGCCAGGTGGCTGCAGAAAGGGTTTTTACCCAGGTTTCCTCTGGCTGTGTTATGAGGGTTATCAGAGATGAACAAACTTGTTCATGATAGAAAAGACCATATTCAGGGAAACAACAGTGTGAGTCAAATCTGAAGACAAATTTAAATCAGCAATGGGCCAGGTGTGGTGGCTTACACCTGTAATCCCAGCACTTTGGGAGGCTGTGGTGAAGGATGACCTGGGGTCAGGAGTTCGAGACCAGCCTGGCCAACATGGTGAAACCTTGTCTCCACTAAAGATACTAAAATTAGCTGGGTGTAGTGGAACACACCTGTAATCCTAGCTGCTTGGGAGGCTGAAGCAAGAGAATCACTTGAACCTGGAAGGCGGAGGTTGCAGTGAGCCGAGAACGTGCCACTGCACTCCAGCCTGGGTGACAGAGCAAGACTTGGTCTCAAAAAAAAAAAAAAAATCAGCAATGAAGCTGATGACTGTGTTGAGATCAGCAATCAGTCCTAGTCAGGCATATTGAGGGTAGGATGGGCTGGCTGCCAGGAGTAAGTTGAAGTAAATGGTTCAAGGTTGAGGCTATAGATGGCACATATATGTTGGAGATTTATGGTTCTGGTTTCATCTGGAGCCAGTCAACCTGGTGGCTTTGAGGTAGGCTGTTTATGAGCCAAACAAGAAATAATCCTAGTTAAATATCACTTATGCTATGAGACTTATTTTCAGTATGCTTTTAAATAAAAAATTTTGAAATGCTTCATCAATTGATATAAAATTATTTACATCTTTGGGCCAAAGAAGCACATTATCCACTGAAAAAAAATGTGTCACAGATAAGAAATCCACCTTAAAGAAGATATTCTAGAGAACGAATTCTAGAATGTATATTAGATGTTCTAGGGAAAGAAGAATTTTAGAAGGTATACTATAAAACATACTGGCCAAAAAGAGTTGGAAGCTCTGGGGTTGAATTTTAATTTGGCTACTAACGTGCAGTGTAACCTTGGGCAAATCACTCTTATTTGTTTCAGTTTCTTCATCTGTAAAACAAGGGCATTACACCCAAGGACAAATCACAAGTCATTTCCAACTCTGACGTTCTATGAGTCTAAGATATTATCTTTCCTAAGTGTGTTTCTGTGATGCTACAGAGGTGAAGGGAAGGGTGCCTGCCTTTCTACAGAAGACTGGACCCTGACTACAAATTTTGGTTGACTCTGGGCACAGATTGTCACTCATTAGAGAGTGCCCCTGGTTCCAGTGATCTAGACAGTTCAGCCCTACTGTGCAAAGGGGACTCACACAGCAGGTGCCTCAGACAGTTTCTCCTGAAGCACATACATCAGAGAAAAGATCGCAGGCTTTAGAGGTAGACAGAACTGGCTGTGGATGTCCTTCCCTCCTCACCTCTTAGAATCGTGGACAAGTAATTCAACCTCTGTGATGCCTTAGGGTTCTCATGTGTCAAATGGGGATATAACCAAAGTCTCTCAGCATTTGAGAGCAACACAAACCACATCCATGTTCTGACTGTCTTGGTTAATTAAGCAAATGAAAAAACGTTGAAAAAGTTTAACAAAAATCAGACCATATTTTATATATCTACATTGAATAAAGTAATATTTCAATTACATAACACACAGGTAGAATATCATTTAGCAACACTGAGGCCTGTTATGAAAGTGACGGTCAGATCCAGTGGCTCCTTTCCCCTTTAAACTCCTACCTATCTGTGTTATGTCCTCCTCTGCTGCACATCTTCTGTGTGGTAAAGGATTCAATGAGAAAATGTTTGTAAAGTGCCTGGCTTGACATGGCAAGTAGGCACTCAATAAATAGTAGCTATTACACTGATGATGTATGGGCAATCCTGAAGTTCAGCAAGCCCTTGCAAGCACCTGTAAGTCACCCTGGGGAGTGTGGCATAGACTGAGTATTTGCCTGGTGCAAACCCCTTCTTGAGTCTCCATCCCACTCTCCTTTTAATCCTCCTGGCAGCCATAAAGTGTCCTTAGACGCAGCCTCTCTGAGTGCAGATCTCTGGCTCCTTGGCTCTGGAGCCAGCCTCCACCTGCAGGGCCACTTGAGTCTTTAGGAAAGTATGCTAAGGATCCCTTCTGCTTCTCGGCATTTATTTACTGTGGATTATTTATTGTGGAAATATGAGATGGATGGTTAGGGAAGGAGAGAACAAACAAACTTACCTTCCTCACTTGCCTTAACGTGTTTGAGTTCCTACTTGTATGCACTGAAATATCTATAATTTACTTTTCAGTTTTGCAATGTTTATGGCTTTTATGTCATTTGAAGGTTATTTATAACAATTATATAAGGAAGCAAAGTACCATAAACTGAAGTAATTTACTGTAAAATATCTGAAATGCTAAAATATCAAATGGTGCATTACAGTAGTGCTAGCATCGCTCTTGGAAAAAGGAAAAGAAAAAAAAGTCTAAAAATATAGCCTCTACCCCATCAGCCAGTCTGTTACATTCATCTTGCAGATTTATACACTAAAGAGCAACTGGCAAGTATTAATTTAATTGCTTTGAGGGAGGGGTTGAAGTTGAGAGAATATGGCTCCCCTATCCAGTGCTTATAAACTTAGATGGATTATCTTGGAGCAAAGGGATACAAAGGTGAAGTCAAGCACTATGGGCGTCAAGCTGGCCATGACCCTCTGCTCCTTCTGCTAAATCCTGACGTCCTGAATCCATATGACAGGCATCATATCGCTGGTAGCAGGGAGAGAATTAGGGAGCAATGAGCCTGTGTCTAGTTTCTAGTTCTAGAAAGCCAATTAAGTAACTTGAGGACATCAGGTCAGTGAGTGATTCAAGTCTGGCCGGTGGTCACTCCAGGAAAAGGCAGAAGCCTCTCCAACCAGGAGAAAGGCCTTTAGTCCTTCTCAAGCCTATGTCCTAATAAAATGACATTTTTTCTCATCCCTCCTTTCATTCATTGATTCAACAAATGTTGAATACCTACTACGGGTCAGGTTTTGGAAACACAATGGTGAGCAAGACAGCAGGATCCTTCATGGAACTGAAAATCTGGAGCCTCAATATTAAGAACTATGGACATATGTTCACTGTAAATCTGATAATCCTACAGATTCTAGTCTGAGCGCAGAGGGAGTTAGCTTATTAAAGTACCCAAGGAGGTGATGCCTGGTTGTGGGAATATGGAAAAGAGTGCTGCTTCTAGAACATGGCAGTGTGGCTTGCTTTCTGATTGTTGCTGGAGATCTGGGTTGGTGACGAAAGATCACTCCTCAGACAGCTGCCCCCTTACTTTGCTTCATCTGTGGAAAGAAAACAGAGTTGTTGCTGGGAGGGAGTAGTCATGCAATTCTCTGCCAAAAGTAAAACTGCTTTGTGGGCATTTATCAACCTGAACTAGCCACAAGAGACTTGAATTTCACGTTAGTCTCCTCCAAGTGAACCAGAGCATGTGGGCTCTAGCGATTATCTCTCGGTTGTAAACCCCTTGCTGGAAATATGGGGGTGGTAGAGACATGGAGATTTTCCCTGTTTCTCAAACAGGAGGGTAGGAAGGAGACAGGGAGGCTTGGCACTATACACAGGCGACTTAGACTCCTTTCTACTAATCATCATTTGGTGAATGATGAGGAAGGCAGCTCCTCTGCCCCTAAATCTTTCCCTTTTCTCTTGTGCTATGATTCCCCCAAATTATCCCTTATCTCTGCATTCCATGAAGTCAGTTTTAGCTCCTCCCTATAGGGCCTCTTGGTGTTTGTTTGTTTTAAACATAAAAACTGCATTAATAAATTTTAAAAAATAATTTTAATAAAATATTTAAGCATATTTAAATAAGTAAAAGATATTTATTACAGTTTATATCTAAAAAAGAGCATACATGAAAATGGGTTGATGAATTACCACAAAGTTAACACACCCGTTTAAGTACCACTCACATAAAAATAAATAGAACATTTCCAGCCCTCCTTCAGACCCCTCATGCTCCCTTCAAATCATAACCCCACTTCCTTTCCATAGATCATTACTGTCACAATAATAGTAGAGGACGTACCTTTTTGCTTGGTTTCACTGATTCAAGATTATGTTTCAAAATTGTGGTTGCTTGTAATAGTAGTTTACTCATTTTCATTGCTGTATAATATTTCATTGTAAGATCATACCACAATCTTCTTTTCTCCTCAGGAAAAGCTGATTTATTACTCAAAGATAGGCATCAAGGATAAACAGAAGCTTAAGATCCATGGTAAGCTACTCCCTCAAGGCCTAGGAAAGTGCCCAAGGTGGGTGGAATCTTGTCTGCATGTACTTCACAATGGACCATAGCTGAGTTACCCTAAAAGTACTTTGTCCTGGGTTTTGTATACCCTGGGCACCAATTGTCTCAATGAGAACAAATGTTTCAGAACAAGGACATAGCTTAGATTGTTTCAGACACTTCCTCCTTATCTCAGGATGTTAAATTCTTAGTACATTCTTCAAGGAGATGTGGGAAGAACTGGGTTGGCCAAGGTCATCCTCGGGATGGAAAGGCCGAGGGGACCTTTCCTCCTATAACCTCTTTACCTCCAGTTTTTCTCCTTAACTCAGTTGCGTCAGGCTTTTGGCCCTACCACATTACTGAAACAGTTCTTTTTAAGCCTACCAGTTGCCAAACCAATGGCCACCTTTTTGTCTCCACTTATTCTCTCAGGAGCACTCAACACAGTTGGTCATTCCTTTTCTTGAAATGCTTTCTTCATTTGGCTTCTGTTGAACTTTAGTCTTGATGTCCTTCCTCCTTCAGTGGCTGCCTTCTCATTGTTTCCTTTGCTGGCTGAGTTGCCTTCTTGCATCTTTAAATGTTGGGGTTTCCCAGGGCTCAGTACTGTGGAAAACTTCTCCTACTATCCTTATTTCCCAGATGATCTCATTCAGACCCAGGGCTTTGAATTGTATCCATGTATTCATGACCCCAAAATTTATTCAGGTGGGGACTCCTCCAAATTACAGACTTGTGTATCTAGCTGCCTGCATTTTAATTCCACCTGGATGCCTAATAGGCATGCCAAACTGAGCTTGTCCAAAACAGACCTCTTGATACACCTCCCGTGCAAAAACTTGTTCCAGCCCCAGTGTTACATCTCCCTAAATGGTACAACTGTTCACACGGTTGCTAAGGCTAATAATGTTAAAATAGCTGCTGCACTTAGAACAATACTTGGCACATAGATAGTTAACAATAAATGTTAGTTGAATGAATTAATAAAATTAATCTCATAAACCAGTTTCTACATGATGTGATGGAATGCAACCCTGAAGGATATAGAAGGTAGGAACAAACCTTCCTCCTACTCTAACAGCTAATATATGTATGTATGTATATGTGTATACATATACACTCACCAATACCCACACATATATATACATACATACACATACACCCACATATACACACAAATATATACACATATAGCTGTATATACACAGAGAGAGAGAGAGGAAAGGAGTGCTATGTGGGTGGAGATTAGCAACCACTGTCATTCTGTGGGTCATCTGCCAAGTCTGGGTATGGGCTGAGAATTGTTTTTTGCCATAGGCAGAGGGATTCAGCTAAAGAGATTAAAAAAGTAGTAGAACTTTTAACAGACTTGTGGGCTGATAGGAAGGATCAGAATTTGGAGGAGCCTCAAACTTGCAGTCATGTCTCACCTGGGTTTCTCCCCACTGGCTTTTCTTGAACACTGGAGTGGCATGGAGCATAACAGGCTGGGCTGGAAAGTCAGAGATAAATCTCCTGCAGTCTTTTGATTTATCAGAGACACAGTCTGGGTAGAGAAAAGTTCTCTACCAAAAGGGAAGAATCTGTTTTTCAAATTTTGTGCTATAGACTTACAGTTAGAACTGAATGAAACTAAACCCACAGCCCAGTACCAACTTAGCTCAATGTCTAATTGGTTTGAAGTGACTACTCTTCACCTGTATTCGTGACAAAAAAGAGCATGAACAACCTCACCTGGCTCTGACTGCTTTCAAGTTTTTCTTTTTATTGTCTTTTGACCAGGATGTGCCTAGGTATGGCTTTCTTGTTTTCATCCTGCTTGAGGTTTTCTGAGATTCTTGGATCTATGGGTTGTTGTCTGTCACTGCTTTTGAGAAATTATCAGCCATTATCTCTTTGAACAGTTTTTTTTTCTGCCTCATTCTCTTGCTCTTTTTCTTCTGAGATTTTAATTACACAAATTTTATATTAGCTGACAATCTCCTATGTAATTCTCATGCTTTTTTCTCTTCTTTCCATTATTTTTTTCTCTGTACTTTATTCAGTTGGATAGTTTCTTTTGTACTGTCTTTGAGTTTGCTATTCTTCTCTTCTACTGTGTTCATTCTACTGTCAAACCCATTCAAGGAATTATTTTAAGTCAAAGTGAAATATAAAAACTTAAAAATAATAATTTTGAAGTGTACAATTCAGTGTCATTTAGTCCCATCACAGTGTTGTCCAACCACCACCTCTAGTTCTAAAACATTTTCATCACTGCAAAAGTAAACCCCAATCCATTAACTACTCATTCCCTATTTCCTTCTACCCGTAGAGTTACCCTGACAACCACCAATCTGCCTTCTGTCTGTATAGATTTATCTATTTTGGGTATTTCATATAAGTGAAATAAAAAATAGATGACATTTTGTGCCTGGCTTCTTTCACTTAGCATAATGTTTTTGAGGTACAGCCATGTTGCATCATGTATTAGTACACTCACTATCTGGATCTCTAGACGGTCTACTTCCACTGACTGTTTTCCTCTTGATTACAGGTCATGTTCATTTTCCTGTTTCTTCATCTGTCTCATGATCTTTTTTTTTTTTTTTTTTTTTTGCTTGTTTTGTTGTGGACCAGTCTATGCAAACCTGCCCCAAAGTCCAAGGAAGCTGAGAGGCTGAAAAAAAAGGTTGACAAATCCAGTTTCTTGGAAAGAAACATTGGGAGTCCAAGGTGGGTGGATCACGAGGTCAGGAGATTGAGACCATCCTGGCTAACATGGTGAAACCCCGTCTCTACTAAAAATACACAAAAAATTAGCCGGGCGTGGTGGCGGGCGCCTGTAGTCCCAGCTACTCTGGAGGCTGAGACAGGAGAATGGCGTGAATCCAGGAGGTGGAGCTTTCAGTGAGCCGAGATGATGCCACTGCACTCCAGCCTCGGTGACAGAGCAAGACTCTGTCTCAAAAAAAAAAAAAAAAAAAAAAAAAAAAAGAAACATTTAACAGGAACTTATGAACAGAAGCTATCTGTGTCTCAGGTGGCAGTGAGACAAGATGGTGAATCCCCATACCACTACACCCCAGGACTTGGGGCTTATATACCACAGGGGAGGAGTCATTCAGAAGGGATATATAAGACAACTGAAGCATAATAACACCTAGGTTGTTTAAGCTAAGGACAAGATTTATGGTAAGTATCTGCTCTTACACAAGGCACAACAGATAAGAAATCTTGGAGGCTTTCCTGGAACATAGGTTAATCAGAAGCCAACAGGGCAGATTAGCATCCAAGATGGAGTTGCTTTAGCCTCCACAATGCTAAAAATTGTATGTAAAATGACTACAGAGTCTGATATACCACAATCTTTATCCACTGTACTGATGATGAGCTGTAGAATTATTCTTCATCTGTAGTTATGATGAATAATGCTGCTATAAGCATTTTTGTGTACATCTTCTGGTCTAGATGCATTTCTGGTAGGTATATATGTAGAAGTGAAGTTGTTGAACCATAAGGTGTGCATATGATCGGCTTCATTACATACTGCCAGACAGACAGCATACTGTCCCAAGTGGATCATCCTGCCTTTTTTTCCCCACAATTCTGAGTGAGCATTGTTTGCTTCATATCTTTGTTGACCTTTGATATTGTCAGTCTTTTATATTTTATCCATCATGATGGATGTGTATTGGTATTAATATCTCCTAGTATTATTTTTTATAAATCAACTTCCTGAGATATAATTTACATAAATTATATATTCATTTTAAATATGCAGTTTGATAAATTATTGACAAAAATAGTATATACTTCTTGCTAGCCGTCACCCAATCAAGGTAGAAAACATTTCATTATCTCAGAAAGTTGTTTCCCCTCACAGCCAGTCTTTGCCCCTTGACACCCACATACCCATCCCAAGACAACCACAGAACTGATTTCTATGACCACAGACTAGGTTTGCTGTTTCAGAATTTCATAAAGATGAAATCATGACCGTCTGTACACTCTTGGGTGTTGTATTAGTCTGTTCTTATGCTGCTAATAAAGACATACCCAAGACTGGGTAATTATAAAGGAAAGAGGTTTAATGGACTCACAGTTCCACATGGCTGAAGAAGCCTCACAATCATGGCAGAAGAGCAAGGGACGTCTTACACGGTGGCAGGCAAGAGAGACCTTGTGCAGGGAAACTCCCTTTTATAAAACCATCAGATCTTGTGAGACTATTCACTATCACAAGAACAGCACAGGAAAGACTTACCCCCATGATTGAATTACCTCCCACCAGGTTCCTCCCACAACACGTGAGAATTATGGAAGCTATGATTCAAGATGAGATTTGGGTGGTGACACAGGGAAACCATATCAGGTGTGGCTTATTCAACTCAGCTATTACTTTTGAGATTCATCCATTTCATTGTTTTGTGTATCAGTCGTTTGCTCCTTTCTACTGCAAAAGAATATTCCCTTGTTCATATATCACAATTTGTTTGTCTATTCATCCACTGACAGGAGTTTGGGTTGCTTCTTATTTGGGGCTATTATGCATAAAGCTGCCATAAATATTTTTGTTGAAGTCGTTTTTTGTGAGCTTATGTTTTCATTTCTCCGGGATAAATATCTGAGAGTGGGATTGCTGAGTTTTAGGTTAGGTGAATGTTTAACTTTACAAAAAACTAAAAATTGTTTTTCAAAGTGCTTCTGCCATTTGGCATTTTACCACCAATGTAGGAGAATCCCAGTTGCTCCTCACCCACATTTGATATTGTAATTTTAAGCATTCAGGTCACTGTGAAGGGTTATTGCCTTGGGGGTTTACTTTGTATTTTCCTGATGCTCCATTCAATTGAGTGTCTTTTTAGTATGCTTATTGTCCATTTGGATATCTTATTTGGTAACATGCCTACCGTGTCTTTTCCCATTTTTGAATTTTGGGTTGTCTTTCTCTTCACCTATTGAATTTTAGGAATTACTTACACATCTTGGATACTTGCCCTTTGTTGGCTGTACATTACAAATATTTTCTATCGAACATCTTTTAAAAGGCAAATCCCATGGAAATAGAGACCCTGCTGAGTCACAGTCACCCAAGTTAATGTTTAAAATCCATTCCGTTCTTAGTGGAGGAATTGTAGGATTTACTGAGCAAGGAAGAAAGGAGAAGGAGTAGGAGCAGATCTTACCTGAGCCATAGAGATACAAGGACAAACATGACACTGCAGAGTAAAGGCTTTGGGTGTCGCCATGGCAAAATGCTCCAACTCACATGCAACCATCAGTGGTTGCCTATGCTCTGAAGGTTAAAGTTGAATTTGGGTTTAATTGGAATTAGTTTTGAAATTGATTACTAGAATCTGTCATTGACCTTGTAGTGGTTAAGTGTGTGTCATTTGACAAACCAGTAAAGAACTTAGAATTTCAGAACTCTACAAAACCTGGGAATTGTCTATTCTTGTCCCCTATATTTTGCAGATGACAAATTGAAAATCCACAGCAATGTGTCCAATGTCACAACATCAAGTTTGTATTCTAAAGACTGATGTAATCTACTTTGTGTCTGAAAAGTGGGAAAATACCACAAGTGCTTAGCATCCGGATGGATAATTTGTGATAATTATCAGAGAAATGTAATATGCAATCTTGTCTTCAAGAAAATTCCAGTTGAATGAGGAGGTAACATCCTTCCCCAGAATGGTATAAGAACAATGAAAGGGGCTTTATTTCAAGTGTAAACACAGAGAATTGGACTCAGTCCAGAGAGCTCTGACAGTGACCAGCTTTGATAGTCTTGGGGAAGGCCATGGCAGGTTTGAGCATGACAGTCTCGGCCCATCAGTGATCTTCAGAGCCGAACATGTTACTTCTTTTCAGAGGTCAAAATATGTATTCACCTGCTGATCAGCCAAGTTCTTGAAGACCTGCCCTGGAAGTGGGTTTGCAGGCAATTTAACAGGAGCAAGTGCTTGATAAACATGTCCATTGATAGATGGATTGTGTTTGCTGAGAATAGAGGCTGGTTAAAGAAAGTACATTTGGCTTCAACTCTATTCCCAAGGACTGTCAGTCTAGGAGACCCCATCCAGGAACTTGCAGAAGAGGAGGATCTACTGTGACAGGTCATTATCAAGGGGCACCAATGCTGCAGGTCAGCACTCAATAAATATGTCCAGCACTGCTAGCAGGTTTGCAAGAAGAGCAAATACTCCTGAAGAACAAGCAATAAAATGGATATTTTTATACTACTTTATTTTTATTAATAATCATAATAATAGGTGCTCCTTGTGAAGAAAATTCTGTTCTAGGCAGAGTTCTAGACACTTTATAGTTAACAAAATGCATTCATAAGCTTTCCTCATTTCATTCCACAAATACCCTATGACTTAGGCAGGATAAATAATAATGATTTTGTATAACAGATAAGGAAATGGAGGCATTAGTTTTCTTTTATAAATGGCATAGAATTTGGAAGCAGACAAGCCTGTGCTTAAATATTAGTAAGTTATTGTTTTTTTATTAATTCACTTAATACTCTGTTGACTTAAGAATTAGGTATTCTCAGGAATAGAATGTGTCATTTCCAGAACAAAAAGGGAAACTGATGCTCAAAAAGCTTAAGGGTCTATAAGAGCAAGTTTATGACAAGGCTTGAACTAAACCCAGGTCCCTGACTTTCATTCAGCCTACCCTTCTGATACTGTGTATTATTAGCATTATTTTGATATCTTTAATCCATATTTTTTCAGTGCATATAATTTTCATACTTGCAATCCAACTGTGTATAAGGGAGTAGTGTAGGGTTAGGCCTGTGGGTATCTCTTACGCACACTCAGACTAAAGGACAGCAATACGTCCATGTTTCAAAACTGCACTTGTACCCCCCAAATTTATACAAAAACATAGAAGGCATTCCTGAGTATAGAGAGGAAATAGTTATGTCAGCTCTATTATGGATGAACCCTGTCCACCACTTGATGTCTCTGAGATTCTCTTTCCTAATATAAAAAATAGGATTTGTTCATTTTCTGAAGGGATTGGAGTAATGAAACTGAAGGAGGAACAACACCTATTGTGTGTTATTCACTAGGGAAGTCCAGAGATGGGCCAAGCACCATCTTTGCCTTGGAGGTGAGCTCTTCATTGCAGATGCCCGAGTCCAACATCCTGTTACTCCTCTGCCCCTCAAGTTGCTCAGGTTTCCCCACTGTGCATTCCTCAACACTAACAGCTCTGTCTCCTTTTCTCTGGGAGCCTTGCATCTATTGGGCCAACCCAGTCTATTCACTGGTACCAAGACATGGTAGACCAGTGGTTACTTGTGAGGTTTCCACAGTATAGTGAAGACTGCATGGCCTTGAAGAGCCTAGCAGGAGAAGGTTTGCATTCAGCCTCATATCGTGTGACTTTCAGCAAGTTATTTGGCCTCACGAAGTCACCATTTCTCCATCCATTATCACAGAGATAATCATTTCTAAGTCTCGGTGTATTCAGGCACTTTGTAAATGCTAAAACTCTCTGGCAACAGACAGGATAATTATTGTTCTTGCACGAGATGACATTTGCAAAGACGGTCCTATGGAGCTGACTCAACATCTGCAGCCAGCCAGGGCCACCTAGTGCCACTGACAAATTTAAGATAATGAGCTGGCTATAGGACAGCCTCTTCTTGAGAAAACAGTGCATGGTGACAATTCTCATTCTTTTTTTTTTTTTTCTAACTTCAGTGGAATGTCAGTTTTTGCCTTTATGAATGGGAAAAGACATGGAATCAGTTTCCATTCTTAAAGGTAGAAACTGACATTCCACTAAAAACTTCAGTCCTTGGATTGTTCAGACTTAGAACCTTTTATGGGAAGCCCAGGAAGTGAAATCTTAAAGCATTATCATAGCCCTTCCTGTGGATCAGTTGTGATGAGAGGGAAAAGAGGGTATAGATGTCCCATAATTGCATAGAGTGGGGCTGGAAGCTGACAGACTCTATTCAAGCCACCTTTTTGACTGAAGGACCCTGGGGCAAGGCATACCTCAGAGAGAACATATCCTAGCTCTGTTGCTCATACGATGCACGCCTGTGTCACTGTGGGCAAATTATATCACATATCTAAGCTTACTTTGTCCCATCTGTAACATGGGGTTAACACCACCACCCCATCAGGGCTCTTGTAGGAATTTTTTTTTCTTTTTTTAATTTTTTTTGGAGATGGAGTCTTACTCTGTTGCCCAGGCTGGAGTGCACTGGCGTGATCTTGGCTCACTGCAACCTCTGCCTCCTGGGTTCAAGCAATTCTCCTGCCTCAGCCTTCCAAGTAGCTGGGATTACAGGTGCCTGCCACCATGCCCGGCTAACGTTTGTATTTGTACTAGAGATGGGGTTTCACCATGTGGTCCAGACTAGTCTTGAACTCCTGACCTCAGGTGATCCACCTGCCTCGGCCTCCCAAAGTCCTGGGATTACAAGCATGAGCCACCATGCCCAGCTTTTGTAGCAAATTAAATGGGGAAAGATATAAAAACTTCTTTGCATCTGCTTCAATGTGCAGACCACCCACTGCCTTGCACGTGGAGGGAAGGGAAGGAGGAGAAAGGGAATGCGATTCATGATTCCTGCTTTGGAGGTGCTAATGCCTTGCTTCCTGGCTGCCTAGCTCCTGCTATCTGGGAATTCCCACCCTCCTCTAGGCACACCCATCATGGGCAGGTTCCTCTCTCCATAAAGAAAAGAACTCCCAGGCTGCATCCCTGAGCTCTGTCTCCAGCCTGTTATGATTGTCGTGTGCCTGGTTTCAGGGAGGGAGCATCTCTTAAAAGGGCGTTGTCTCCTCCTCTCCATATCTTCAGTCACAAGCATCAAGAAAAGCCTGGCCTCAGGTAACTGAGGCTCAGCACCAGCTCTGGCACTCAGCAGCCCTGTCCCAAAAGGTCCCCTTCCCTCTCCTGAGTCTGTTTCTCCACTGCCAAACTAAGGGTTGATGAGATGATGTCTAAGGGCCCTTCTGGCTTTAAAACTCTGACTTCTCAAAGGCTAAACAAAACAAAATAAAACCCCAGGAACAGATAAATTCATCAAAATGAAAAAACTATAACTCAGTTATTAGATGCAGGCATTGGAGGGAAGCCAGAAAAGGCTGACGCAGCTCTCACTTGCAAAGGCAATCTCTCCATCAACCTCCCCGCTCCCTCTCCGGCCCCAGCTCACTGCTCACTCACCATACTCAGGAAGAACCAATCGAAAGCATAGGCCCTCCATGGGGAGGCCAGACTATGAGGTCTCCAAAGTAGAAGGGGTGCCTGTTTAATGCATTGCTGAGCTGCAGAGTTCCACCATCCATGACAGTTGTGGGAAATTTTGTGGCCTACCCACCTGCACCAATGGGTTCCTGAGTGGAAGGATTAACTTGATCCACATCTAAGATGCAGCATATTAGAAGAAAGAGCCTTGCCTTGCAGTTGGAGAGGGAGCCGTGGAGAGTCAGTTTCAATACCTCCTAACTGCACGACTTTGAACAAGTTATATAATCCTTTTCAGAATCTCACTGTCCATAATACTAAAATGGGAGCCTATAGCTCTGCCTATCTCCAATGCATTGTTGTGCATGTTAACATTTTTTAAATGAACTTCAAAGTCCTCAGTTAAGGCTAAAGCACCATGCAAATGTCAGGCCTCATCAATACTGAGACCAGGTACATATTTAAGGGTTTGGCTAGGCTGCTCTGGGTGCAACTACTTTGATATTGGCACTGATTCTAAATATTGTTAGAGTATCCTGTGCTTGGCAGTTGTTGGAAAGAGCTGGGTATCCTTGTTCCCTGAGCCACCTGAGGGTAAAACTCCTGGACAGAAGGCTGCACAGGCAGTGCCATTCATCCCCAGGGCATCTCAACACAGTCCTCAGAGCATCCTACACCTGGGCACAAGGCCCCTCTCCTATGCTGCCCAGTGGGAGGAAACCACACCTGGCAGTGCAAGTCAGGAAGCCTGGGAGTAGAAGGCAAAGCCCTCCCTGAAGATCCCATTGTTTCCTTTTCCTCCCTCCCCACTGACACCAGTAGGATCTCAGTTCATCTCAGAGGTGGCATCCCAACCATTCTTGTGCAGAGGCTGGCTGCTTCCCTAGGGATGAGGGCTTTGCTAGAAAACAGGAGTACCTTTGCTCTCCCAGTGTCATGCCCTCTGCCCAAATTATGCAAAAGCACAAATTATCCTGGGATGCAAATCAGGCTACCTGCAGAAGCATACCCAGTTGCTCTGGGAGCTTTGAGGAGCCAGACAGTCATGGCCACTGTCCTGAACCACAGCCTCTGTGGTACACCCTGCAGTCTACTGAACCAGTGCCCCATAAGAGTCTGCTCAGTGTCAGGCATTTTGGTGGGTTCTGGGCAGAGGAATAGGGGCCATTAGTACCTGCTAAGTTAGCTTTGCTTGTCAGTGTCAGGCAACCAAATTATTCTCCATCTGAGAGGGTTCATTTCTGACACAGTGTTCATGGATGTCTCTCTATAAACTGAGAACATTTGAAGCCATTAAGAAAAATGATTTTCTAATTATTCCTGTAGTCAGAGGCAGGAGCACACAGCAAGCTGATGAGTTCTCTCTCTCCATCTCTCTCCAAGTGCCCCACACTTGTAAAACTGGAACCACAGCCCAGCTACCTTGGAGGAAGTTCAAGAGCTGAGTAGCCAATAAGAGGCTGTAGTTCTTATCCTGACCAGGTATTATTAAGAGAGTAGAATGTTGCTGTTTTCCTTCCTAAGGGTCATGTGTGGCTCAAGGTCTTCCTCCATTCCTGGGGTGACTGCAGCTGCTGAGAGCCATTGCTCCGGCTCTCAACAAGTGTTGTCACTGCTCTCCTGGGCCATCAGATCCAGCCCCCTAGGGCTCCCTAGGCAGAACTTTTCCTCCTCCTTTATCCTTTCAGACATTGCCAACCTTCACGTCAGAAGTCTGATGCAGGGTGGAAAAGTGGGGGGCTTTGGAGCAGTGGGGAGCTTTGGAACAGTGGGGAGCTTTGGAGCAGTGGGGAGCTTTGGAGCAGTGGGGAGCTTTAGTATCGTCTCTGACCACAGAATGTAGGCCCAGGGAGCACCTCACCTGGGCAGCAGTGCAGTGTGGGAGCACAAGTATTTGGTGGTTGAGGCACTATCTATCCAGGGCAGCAACTGGTATGATAGAAAACGCCGCACATCATTGCTGACCTTCCTGTATCCTCTCTCTCCTCTCACTTCAATCTCTGGCTAGCTCCTTTCTCAGACACCTTTGAACACACCCCTCTCTTTATAACCCTGGTCATGCACTTATCATTTCCCTTTCTCCTCCTCCCTTCCCTACCTGTAAAATAAAGAACATGAACTAGAGTTTTTCAGAAGGACTTTTTGCTCTGACAGCTTATTACTTGATGATTTCTCCTTTCCTTTCCTTAAACTTCCAGAATGGGAACTGAAAAGCATATGAACCAAGTGCTGCTGATCCTGGAAGCTCAAAATCCTTTCTTAAAAGGGCTTTTGCTGGGGAGGGTTTTCTAGGAAATAAAGTGTCCTTCCTCTTACTCCATGATAGGGTGACGGGTTTTCTTGGGAGGACAGTGCAGGCCCTGGAGGCAATTCACTTGTGGAACCATTGCTGTCAGCATGGCAGACAGCTGTCTTCATCTTTTTTTTTTTTTTTTTTTTTTGAGACAGGGTTTTGCTCCATCACCCAGGCTGGAGTGCAGTGGTGTGATCTCAGCTCACTGCAACGTTTGCCTCCCAGGCTCAAGTGATTCTCTTGCCTCAGCCTCTCCAGTAGCTGGGATTACAGGCACCCACCTCGATGTCCGGCTAATTTTTTTTTTTTTTTTTTTTTTTTTGTAATTTTAGTAGAGATGGGGTTTTACCATGTTGGCCAGGCTGGTCTTGAACTCCTGACCTCAGGTGGTCTGCCCGCCTCAGAGTCACAAAGTGCTGGGATTACAGGCATGAGCCACCATGCCCTATCCTATCTTCAATTTTGAGTTATAGGGTCATCCCACTGTTTTCTTCCAGCAGGCTTGGTGGGCCTCTGTCGGTTGGTACTGCTTGTTAGAATTGTTCCGCAAGAACACAGCCAACGCTTGGTGCCATATGGCCTTGATATAGAACACCAGCTGCGTTCATCAGTTCATTTTGCTTCATGTTAGCTAGGAGCTAGAATAAGGATAGAGCAAGGGTCTGATCAGGAGATTGTTGTTCTCTACTCATGGAAGGAAGAGAAAGAACATCTTTTCTCTGTTATCCAGCAGGTGCCAGATGAACAGGAACCAAGACACTGAATGGAGAAGCATAGCTTGATTGCAGGCAGCACCTTGAAAATTCCCCTCTGCCTGTATGCCAGTGGTGTTGGCAATATGTATGTCTTTCATTGTCTATACACCATTTTTAGACTAGACATAGAAAAAGCAAAGCTGTTAAAGGAAAGGGAGGGGGCAAATAAACTATGCCCATTGACTAACATAGATAAAGGAATTATATGTCTAGAAGCTTCCTTTAAGGCAAAGCAAAAAGGGAAAGATGATGGGTTTTTGATACCTTTTATTTGGTAGGAGGAAAAAAATAGCATTTTCTGGAGAGGCAAGTCACTTATCTCCCATGACAGAGCCAAAGACTGATAGGAATGTATCTCGTAGCACCTTTGGAGAAACAATAAATGGCCAGTGGGCAATGTCTTCCAATGAGATTGTGGATTATAGGAGCAGGAGGGTAAAATTTGGGGAACAGGGTGTTTGTACCAGGCAACAACATGGAGGCTGCTGATAGGGGAGGTGCTGGGGGTAGGTGCTGTGTCCCCAGCCCTTCCTTCCTTCCCTCTCTATGCCTTCTCTGCTGTCCCAGCTTTCTGGTCCCCAATGCTAAGTAGAGGGAGAGGGCTGTGTGTGGAACAAAGCCAGGTAGATAGTGCAGAGACTGAACCGAAACAGCTGGGAGATTTGAGAGAAGCTTGGAGAGAAGTTAACTGGATTTCTATTTCTTGATTGTACTGTTAAAATGTTCCTTTAATGTGAAAGCCTTTCTGTTAAATGAAGGGGAAAGGGAACTCTACGACAAGTAGCAGCCGTAAAACAAAGGGAACAAAAGGAGGAAACTGCTGAAATGGGTTTTGTTGCTATAGATATATGGAGACACATGGCTGGGCTGATGAATGGATTGAGGCAGCATTTGCAGCAAAGAGCCTGAAACAAGAAAACGGAGACAGTGAGTGGGAAGAGAAAGGGGCTTGTCTCAAGAGCATCCACCAGGAGCTAAGCCAAGTGGCTGAAAATAAAATAGCCAGCTCAGATGCCCCTTAGCTGGGAAGTGAGGGAGTGAGAAAACTAAGAACAGGTCAAAATTGAAAAGAAATTTTGGCCCATCCCCTTTAATTTGCAGTTGCAAGTTCCTCTGGGTCAACCCCAATGACAGCAGGCAGCAGGGACAATCTGGAAGACAGGGCAGTCTTAAGCCAGTGGATGAGAAATACAACAAACTTTCAGTGAATGGATCTGAGAACCCCTTTCCAGGTTCAGTCTAGCCCCCCAAACACACACATACACTCACACATAAAACTTACACACAAAACTCACATCCCTTAGAAAAGGAACAAATAAGTTACAATAGCAAGAGATGCTCAGAAGTAAATCTGTCTTGCTGCAGGTAGAGAGGAGTGTAAATTTCATGCAGGACCAATAAAATGAAGCCACTCTCCTCCAGGAACAGTACCAGTTATTGCATCACAGGTGACCTATAGCCACAGAAGGTGTATAAATTGCAGTGTTTATAGAGTCTTTCCTCATTTGTGTCGGTGGTAATTACATTTTGGGGGTATGAATTCGTAAATTCCAGGGGCTTCGCCATAAAGTCCACCAACCACCAGATTGACAGCAGAAAGATTCAATCAGTAGCCCAGGGCCAGGGCTGGGGGACCCCACTCCCTACTTTCGGCCTGCGACAAGGTTCTGTGTTCATTCACCCCCTAACTTCATTGGCACACCTTAGTGCTGGGCTGCCTGGAAAACTGGGACAGACAAAGGGTGATGCTCATGTTTTTAGAGAATGGGATTTTGAATGGAAGTGAACCCTCATGTTTCAACGCTTCTTCTCCTCTGTCCTCTGAATAAAATTTACATGCATGGTGCACAAGCCTTGGACCAGTCTTAGTCCTGTTTCAAGGTAAAATCCAGTCATCCTCTGCTGACCTCTTACAGCTTCCTGGACACTACCTGTGTCTTTGCCAGTGCACCTTCTCCTGGAATGTCCCCTTTGCCTAGCTGTCCACTCATCTGGGCCGATTTGCTCAGTACTTTGCCAGATAGATCCAGTCTCCCCTTGGCTGGTCCCATTCCCTCCCCTCAGTCTTATTTTCTGGCATGGAAAGCAGTGGAGTATCTTCCCCTCTAAACTGGAAGGTGCTTCAGTGCCATGCAATGTGGTTCCTCTCAGCAGCCCTGTATCTGGTGGCTCCCACAATGCCTAGAATACGGAAAGTGATCGCTAAGTGACTGAAAGAAGAGAGCAATGTCAGGAGCCCAGGAAAGTCTAGAGCTCCACCTGCCTTCTGGGTCACACGGCCCCTCCTGCAGTATCCCCATCACTATGGGCAGGAAAGAGAAGTGGTCCCAGCCCCACGTCCCAGCTATCCCCATCCAATATTCACAGCTCACCTCCACCCTCTGCCTTGGTTCCATTAGGACAAAAGCCAAGTCTCCTTTATCCCTTTCTTCTTCTTTATATCAGCTTTTGGAGGAGGTCAGGATGCCAGGATGACCACTTCCTGTCGCAGGGATAATACTCTTCAAACAGCTCTCTGGGCCAAAAGACATTCTCCCTGCACCCCCTGGCCCCTGTCATGCTACTCTGCTCTTCTTTGCTTTGCAGTACTTGTCACTACCAGAGATGCTATGCAGCTTACATCTTTATTTTATCATTATCCTCTTGCTGAAAGGTTAGCTCCTTGAAGGCAGATAATTTTGGCCTATTGTTTACTGCCGTATCCTGGGATATGGGAGGGGCCTAGTCAGGCATGGTGAAAGAGTGAGTGGATGCTGGTGGTTCTCAGATTGGAAGGTCACTAGTTCTTTCTGGGTTAGACCTGTAGCCCCATCTCCATGCAGCCAAACTGCTCTTATTTATTTTTTGAGACAGAGTGTCCTTCTGTCACCCAGGCTTACTGCAACCTCTGCCTCCCAGGTTTAAGCGATGCTCATGCCTCAGCCTCCTGAGTAACTGGGATTACAGGCATGCACCACCACACCTGGCTAATTTTTGTATTTTTAGTAGAGACAGGGTTTCATCATGTTGGCAAGGCTGGTCTCGAACTCCTGGCTTTATGTGATCTGCCCCCTCACCTTGGCCTCCCAAAGTGCTGGGATTACAGGTGTGAGCCACTGCGCCTAGTAAGCTCTTATTTATTGTGTATGGGGAGCATCCAACAATTCTCCTTTTGGTTTCTACCGACTGGTCCATGCATCCCCGGCCCCCCAGCCCACTAGGTTCTGATTCTTCAGCCTGCCCTATGACAGCACAGGTTCTCATTGCTCAGCCTGCAGGGCGTGACCCTGGACCCTCCTCATACTAGGTGACGCAGCTGGGGGATAGGTGATTGGTCCCCCGCCTCACCCCAGTGCTCCGGCTTCTCCTGGCTGACTTATTTGAACAGCTTCCTTGGGAAAAAGAACACCAAGCAGAAGGGCAGAAGCCAGCATAGGTCGGAGCTAGGTATTTCCATGCACCTTATCTCACTGACTCTTCACTGTGCTCTTCAGAGGTCAAAAATGTCAACCATATTTTTAAAACCAGGCAAGTGAGGCCAATCAGATATCTTGCTCAAGGTCACACAGCTGGTAAGAAGCATAGCTTCAAATCTGGATCACTGCTGATGCCACAGGCCAGTCTCTTTAACAGAGTCATGATGGCATGAGGCATCCTGAGGAATGGGAGAGACTACTCAGAGCATTTATTTTGATGTCTGTTTTGAGTGTGACTTACGATGTGACAATTTTTGACATTCAATTCCTTTGGAGATAACAGTCTGGCTGAAATGGCATAGATATGACTCCCAAGAATCTTGGAACAGAACAGGGCCTCCTGAGTGATCATGTATTGCCCAACCCACCCATTAGATAGCTGGGGAGACTGAGGCCCAAGAGGAAAATGGTTGCATACAGATTCTCACAAATAACGACTAGTGCCTGGAACCCCGGGCTTCAATTTTCTAGGCTGTGTGTTGACCACCTAAGGCGGCTTTTTTGTGGTCTTAGCACAGCAAAGGGAGATGAGTCTCCAGCCTTTCCCTGTGGACCATTTTTAAGTCAGGAACTGTGCTCTTGACCAATGCATGGGGTGTGGAATTCTCTGAATCTAGATAGGTGGTGCCCAGAATGTCTGAGATGGGCTAATCCACTGGAGACCTAGGGCCAGAGGTTGGCAGTGGATGACACTTGCTGGAAGTGGAGGGAGGATGACCTGAAGACCACCCTGGGCCCCACCCAGGATCCAGACTGATTCTAGCTTTTTCTCTTCCCTAAGTGATGTCTCACCTTCCAAAGAGGGGCAATGATGTAGTGGAATGTGCCTGGCAAAAATCATGCCATCCCAACCTCTTTAACTCCACCAGCCGGCGCACAAATCAGGTGGCCTCTGGGGAGCCAGCCTCGGGATTGGACATTTATGACCCTCCTTTGGAAATCTGGCTCTGGGATGGCATCTGTTTCATAAGCAGACCTGCCCATGTATAGCCCAGACAGCTGTGAGGTTGATTTATGCCTTTAATACCACGAGCTTCATTTAGCCGGTCTGGAAAACACATTTCGGCGTGTGAAGCTAGAGTCTTTCTCTCCTCGTCCATCCTCACTGGACATTAATTTCGACAGTGGGTTTTGTCGTTGTTGTTTTTGCTGTTCCTTTTTGGACAGGTCTATTTTTCCGTCTTGGATAACATCCATGCTGATCACAGCTCACCACAGGCTTCTGGAGAGCCAAGGGGGCTGGGAGCTAGAACTGGGTAGGGGGAAAATGATCAGGCATCGTCTCTGAGATTTTTGAATTTTCCATAAAGAGAATTGTGGGAAGTAGTCATTACCCTCCTCTGCCCCAGATCAAAACTACAGCACCCTAAAATTTTTAACCATTTTCATTTATCCAAATAAACACACTGTTTACACATTTTCATTGAAGCTATCATAAATGTTGAAAATGGCTTTACTCAATATTGCCTCATTAGTGGAAAGGTACTGCTCTTGGTAGTGAAGTTCTTGGTCGTGAATTTTCTCTTTTGGTGGAAGGGCAGAGCAATCAGATTTTGTAGGTTTTTTTAATCATTTGCCACAGCAACAGACAGCAGAATGGCACACGTGATAGCTTGAGAGCATCATTATCTCCCCGTATCCCCTGGGACCCCGTTCACTTTCTTTTCATGGATTCTCTGTAAGTTATACATCAAACCACATTCTTCAGGTGCTTTCAGATTTCCCACTTTCAAGTTGTTATGTCTTGGTTTTGCTGTTTCTTCTATTCTTTTTTTTCCCTTTTTCATTGATTCTTAGTTCTTTTCATAAGACATTGCATCCCTCCTCTCTCCACACACAAACACATGCACTCAACTGCCCCAAAGCAGCCTTTTCTATCCATCTGTGCTGGTTTTTTCAATGATGAAATCCTTTATCCTGACGGGGCTGTGTTCTTCGGTGTCCATGAAACTTGGGATGAGGATGCTTGATTAGGCCAACGCTCTGAGGGAGGAAAGTTCACTTATTGTCTCATCCTAAACAAGAGGACGTTATATCTCAGCAAGGCCGGGACTTGTTCAAGGAGACACAGAGTAAGGCAGGCCACCAGCCAAAGCCCAGAGACTTCCTCACTCCAGGCTCTGGCCTGGTCACCAGCATGGTTAGGTGGATGTCAGCATCTCCAGGTGGAGCCCCCAGGGACTTTACAGGAATAAGATGGGTCTGAAGTTGATGAGAGGAGGAGGGGGCAGTGATGGGACAGGGACAGGGTAGACTTATGACTCTGAGATAGTCCAGGTAGATGTCCACATTTGGGTAACTGGTACCTCGTGTTTTCCTAGAGGCTTGAAGCCCACTCTAGGTACTGTGAGAAACACATTTACCCGTCCAAACCCAAAGAATGTACTTGGAGACATGAAGAATAGCCAAAGTGAGACTTTTGATGGTGGTCTTGCAAGATTGGGTGTCTGGAAGGCAGGCACACCCAGGGCAGTTACAGCGGGTAATTTATCTCCTAGCAGGCAAGTCACTCCCCCACTTCCTCATTAGTCCAGTACTGCAGGGTAACAATCTTCCTGGATGTTGCCTAAGTTTCATTATCCCCCCTTATGAGGTTATACCCTGGTCCCCTTCCCCACTGAAGTTTCAATTTCCCAATAATGAAACTTTCTTCCCTTCTGTGGGCTGACCACTCCTCTATATTCTGTTTACTTAGCGTGACTTTCTAGCTGCATGAGCTGTGTGGCTTGTCACATCTGCAGGCTGGCTGCAGGTACTTAGATTTATCATGCCTTGAAAATGGACCATTTAAAATGTTTTCTCACAGTACCAGTATGACGAAACGTGCCTCCCATCCCCACATCTGAGCACAGCCCTTGCACGGATTGAGGGTGAGTCCAGATATGAAGGCTTGCTGGTAAAGAAATTTCCAGGACGAGATGTCTGCAGCAAGCAGTCCACCCTCCATTAAGAACCTCTGAGGACATCAAGAAAATACAGAAATGGAGAAACTCTGGTAATTACCATTCTCTCCCTGCCTCCTCCCCCATGCCCCTCCGGCCTACCAACCAGAAAGAAACTGGGCTGAGAAGGGCAAATTCTCTTACTCGTATTTCATGTGATGTGGAATTTTTCTTTCTTTTTTTCCTTTCTCTCTTTCAACTCTCTTATAAAGACAGAACAGTTCTCTTGTCTAGCAGGCACCCTCTCTGCCACCACCCTGGTGCCCAATCACGGTGACAAATGACACTTTTGGGAGCCCCTGCTCAAGAGTTTCTGCTCTTAATGAGAAAAGGAAGGGTGGAGTGGTCCGGGCCTGGAGTTGCGAAGGGTTGTCCTGCAGTCCAGATCCACCAAGCCTTTCTCACCCACCACCCCAGCCTCTGCCAGCTCCATTCCTTCTGAATACCCCGGACAGCCCACCCTGTTTATTCCTGGGGTAAAAGGAGGTTTGAAATCATCTGTGACCAGGGCAGTGGGTATGGGGGGAAACTGGGTGGCTCAGAGGAGTCGACCTCAGAGTTAAGAGAGAGGAAGGAGTAAGGAAACTAGAGGACCCAAAAAGAGAACACGTGGGAAGAGACACACGGGCGGATGAATATGAAGAGAGGCAGGAACAGGAGAGGAGACAGAGATGGTGGAGAGAAAAGAGCAGTGCGAGAATTTCTGCGCACGTTGCGTGGAATGGGAGGAGCAGGGAAGCTGACATTGCAGCTCAGTCATCAAAAGGATTTGAGGGCCACAGTCTCTTTTAAATCTTATTCTCAAGGGAGGAAGAAACATACCCTTATTCCCCCTCAATTCCCAGCAGATCGCATTCCATTTCCTCTCCTTCGTCTTCCCCGAAAACAGTGAAATTGCTATTTTGCTGTTAGTCAAATGAAGTCTATCTAATTAAAAATAGCTTTGTAAGTACGTGTCAAGAGGGGGAAAGTATGGGCCTGCCCGTGTGGGCCTGGGTACAGCCTCCAAACCCACCATGCCTCATTTGGGTAGGAAGGTCGTTTTTTGTTTCCCCAAGGAAAAATGTCCTTTTTTTTTCTCCCCACTGTTTGCTTTGGCATGAAAGAGAGAGAATTATCTGGATGGAGACTCGGCAGGGAGTTGCCTTCTATCTGCTTTGCATGCTGTGCTATGTGAATTGATACTGTACTGATCATTTGGAGGAGGGGAGGGGAGTGTGTGGGGAGAGAGCATTCAGCATTGAGAGCATCTGCAAAAATCACTTTGCTAAGAAATGATCTTTTTCCTCTGCACAATGGCAAGATGTCACCCTCGGAATCTTCTGACAGTGGTGGTGGTGGCTGACAGTGAGCATAATTTCCCATGTCTCTGTTGGGGTAGTTATTTGTACAATTCTGCACCGAAGTCAAAGCCTTTTATTTATTTTTTATTTTTTTTTAAACTTTGCCGGTTGCTGCGGTGGCTTTTGCAACAAAATAATTACTTTTGTGCCAAGCACTTAGGTAACAAGATAAACAAGAGGCAACATAAATGGAATGTAAATATGGAACAAGTGTCTGTGAAGGGAAAGGCAGCCTAGGGCAAGAAAGAGCTTAGGGCTGGGTGCCGTGGCTCACGCCAGTAATGCCAGAGCTTTGGGAGGCCAAGCTGGGAGGATAGATTGAGCCCAAGAGTTTGAGGCCAGACTGGGCAACATAGTGAGACACATGTCTCTACAAAAAAAACAACAAAAAAAATTAGTTAGCTGGGTGTGGAGGCACCTGCCTGTGGTCTCAACGATGTGGGAGGCTGAGGCAGGAGGATAGCTTAGAGCCAGGGAGGTTGAGGCTATGGTGAGCTGTGATTGCACCACTGCGCTTCATTGTCGGTGATAGAATGAGATCCTGTCCTCCTCAACCCCACCAAAAAAGAAATAGCTTGCCTTGGTTTTCTGCATCTTGTAAATCCCCAGGAACCTGCAGAAGCTTCCTTTCTGTGCCCCTCAGTGGGTCCGTGACTTCCCAGGGAAGGGCCAAAGGCTAGTGCCCAAATCTCAGGGTGATAGGAGCTTCTCTTTTGTAATACAGTAAGGGTTATTGGTGGGGAGGGTTCGGGAAACAGGATTTGCTTTGTCTTATGGACAAGCTTTATGCAAGGCATAGTTTGTAAACCCAGAAAGCTGGATCTGGGTTCTGGCTCCGACCCCAATATCTGAGTGACTTTGGGTCAGTCACTTCTTTTCTCCGGACTTCCGCATACTCATTTCTAACATGAAGAGCAGAACTGGGTAAATTCATGGATTACCCACCTATATGTGACTTCTACCCAACATTTCCATGACTGAGTAGACTTTGGAATCCACAACTCAGGAGCTAGGAAATGTGGAATCTAAATTCTGAGTCTGAATCTTTACCTGGTCAGGCAGTTGTTATTTGCTAATACCATCTGTAGTGGTTGACTGGTGACACCTTTATCTAGGTTCCCAAAGATGTGTCCTTTGAGAACCTCATGTGATTGTGTCTCGTTAAAAGGGTCATTAAGTTAAAGGTCTCGAGATGAGATTATCCTGGATTAGGGTGACACCTAACTGCAATGACAAGTCTTTATAGGAGCAGTAAAGAAGAAACAGACACAGACACACAGGTTAGAGGCCATGTGAAGACACAGGATGAGATGGGAGTGATTCGGCCAGAAGCCAAGGAATCCCCGGAGCCACAGAACCAGGAAAAGGCAAGGAAGGGCTCTGCCCTAGAGCTCTTCCTAGGGCAGAGGGAGGGAGTATGGTCCTGTTAACACTTTGATTTCACATTTCTGGCCTCCAGGACTCAGAGACAATACACTTCTGCAGTTTTAAGCCACCCAGTTTGTAGTAATTGGTTACAGCAACCCTAGCAAGCTAATACACCATCAATAAGCCTAGAATGAGCACCCATCCTCTCTGTTGGGTTTCCATCTGTCTCTTAGATATCAGAAGATGATAACTTGTCTGAGTGGGTCTGACGGGGAAAGAAAAAAAAGGAGAATGTATTAGTCTTTTTTCACACTGCTATGAAGAAATACCGAACACTGGGTAATTTATAAAGGAAAGAGTTTTAATTGACTCACAGTTTCACATGGCTGGGGAGGCCTCAGGAAACTTACAATCAATGTGGAAGGTACCTCTTCACAGGGTAGCAGGAGAGAGAATGAGTGCCCAGCAAAGGGGGAAGCCCTTATAAAACCTTTAGATCTCGAGAGAACTAACTCACTCTCATGAGAACAGAATGGGAGAAAATGCCCCATCATCCAACCATCTCCACCTGGTCCCTCCCACAACACTTGGAGATTATGGGAACTACAATTCAGGATGAGATTTGGGTGGGGACACAGCCAAACCATATCATTCCACCTCTTGCCCCTCCCAAATCTCATGTACTCACAATTCAAAACACAATCATGCCCTTCCAACAGTCCCCCAGTCTTACTCATTCCATCATTAACGCAAAAGTCCAAGTCCAAAGTTTCATCTCAGACAAGCCAAGTCCCTTCTGTCTATGTGCCTGTAAAATTAAAAGCAAGTTTGTTATTTCCAAGATACGATGGGGGTACAGACGTTGGGTAAATGTTTCCATTGCAAATTGGAGAAATTGGCCAAAACAAAGGTGCTACAGGCCCCATACGAGCCCAAAATCCAAAAGGGCAGATATTAAACCTTAAAGTTCCAAAATGATCTCCTTTGACTTTATGTCTCACATCCAGGTCATGCTGATGCAAGAGGTGGGCTCATGGGCCTTGGACAGCTCTGCACCTGTGGCTTTTCAGGGTACAGCCTCCCTCCTGGGTGCTTCCACAGGCTGATGTTGAGTGTCTGCAGGTTTTGCAGGTGCACAGTGCAAGCTCTCAGTGAATCTACCTTTCTGGGGTCTGGAGGATGGTGACCCTCTTCTCACAGCTCCACTAGGCAGTGCCCCAGTGGGAACTCTGTGTACAGGCTCTGACCCCACATTTCCCTTCTACATTGCCCTAGCAGAGGTTCTCCATGAGTGCTCCACCCCTGCAGCAAACTTCTGCCTGGACATCCAGGCATTTCCACACATCCTCTAAAATCTAGGCAGAGGTTACCAAACCTCAATTCTTGACTTCTGTGTACTGGCAGGTCCAACACCATGTATAAGCCAGCAAGGCTTGGGGCTTGCACCCTCTGAAGCAACAGCCTGAGGTGTACCTTGGCCCCTTTTAGCCACAGCTGGAGTGGCTGGAACACAAGACACCAAGTCCCAAGGATGCACATGGCATGGGGGCTCTGGACCCAGCCCAGGAAACCATTTATTCCTCCTAGGCCTGTGATGGGAGGGGCTGCTATGAAAGTCTCTGACATGCCCTGGAGACATTTTCCCCATTGTCTTAGTGATTACACTTGGTTCTTCATTACTTATACAAGTTTCTGCAGCCAATTTGAATTTCTCCCCAGAAAATGGGGTTTTCTTTTCTATCACATCGTCAGGCTGCAAATTTCCCAAACTTTTATGCTTTGCTTCCTCTTGAATGCCTTGCCACTTAGAAATTTCTTCTGTCAGATACTCTAAGTCATATCTCTCAAGTTCAAAGTTCCAGAGATCTCTGGAGCCAGTGCAAAATGGTGCCAGTCTCTTTGCCTACGAAGAGTCACCTTTACTCCAGTTCCCAACAAGTTCCCCATCTCCATCTGAGACTACCCCAGCATGGATTTCACTGTTCATGTCACTGTGAGCATTTTGGTTGAAGCCATTCAACAAGTCTCTAGAAGTTCCAAAGTTTCTCACATCTTTCTGTCTTTTTCTGAGCCCTCCAAACTGTTTCAACCTCTGCCTGTTACCAAGTTCCAAAGTCACTTCCACATTTTCAGGTATCTTTATAGCAGCACCCCACTCTCTGTGATAGCAGTTTACTGTATTAGTCTGTTCTCATGCTGCTATGAAGAAATACCCAAGACTGAGTAGTAAAGGAGAGAGGTTTAATTGACTCATAGTTCCACATGGCTGGGGAGGCCCCAGGAAACTTACAATCATGGTAGAAAGCACCTCTTCACAGGATGGCAGGAGAGAGTATGAGTGCCTAGTGAAGGAGAAAGCCCCTTATAAAACCATCAGATCTTATGAGAACTGTCACGAGAACAGGATGTGGAAAACTGCTCCCATGACTCGATGATCTCTACCTGTCCCACCCACCCATGACACGTGGGGATTATGGGAACTACAATTCAAGATGAGATTTGGGTGGGGACAGAGCCAAACCACATCAGAGAAGATATGATTTAGAAGGTGAAGAGGTCTCACACAGTGCTGTGCCTGCCTTGGCAGACATTGCTCAGAAGCATAGCACAAGGAGGGTTCTAGCTATAGGAAAGGTGTTCTTGGTCACTTTGAGAGGTGAGACCTTGTGACAAGTTCACTGAATCAGCAGTGAGAAGGCTTGGCTTCTAACCCTCTCTGTTCTAGCCCTCTCACTTCTTGACCTTGAATAAGTCTCTACCTTTTCGGACTTCAGATTATGTACGATGAATATAAGAGTATTGATCAGTGGCTTTTTAACATATCATAGCAAATATTTTGCAATGCCCCATAATTATTCCAAACTGAAATTCAAAAACAAAACAACCTGTCTATACTTACAACTTGCAAAGTATAATGTACTATGAGTGATATAAAGGAAGAATAAGGAAAAAGTGATTATTATAATGTAAGGTTTTCAATATATACGTGATCAGCATATTTATACTAGAAAGCAATAAGGTAGAACTTAAAGGTTGTCACTATATCTCAGGTCATAGTGAAAGAGAAAAAAATGTGGATGGTTCTAGATGGGTTGTATTGATTCAAATAGCACAGACCACACTGCTATCAATGACATGATTTTCCCAAACGGTAAACAACTCCTGGTAAACTTCTGAACAACACAGTCTTTCCTTGATTTACAAGGAAGTCATTTCTGGAAAATACAGTCTATATTAAAACCATATTTTAAAACATATTATGGTTTTATGTCATGCAATGAAGTTAAGTTCTGGGCCTGGGTAATTATAAGCAGGGTTTTCACCTACGGAACATACAGATATCATGTGGGGTGCAGAACAATTCCACCTCGGGAAGACTTCCCCAAATGTTGCAGGGTTTCTAGCCTTCCATCTTACCTTAAATGCTGGTAATCACCGCCCCCTCTACCAATCATTGTGATAAATGATAATGCCTCCTCAGATTCCCAAACTTACCCCTGGTAAGGCATCAACCCCTTGAGAGCCACATTCCTCTAGGGCCCCTTCCAGCCCTAGGCTGAACCCCACATGAACTCATCTTCTCTTGTCAAGACCTATCCTGTCAGTCAAAAAAATATTTATGGTGCTCCCACTCCTTGCTCTTTGCTATGCTGAGGCTAGAGAAGAGGTGAATTATGTATTTTCTCAAGCAAGGTTTGGGATGATCTGACAGCTTGAACCGAGTTCCTCTTTCTCCCTGCCGACCTCCCCTCCTTCTTTCCCTCCTTCCATTCTTCCTTCTTTTCAGTTTTTTAAAAAACTTGATTTTAAAAAGATTGCATTATTTTTACTGATGCATAATAATTGTATGTTGTTATGAGGTACATATGATATTTTGAATTATGCATGCAATGTGTAAGGATCACATCAGGGTAATTAGGAGGCTCATCACCTCAAACATTTGCTATTTCTTTGTGTTAGAACATTTCAAATCCTCTCTTCTAGTTATTTTGAAATACACAATAAATTATTATTAACTATCGTCACCCTACTGTGTTGTCGAACACTAGGACTTATTTCTTCTATTAACTATATGTTTGTACCTCCCCTTCCTCCATCCTTTTTCTTCTTTTGTCTTTTGTTTCTCTTGCCAAGTGTTTCCTAAACATTAGGCTGGTTAAATAAGAATGACCAGGGATTGGGTTCACATTTAGATTGGTGGCTACTGCTCCCAGAGGCTCAGATTTGGAAGGTCTATGGTATTCACACAAATGCTGTTCTCAGACACGACACGACAGAAGTGGGCACCTGTTGTCAGCTCATTTTTAGAGGAGGACTCTCTGTTTTGGAGTCTATATCTGGAGATAATTTCAGCCAGACGTTGCACCTAGAAGATGTCCAAATTATTCACTTGGAAAAATACCAAAGTCAAATAATGCAGCCTTGGTGCAAGAGCAGTTACAGAAAACTGCTCTCCAGGGAATGAACATCTGGGGCTGGATTTGGAATCAGTTGAGGCTACACGTGTGCTTAACCGGGCAGAACACAACAGTGTCCTGATCTCACGCACAGGGCTGTTTGCTTGTGTCAGCTACCAGGTCCCCCACAATAGTGATGTGTCATTTAGTAAGCAACAAAGATCAGTTATAGAAGTAAATTATAAATGCTAGTGATTAAAAAGTAACAGATAAGATGCATCCATCACAAATGTGTCTACATGTGGGAGAGATGGTGACATGGACCCACTTTTAACCAGACAGAAAGATGGAAGAAGGCAGCTTGCGGGGAATGAAGCTTGCCCACAGCGTGCGATTTTGCCAGTGGTAACTGGCTTTTAAGGTACTGCTGAAGAGATGAGCACAGAAAGGTAGCTGGAGCAGTTGGGAGCAATTGAGACTGGCTCACTTGGGTTGGAATCCCAGACTCACTCTTTCCTACAGCCGGGAATGTAAGCAAATGGCTCCACCTTTTTCATAAAATGAGAATAATAATATGAACACTCTGAGGCTGCCAGGTGAGCAGTTGGGATGATGCACTTTGGAGACTTCTGACAGCTCTACAAAGTTGCACATACTCAGTAAATATTAGTTCTGTCCACCTACCAACTGCACTTCACCAACAAAAGGCCAAGTAATAGGAGAGGAAATTACCAAACCAGAAGAGATCAAAATTGCCTGGAAAAATGAGAATAAGGGAGGGTTTCTGAGATCCATTTTGTGCCTGGCCTGGAATTGGACAGTGTGGTCCTAAAGTCAAGTCAGGCAGAGCCTGGCATTAAGTGGGGGAAACAGAGCTTCTCTAGTCTAAGCTTCTGTCTTGGAAGGAAAGCTTGGGAAGAATTGAGCGATGTCTTACAAAGGTGCTTTGCAGACCCAGAGCACCTGAGGTCATCGTTTTTAATTTGCCAGCCTGAAACCCAGTGTGCTCAAAGGCAGAGACTCCCTCAGGAATCCTCTCTCTGCAGAAGAAGATGGATCAAGAAGGCCTTACGCTTATCCTAGCCACAGCCTTCCAAGAACAAAGGGATCAGTATCAGCAGCCTACATTGATCAAACCACAAGCACTTATGGAGTTTCTTCTAGGTGCTTTATCTTCCTAGATATAAAGCTGATCATGTCACTTCCTTGCTTAGAGGTGTCCATTGACTTCCCGTCACCTACAGGACACAGCCTGAGTCTCATAGTCGGTAGGAAAAGCCCTTCCATCTGACCACTTGCCACTGCCTGCCTCCAAATCCCTGGTCCCCAGATGGCCACAGAGGTGCCACATGCCCACACACCCTACAGTACTGTCAAAACTCCTCGCACCCAGGAGACACCCTGCTTTCTCAAGCCTCTGTATCTTTAGGTATATTTTTCCTCTGCTTCCATTACTGTCCTTTATTTGTCACGAGGCAGGTCTATATCAAACATTGCCACCTGTGTCATGCCTACTCTAGCAACATCCAGGAGAGATGGGCCACCGTCTCAACCAGGGATGATTAATTATAGATCCCTCATTCTTTCTTATCTCTTCCCCTACGACTCTCACCATATGCATGTTAGACTTCCTCATTCTACCTTCATGTCACGAAGTCTTTTCTATTTTTTATCTCTCTGTCTGTCTGTGCTATATTCTGGTATTCTTTAGATCTAGCTCCAGGTTTATGATTAAGTGGAATCTGCTATTTATTTTGTTTCTAATTAGGATGGTTTTAATTTTCAGAATTTTTTGGTTCTTCTAGTAAAAATGAGAGGTTGATTTTATTTTAATAATATCTTGCTTAATAAGTCACACCTACAAACCCCACTTTTATTTGTTTAAACATGTTGTTACTGGTTTCCCAGGGCTGCCATAGCAAAATACAACAGACTGGATTTAAATATTAGGCGTTTATTTTCTCAGAGTTCTGGAAGCTGGAAGTTCAAGATCAAGGTGGAGGCAGGGTTGGTTTCTCCTGAGTTCTCTCTCCTCAGCTTGCAGATAGTCTTCTGCTGTCTGTGTCCTTACACAGTCTTTCCTTCATGCACATGCATCCCCTGGGTCTGTGTAACTCTACATTTCCTCTTCTTATAGAGACACCAGTCAGATTGGATTACAGTCCACCATAACAGCCTCATTTTAAATTGGTCATCTCTTTAAAGATGACTCCAAATACAGTCATATTTTGGCCAGGTGTGGTAGCTCACGCCTGTAATCCCAGCACTTTGGGAAGCCGAGGTGGGTGGATTACCTGAGGTCAACAGTTTGAGACCAGCCTGCCCAACATGGCGAAACCCCATCTCTACTAAAAATACAAAAATTAGCTGGGCATAGTGGCGGGCATCTGTAATCCCAGCTATTCAGAAGGCTGAGGCAGGAGAATCACTTGAACCTGGGAGGTGGAAGTTGTAGTGAGCCAAGATGTACCATTGCATTCCAGCCTAGGCGACAAGAGCAAAACTCTGTCTCAAAAAGCAACAACAAAAACAAATACAGTCATATTATATTATGACTCCAAATGCAGTCATATTCTGAAGGACTACTGGGTCTGGCTTCAAGATATGAATTTTGGGGGACAGGTTCAGTTCATAACACAATTTAAATTGTATATTTCTGTTTCTTATAACTATGTTCTTCACTTGTGTGACTCTGCATTTGAATGTTTCTGCTGATTCTTGTTGCCTTGCAAAATGAGTGTTTTTCTGTTGGGAAAGTATGTTCTTTACAACTTACGTATAGCGATTCTTTGTGGCCTGTGTCTAACATACATCCCTCTAGAGAGAATTTTCCTTTGCTTCTGGGAGGCATCTGGGGTGTTTCTAATTTGTGGCCACTTAATTAAACTTTGAGTTTGGATTTTGTGGGGTTTCTTTGGTGGGGGTGGAGGGGGTTATAGTGCACAGAGTTTGCATGAATTTCAGCCCTTAACTTGTAGGAGGGCAAGTTGGTAGTTAAAAATTCTCTGAGGAAATTTTATTTTTTGTTCTAGCCAAGTACAAGGCCAGGAAAGCCCCTAATCCCAACCATTGTTTCTGCTTAGCAAATTTATATTTTTGAAGTTTACCCTCTGTGGCCAATTGATTGAATTCAGGGCCCCAGTTCTTCATCCTTACTGAATTAGTTTTCCTGGAACTGCGGCAACAAATTGTCCTAAAGCTGGTGGGTGAAAACAACAGAAATGTATTTTCTTACAGTTCTGGAGGCTGGGAGTCTGAATCGAGGCACTGGGAGAGCTGTGCTCCCTCCAAAGGCTCAGGGGAGAACGCTTCCTTGCCTCTTCTAGTGGATGCCTCTTCTAGTGGCTCTCGGCATCCTTAGGCTTGTGACTTCATCACTTTTATCTCTGCCTCATTTTTTTCCCTATGTATCTCTCTGAATCCTCTTCTCAGTCATTGGCTTTAGCCTCTCCCTCCCCCAAATCTGGGATAATTTCACCTTGCAATCCCTCACTAATTATATTTGCAAAGATCCTGCTTCCACATAAGTTTGCGGTCTGAGGTTGCAGGTGGACATGAATTTTGAGGGGTGCTCATCAACCCCTCACACCTTTCCATATACACACCCTGTGCCCTGAAACTTTGTAGTGACCTCCCCGTCTGATGTTCATTCCAGCCATGTGACTTTCTTTAAGCAATAGAATGTCTCTCGCTGTGGTACAAACAGAGACTTGAAGAAGAGCAAGTGCATCACTACTTGCTGTTCTTGCCCTCTGCCACTGCCCTGAGAGAGACCTGCCCCAGTTTCAGGCAGAGGCGGAAAGAAACATGGAGCTGAACAGAGTCATCCCATCATTCCATCCATCAGTGTTCGAGTGGATAGCCAGATGACCTGCACAGGTGCGGGTTAGCCCAGCCATGATCAGCAGAACTACCTGGCTGCCTGGCTAGATGTGTGAGTAAGGAGCAGCTAGTCTTGCATGTCACTGAGGAGCTGTGGTTGTTTCCCACACAGTAGTGCTGTGGCAATAGATACCTGATACCCCTGCTGATTAGGTGTCTTTTTGAGGGTCCTGGCTTTATGAGGGGTCACCTATTGAATCTCCCACCATGCCCAGGCCCTAGGCTTCGTCTCCTGTCCCCTGGTGCTCCAGTGCCTATTAAAATAGATACTCTGAGGATGGGCACCGTGGCTCACACCTGTAATCCCGGTACTTTGGGAGGTCCAGGCAGGCAGATCACCTGAGGTCGGGAATTCGAGACCAGCCTGGCCAACATGGTGTGAAACCCTGTCTCTACTAAAAATACAAAAATCAGTCAGGTGTTGTGGCGCATGCCTGTAATCCCAGCTATTTGGGAGGCTGAGGTGGGAGAATCGCTTGAACCCAGGAGGTGGAGGTTGCAGTGAGCTGAGATCATGCCACTGCACTCCAGCCCGGGCAACAGAGTGAGAGTCTTGTCTCAAAAAAAAAATGATAAATAAAAATAAAAAATAAAATAGATGCTCTGGGACAGCAGGGATCTGCAGGAGGAAAGGCCAACTCCAGGGCACACATACCTTCACGCTTTCTTTTCAACTTCCGGCCTCCAAGGAATTCCCTTCGTTTCCTGACAATCAACTATTTAAGAAATATTTTAAATCCAGAATTCACAGAAATGCACTGGTGCGAAGAGGCTACTGAGCCCCTGGAACTCTCTTTCCTGGCTAGTTATCTTACTGTTTTTACCACCTCATTGAGCTGTGGTCATCCAAATAGGAGAGACTCTGAAAAGTACCTTGCTCCAAGTGTCTTTTTCTACTGGTTCCTGAGGACAGGCCATTGGTCCTCACCTAGACAGGCAATGTTCTCTTGCCAGAACACTCTTTGGGATCTTACTGCAAGAGTAGCTGCAATGACCCCGAGTGACTTGCACCAGAATTTTACCTGCTTTGGTGGACACACATGAAAGGTCTCCTCCTGGCACTTCCTTCACCAGTTCCATAGCCACAAACTGTTCTGGAGCCTAGGGCCAGCATTCCATAGCCCAAGGGGCACTTGTGATTTTCCAGAGTCAAGGACTCACACATCACTGAAACTGCCTCAATTCTTATCAGCGATGTCCAGAACCATGATCGTTTCCTGCCACCAACTCAGACAGGGTATTTTTCTATTTCAGCTCAGATGGCAAGTATTTTCTTCCTTGTAAAGGTTTAGCATCTTCACAGTATAGGCACTGATGTTTTATCATGAATAAATCTTTTGTAAGTACCACTGGCTGGGTTCTTCTGTTCAATCCTGAAGCCACAGGAGGTGATAAGCCCTCCTTTCCAGTTCAGGACTGCGTCCTGCTCTTTCCGACTCTTATTTGTGACTGCACTCTTTGTCTACCCCTGTTGCTCATGGGCTGTTGGGAAGTAAACACAGTGATGAAACTGGAAGCAGATTTATCTAGGAAATCCGTAAGCCCCTAACAAACATTTACCACTGGGATTCACATATTGGCTGAGTCTTTGCAGCGTTTCCCCAAGGGGTTGAAGTGGAATCTTCCTGGGGCTGCTATGTAGACTCAGTTGTGTTTTGGAGAATAGCGAGGAAGAGTCACCTTCTACCTGGAAGTCAGGAGGCCTACAGGGCTGGACACTCTCTCTTTCTCCAATGTGACCTAATAAGCACTGATGGAAGGATAAAGTGCCTGGGCATGTGTCTGAGAGTAGAACTGAAATTCACTGTGAAGAAAAAGAAAAGAGGAATCAAATGAATATTTAATTCAAGAGAGGATGCCTTAACAGAGGCCTTAACTGTAGTCAATGAAGGATCCCCTTACTGACTTGTTAGGGGTTCTCAGGGTAACAACAGAAGATTGCAAAGAGGAAAAAAGCAGCCAGCTTTGGAAGACAAGGCCTTTCAGATGCAGTCCCTTCGTCCAGTGTGCAGAGCGCTGTCCTCATCCCTGTCCTCCTGAACCAGCATGTGTGGCCTGTTTCCCATCACAGAGTGAGTGAGTCATGTGTGAGCCGAGGAAGGCGGATTCTTTCTAATATGCCATAGGCTTCACATCACCCTCATTTGAAAAGCAGTTGCATCCAATAAGCTGATGTCTATAACCAGAATCCCAAATGATTGAGTTACAGTAGTAAGAACAGTCACTTTTCAGGGGACACCAAATTACAATGAGGCTGAAATTGTATCCGTTTACAGTCAGAAATATAGTTGTTCCAGAAACTACACCTGTTAGTAAAACTGCATGTGGAGTCAAATCAAAATAAAAATGTCTTGAGAGCTTAGAACCAGAGGAGAGAAGTTCATCAATAGGATGGCCCATTCGGTGGCTCAGGCGACCACAATCTGATCACTGTCACATGTTAAGCTTAATCAGGCCAGTGCCCTGGGGAATACGGAGAATCTATTGACCTCAGCTCCTGGCACCCATTTCCACGTTAGGATGTCCTTGCCATTGGGAGGGGATACTCTTTTGGCCGAGAATCCTCTGTCCCATTCACGGGACTGGCAGTGCCACTGCTGGATTTAAGGGATCTGCTTCCTCTGTGACTGATTTTCTTCAGATCCATATAATCCTTCTTTTGATTTGTTCAGGCCTCCACTAGAGTTATAACAGTCATTAGCCTATCATCATTAGGGAATTCTCTTAAGCCTAACACTGTCTCTCTATAACTCCTTCCCACCAGTCGCCCACGTCCTGCTCTGCGTGGATACATGGAAAAAATCTACACCATTTTCCACAAGGCATCTTATCAAGAATTCAAGTCTTGCTATCAACAGGGTTGCCACATACAATTGTGTAAGTTGTGCACTGAACAAGGGAATATGGCTGTGCAGAGTAGTGTGAGTGGGAAACCTGGTATGGGGCTTCCCCTACTTGTGGAGAGCGGCTTTTCTCTTTTTTTGCGCAAAGGCTATACATTAACTAGCAAAGGGCATGGCTATTATGGTACTCCAATCTCAATATTTTTGGATCTGATAACTATTTTTCAACACCTATGATGTGCTGAAATTTTTCTGTGATGTTATCCTCTTAAGAAACTTCAATTTTACCAATGTAGTACCTAAATGTGCGTGACATCCAGAATTGGCTACAATCTACCAGAAATCAATGATATGCTCACATTCCCTTGATCCATAAATTACTACCCATTAGTAAAAGTTCCAGTAACTTTTTTGAGCAGCCTTATCACACTGTTGGCCCACGCTGAGCTTGCAGTCCACGAAAACCTCAGGTTGTTTTTTTCTTGAAAAGTGGTGTTCGCTTCAAGTCTTCTGAATCTGATGCCAAATATGAACCATGCATTAATTGCTGTTAAAACCAAGTAGGTTTATTTTAGTCATTAATGCTGCTGATTGAGGACTTACAAGTAGCTTGAGGTTATCCATCAGTGTGTACTGTTCTCTGCTGCCTTGGCATCATTCACCAGGTAGATATCCTGTTTTCTACAGTTTTAAAAACAGCAAGAAAGCACGGAAGGAGAAGGAAAAGCAATATTTTACTGAATCTACTCTCTTCCAGACACTGTACTTTTACATACATCATTCTTCTAAATCCTTATGGTAACCCATGCAGATATGCATTAGTACCATTAAGCTCAGAGACACCAACTTGCTCAAAATTGTACAGCTAATAAGTTGCAAAGCCAAGATTCAGACCCAATCCCATTTATCTTAAATAACAACTTGTTTCATCTTTCAACTTGAAGCCCCTGAAGTCATTCTGTATAATGCCTCACCAACAGGATGAGAGCTCTCTGGCATAATCTAGTGTTCTTGGTCAGGGAATGTTTAATGTCACTAGGATCAGGAAGCCCCAAATTGGATTTCCATAACAGGAGATGCTCACCAGCTCAAGAAAAAGATGGGCCCCCAAACTTTAGAACACACAACTTAAGGTTTGCCAATGTCAGTATATCCCCCTGATGCCTATTTTGAGTTCAACTTTATCCTTTTCTCTATAATTGTTATAGCTGAACTCATGCCAGTATTTATCTATGCTCTCTCTTTGAGGAACTCAGCCAGAGAAAGCTGTAGACAAAATGTTTTCTTTTTTTATTTTTTGCCTTATCCCGTTCCCTTGTGAGCAATTCAGAATAAAATAGAATATGAGGGAACTTCAAAAAGTTTGTGGAAAAGTGGAATTAAAAGATAAAACTGAAAATATAAACTATTTTTCAACACAATCTCTATCAAGTTCAAGACGCTTTTTTTTGTAAGCGATGCTATCAGCTATTTAGCCCATTCCTAGAGAATTGAGGCTCCTGGGAATTTAATCATGTCAGTACAGTCTTTTTTACATTATTAATTATTATTAACAATGTAACTATTATTAATAATGTAATTATTTTACATTATTAAGAAAACCCGGTATGCTTTACACACTTCTTCTAATTTTAGGAAACAAAAAGAAGTCAGAAAGAGCCAAATCAGGACTATATGGAAGATGACTAATGATTTCCCATCAAAGCTCTCACAATTTTCTCTATTTGATGAAAGGAATCAGCAGAAGCATTGTTACAGTGGAGAAGGACTCTCTGGTGGAGCTTCCCAGAGGGTTTTCTGTGAAAGCTTTGGCTAACTTTTTCAAAGCACTCTCTTTCTAAGCAGATGTTGTTACTCTTTGGCCCTTCAGAAAGTCAATGAGCAAAGTGCCTGAGTATCCCAAGAAACTGGTCCACTTTTGCTTTGACTGGACCATTCCACCTCTTGGTAGCCATTGCTTTGATTGTGCTTTCTTTTCAGGATAGTACTGGTACAGCCATGTTTTATCCCCTGTCACAATTCTTTGAAGAAATGCTTCACAGTCTTGATCCCACGTGTTTAAAATTTCCATTGAAAGCTCTGCTTTTCTTGGCAACTGACATGGGCACAATGACGTTGGCACTCATCAAGTGGAAAGCTTGCTCAACCTTAATTTTCCAGTCAGAATTGTGTAAGCTGAACCAACTGAGGTGTCTATGGTGTTGGCTATTGTTTGTGCTGTTAATTATCGGTCTTTTTTAATTAGGGCATGAATAAGATGAATTTTTTCCTTGCAAATAGATGAGGATGGTCTGCTGCTGCTGGCATCATCTTCAATATCATCTCTTCTTAAAATGAGTTACTCATTTGTAAACTGCTGATTTCTTTTGAGATTTGCCCCTAGAAACTTTTCATAAAGCATCAGTGATTGCACCATTCTTTTACCCAAGCTTCACCATAAATTTGAGGTTTGTTCTTGCTTCAATTTTAGCAAAATTCATGTTGCTTTGATAGAGGTTCTTTTCAAACTGATATTTTCTCCTCCTTGGTGCCTCAAACTAGATCCTGTTCAGACACGTTATAACAAGTTAGTATGAGTTTGGGTGCCAAAATTTTTTTAAATCCATGCATAGTGTTTTGTTGTTGTTGTTTTAAGTGGTCAGGAGGTACCTATATTTGGATCAGACACGTGAGTCAGACCAGTATGGCTTGTGAGCAACATGGGTGAAAATAGAGGGAACTGACCGGGACCTATTGTCTAACATCATTTTAAGGTCAGACTTGAGTACAAACTTAGAGAAAGCTGATGGAATGCCAAGCACCAACGTGAAGAGACCCTATATGCACAAGGTGGCTATGTTATGCCCAGCTGCTGCCATCTTCCCTTCTTCTGAGAACAAGATGGGAATGATTGAACTATATTAGAAGGATGAAGTTAGCCACTAGGGAGCACACTTCTAGATCAGGCTTGAGATACTAGACTTCAGATAAAGGGACTTATGTCAGGTAGCCTCTACAAATGAGAAGACTAAGATTTAGAAATAGAATAAACAGAGTAACTTTTTTTTTTTTTTGGAGGCGGAGACTTGCTGTGTCACCCAGGCTGGAGTGCAATGGCGTGATCTCTGTTCACTGCAACCTGTGCCTCCTGGGTTCAAGTGATTCTCCTGCCTCAGCTTCCTGAGTTGCTGGGATTCCAGGCACCTGCCACCATCCCCAGCTAATTTTTGTATTTTTTAGTAGAGACGGGGTTTCACCATGTTGGTCAGGCTGGTCTTGAACTCCTGACCTCTGGTGATCCACCCACCTTGGCCTCCCGAAGTGCTGGGATTAGAGGCGTGAGCCACTGTGCCCGGCCAGCAAAGTAACTTCAAACAAACAAACAAACCAAAAAAACCCTTCTCCTAGGATGATCTGTTCGCAACAGAAACAAAAACATTTTCCAGTTTAACCCATTTCTGACTGAAAGTCATTGTAGGGCTGAACCTTAAGGAAAACTAAGTTTAAACTTCCTTTGCATAGTATTTTGTCTTTTTTCCTTGGGTTAGAGGTGAGGACAAGAAAACATGACATAGTTTTGAATTAATACGAAAGAGGCAAAATTTGACATTTTAAATGGCCCCAAACATCCCACTGTTCATTTTGCTGACAGGTGATATACTCTAGAGAATCAGGAGTAGAGGGTTTAATCATAATAAGCATATATGCTGTGGGGTCAGGTGACTCATGAACATGTCAAGCAGGCCAAGTTCTTTAGCAGTTTCTGGTTTGGTCCTGCTTTTAGTAATGGTGCAGTGGAACTTAGGCACATAGTCAAGTATTTGGTACCACTTCCCTATAACCCAGCCCACACCTCTTTGCCCACTCTGAAGCCGGTCAGTATGTTCATCCCAGTGCACTTAGAAGGTGAAGGTTTGGGCTGGGCCCAGGGGCTCACGTCTGTAATCCCAGCACTTAGGAAGACTGAGGTGGGCGGATCACTTGAGCCTAGGCATTCGAGACCAACCTGGGCAACATGGTGAAACCCCGTCTCCACAAAACAAAAACAAAAACTAAAAAAAATGAGCCATGTGTGGTGGTGTATGTCTGCAGTCGCAGCTACTTGGGAGGCTAGGGAAGATCGTTTGAGCCCAGAAGGCGGAGGTTGCAGTGGGCCGAGATCATGCCACTGCCTTTCACTCCAGCCTTGGTAACAGAGTGAGACAGTCTGAAAAAAAAAAAAAAAAAAGGTGAGTTTTTGACGTGGTTTCTGACACCATCTTGCTCTTGTGCATTGCTGCCAGTGTTTCAAATGCTGATGAAGATGTGGGTTCTGAGCAGTGTTCCCTGTATTGTATCCAACAAACAACTGCCCTGCAGGCATTTCTACCCTGGGCCAATGGTTGTTTCTCTTATTTCTTTTTTCTTTTCTCCTCATACTTGTAGTAGGGGCTCTGCAACATGAAAATTAAAAGTACGAATGGGATGAGTAAGTAGGGGGCATAGACAGATACAGGGGTTAACCGTTCATGCAGAGTCTCAGGTCTTTATCCTTTGAAACCACTGGCTTTGGAGAAATCCTCCAACAGAAATGTGGAGAGTAGTGGAATTAAAGTTATCATGGTGTGAACTGAGTAGATGATTTGCAGGGGTTCGAATCCAGTTGCAGCTTCCTTTGAGGAAGGCATAGGTTGCAATGGGAAAGAAAGGCACCTGAAACATAAGCTCGCAAAACAGAAAGGACTTAAACCAAACTGGTGGCTCCTGTAGCAGCGGGCCTTTGAACCCCTTAGCATAGCACTTCAGCAGATTTCTAAACTGTACTGGGTAGAGTTCGCACGGCAGCACCGCCTACAGGTCCATGAACAGGATGATGGGGTTGTGGCTGAGGAAGTAGAGGCCCAGCAGCCACTCCATGCAGTGGCATTGTCTGGCGGTCGGGCCTGGACCTGCCGATATGAGAAGAGATAGTGTTTTCTTAATACACATTTTTTATGAAGTTTTTGAGAACCCCTCATATTTGAGTTGGAATCCTGGAGATCATTTAGTCCAGTTCTATCATTTTAGAGATGAGGATGCTAAAACCCAAGAAGTTAAGCAACTCTTTAGCCTGCACCATAGCTTACTAGAGGGTTCTTGTCCCTTAATTTTTAGCCAGGAAAACCTCCCATCACAGCACACTGCCTCTCTTTTTATCTCAAAATGACAGTGAATTTTCTAAATCAGGCTATAAATAAGAACATCTCTTTCACTTCTAACCATCTCTGGTAAACAGTGACTGCTTTGCCCCTAACTGGCAATCTAGAGTGTTTTCAGGGGCCTGGTTTTTATCCAGGCTGCAGTCCAGGCCCAGGCCCAGGCCCACCCCTGCCTTCCTCTCTGTGCCTGTGGTCCTCCATCCCTTTTTCTCACCTGGCCCTTGTGCAGTACTCCATGCATGACAGCAATCAATAACCTCCTTATTAATTAAATGACACTTTATAAAAGCTCTCCTCCAGGGGCTTTGAGAAAGCCAGCTTTGGCTAGCTGTAAAGTTTTCAGTAATCATTTAAGAAAAAAAAGTTATTCATCATCTTTATGGCAGATCACAGCCGCCACATTCTCCCCAGGAGTTCAATCCATCAAGCTCCTCAATGCAAGAATGGCTAACAAGGTCCCTGTCACTTTGGGTGAAATATACAAGCCTCACCAGAGGCTCCTGACTTCCACCAGGATCAAAGTTTGTAGGCACTGCTCCAGCCCAGCGTCCTCCACCCGAGAAGCCAGCAAGACAGCCTTGCCTTCCTTCCTATCTTTATTTGTAGAATACAGGTGGAAAAGAAGGAATCCTTCAAAGTTTTGTTCTTTCATGAAAATGGGTTCCTGTGGGCAAGAAATCTGCCATTATGCACCTAACCTTTTATATCTGAGATTTTCAAGAGAAAATGGTTTGACTATGGTAATAGGTCGGCTCTTTGAGATTTCCAACTCTCTTGTGCACATTCCACATTAATAACAACTGTCATAACTGCTAGCTATATAATATTTTGCAAAGTGATTTCAATGATGCTATCTCACTTGATCCTCACCTCAACCTTATAAAATAGACAAAGAAGGGGTCATTGACATTCTCATTTTGCAGATGAGTAAACTGAAGCATATGCATGGTCACTTGGGTTCTGGTGGCATTGTAGGGTTTGAGCGCAGATTTGGCTTCAAATTCCATGTGTCGCAAACTATTATATCACCTTGCCTTCTGTCCTCACCTCCCTTTCTGCTTTGTGTGTAGCACAATTGCATTTTGAATTAAGTTGTTTTTTGTAGTCCTTTCTGTTTGCCTGTATCAAATGTTACCGGAAATAAAATGCTCAAGCACAGCTGGGCGCGGTGGCTCACGCCTGTAATCCCAGCACTTTGGGAGGCTGAGATGGGCAGATCACGAGGTCAGGAGATCGAGACCATCCTGGCTAACAAGGTGAAACCCCTTCTCTACTAAAAATACAAAAAATTAGCCTGGCGTGGTGGCGGGCACCTGTAGTCCCAGCTACTTGGGAGGCTGAGGCAGGAGAATGGTGTGAACCCGGGAGGCGGAGCTTGCAGTGAGCCGAGATGTGAGCCGAGATGGTGCCACTGCACTCTAGCCTGGGTGACAGAGCAAGACTCTGTCTCAAAAAAAAAAAAAAAAAATCAAGAACAAGACAAGATGCCATGTTTGGGCTTTCCAATCAACTCAGAGTGGACAGAAGACTTCATGTTGTTCCAGCTCCTATGCTGAAAGCCTCAGACCGTGTGGGGTCCACTCCCCTGAGCTCTGGGGCTACTGTGAACAAGCCTGAGCTTTTCTCTGACCACTGGTGTTTGGGCAGGGGTGAGTCACATCATCTGAGGAGCAGCTCATGCTGTCTGTTTCTCCAACAACTGAAAAGAGATTGGAGAATATGTTAACAGAATCCAGGTCACATCTAGAAGTTGTATGTGCACATGAGCTCATGTGCATGTATCTGTAATGAGTCAATAGGACAAATCCAATTTCAATTTACACCCAGTACCTGCACTGTGTTGAGTGTTTTCACATGGGTTGTTTTTATTGAATTTGAATCCCTTGAAGTGAAGACTATCGTCTTCATTTTTTCAGACAAATAATTGAAACTCAGAGAGGCTGTGACTCGACATTTGACGGTGACATACTTCCTTTTCCCCCTCTCCCACCATAGAGTCCAGGGGATCATGGGTCACACTGCTTCCTCCTGGATGGATGTTTTATCAGCATGTCCCTGTGAGCTGTAGCCTGATTCTTTTCTTATTAACATCAAGTCTAGTCCTGACCAACAGGACCCAGGCCATTGAAATAGTATGTTCGCTCTTTGCTCAGGAATGGGAATGGGAAGAAGGCTACGGTTTTGCCCTGAGTGAGAGCCTTGGCTTTTCCTTCCACGGATTTGGCTGCAGATCCAGAGAGATGGGAGCAGGAGGCTTCTGAGTGAGTATCGGTGATTTTCTGCTCTTCTTCTGCTTGTTTTTTGATATGCTGAGCCACCGTGACTGATTTACCAGCTACCCCAGGGCTGAAAGCTGATGTTAGAATTCCCTACAATGGAAATGGTTTCTGCAGGCAAAAGTGGAGAAACATTAACTCATAAGAACAGGTGTTTGTTTAGAATGGTGGTTACTAGAGCCTGATGTGTTCCCTTGTATGTCCTCCTGTGGTGGACAGGTGTCCATCTGTGTGGTGTCCTCCTGTGTGGAGGTGGTGGGCAGAGAAGAAAAGGACCCAAGTGAGGTTAGAGAGAAACAAAGTAAGAACAAAAAAAAAAAAAAAAAGAAAGAAAGAAAAGGAAATAGAGACTTGTAGGAGGGAACATAATTTTTTTTTAAATTTTATTATTATTATACTTTAAGTTTTAGGGTACATGTGCACAGCGTGCAGATTCGTTACATATGTATACATGTGCCATGTTGGTGTGCTGCACCCATTAACTTGTTATTTAGGATTAGGTATATCTCCTAATGCTATCCCTCCCCCCTCCCCCCACCCCACATCAGTCCCCAGTGTGTGAAGAACATACAATTTTTTTTCAGCTGTCCAGTTTCCATCCCCTTTGAGTTCTTTTCCTCCTACAGATGGCCCATGGCTGTAACTACTACCAAATTCACAGAGGTACACTAGTGCCCAGCTCTCACTGTCTTGAGCAATCCTGAAGAATTACAAAATCCCTTCCCTCTCAGCTCAGCTGGAATTGGTGAAACTCTCAAAAGAGCATTAGATTAGGTAGATAGATAGACAGACAGACAGACAGATTAGATAGATGATAGATAGATGATAGATAGATAGATAGATAGATAGATAGAAACAGTCAGTGTCTACAGATACATAAAAATGAGCAAGTTGATGAGGTCCTGGTGCTTCAGTCTAATTTAACTAAAGACTAGCCACAGTAAAGAATGCAGACTACACAAGCCCAGCTACTTAGAAACTTCCAATAGCTCCCCCTTTCCAAATCTTTCATATTTTTCCATCCCGCTTTGTCCTTGGCACATTCACCCTTCCTAGGGGAGAGGAACATTTTGAATGCTTACTATGTGAAACCACTTGTATTCATCAGACATCTTCTTGTTATAAGTGAAATACTAACTCAAAATAGCTCAGAAGCAAAAAAGATAAACATTGATCCTTCAACTAAAGCTTGAAAAGGCAGGAGAGATTGCAGCCTCCTGGCTCTGCATCTGTCCTCGCACCTGAGTCCAGGTTGGGGCTCATTCTCTTGGGTTCCTTTGCAGGGAGAGCTGAAGCCACCAACTGTTCTGGAAGCCCTGGTTTTAGGAGTGGTAAACAAAGAGAAAAGGAGATAGGTTGTCAGCCCAGCTTCAGAATGAAGATCTTGGGGAAGGACTCCAAGAGGCTGGACATGGACAATGTGCTTTATCCTCGACCAGCATCACAGCCAAAGACCAGGATGAGTCAAGTATGTGGGTCCCCGCCCTGGTCTGCAGCTGAGGGAATGGGGTGTTGGGTGGGCAACTTTGCAAGCAATAATAATGAGAGTGGAGGTGGATTTATACACAGGAGGAATTGGGGGTAATAGCACTCAGAAAAACGGGAACATGAGCCCCACAAACGTGAAACAATGGATGTTCACTGAAGTATTGGAATGCATCATTTCATGTAATCCTCAGGCCAACACTAACATTTAACAAGCTCAGTGAGGCGGGGCTCTGGGTGTGTTTCACATTGTATCCATGGTAGCTGGAATAGTACCTGGCTCATAGCAGATCCTCAAATATGTACTGAGTGAAAGTGAGCTTCCTGCTATTACGAAGCCCATTTTATGAGGCTTCGCAGGGTGAAAGAACGGGCAGAAGGAGAGTATTTGACCTCAGGGCTGTCTGGCCTGCTTCTCCCTCCTTGCACCCCATGGAATTGTCCCCTGCCGGGCAGTGCCATGGGCTCTCTGATCATCACAGGTTTGCATTTTGCAGCCAGATCCAGGCTCCACACGAGGGCCTGTCCAATAGAGCCCTTCCTTGTCTCTGAGAAAGCAAGAAAGAAAAGTGCAGCAGACGAGACCAGCTGAGGTGCAAGGCAGGCCGGGCAGGAGATGGAGGATGGGGAAAAAAATTAGAACCAACCCTGTGGAAACCTGCCCTGGTCTCCTGAGCAGGTGCCAGGCAGGCCAGGGCATGGCATCTGGGGCCCCTGTTGGATTTAGAAGTAGTCCAGGTAGCTGTCAGGATCCAAGTGACACAGGGAGGAGGATGGGACAGCTGGTGACACTAGATATCAGGTTGATGGAGGCATTTTTGGAGCAAAGGAGTTATTTGAGAGCAGGATTCTAGCCACATGAATAGGACTCAGGCATGGTGACCAGGCCACAACCAAATCAGCTGGGGTCCAAGTAGGAGTCGCCAATGTCAGTGAGAAGCTGAGGTGCCGGGCAAGACCGCTGAGGCAGAGGCAGCATGGTAGCACAAGGCCATGGATTGTCTATCAGTGGGTGCCCAGAGCGCACCCTGATATACTGAATAGGAAAGTAACAACCAGATTCATTCCAGACTCTTCCCCTAACTACACACACACATATACAGCAGCTCCTGTTGCGAAGGCTGAGAAAAAAAGGGAGTGACAGAAGAAAGCAAGAAAAAAATCACATTGGAGTCAAAAGGAGCAGGCAGGCTGGGCGTGGTGTCTCCTGCATGTAATGTCAGCACTTTGAGAGGCCAAGGTGGGCGGATCACTTGAGGTCAGGGGTTCTAGACCAACCTGGTCAACATGACAAAATTCTGTCTCTACCAAAAATACAAAAATTAGCCAGCCATCATGGCGTGCACCTGTAATCTCAGCTACTCGGGAGGCTGAGGCAGAAGAATTGCTTAAACTAGAGAGGTGGAGGTTGCAGTGAACTGAGATCGCACCACTGCACCCCAGCCTGAATGACAGAGTAGGACTCCATCTCAAAAAAAAAAAAAAAAAAGCAGGCAAAACCCACGCTTCTGGGTAGTGGGGTAGTTTTGGCTGCTTCTATGTCTCTCTCTTCCCCTAGCCAGGCCTCTGTGGAACTGCCCCACCCTACCCCACCTTTTTCCTCTTGCCCACCTCATGGCTGGCATTGTACATCTCAACTTCTTTTAATTTTCCAAAGTCAGACACTGCGATTGCCCCGCAGCTGCACATGTGAATCCCCTCCTGTCCACAGCCAGCTCCGCCCAAGTATCAGTCTGGGGAAATCTGGAAACTGAGCCCCTGACACTGTACTTTTGGGCCAAGCCCTTGCTGGGCTCCTGGCAGGACCGAGCCTGCCCCTGTGCACATGCACCCTTCACAGTGAGGAGTGCTGTCTCAGTATCCTGGGGTGACGTGGAATGGAAGAGTCTCTGCGGTCGGCTTTGGAAAAAAATAAAGCAAGAAGCTGGAATATCATTAGTGTTTAACTCCTCTCTCTCCATTACTCGCCATTAAACCAATGAGAGGACCCAGTGTCCATGTCGGCTCATACTTTAGAAACTGGATTCAGCCACCGAGAGCTGATAAGTGCTGATAATTGGCTGCCCCAGAGGAGCTGTGGAGGCTGCTGCTTCCCAGGAGAGCTGTCCCACAGCTCTAAGGGCAGGAGGCCCTGCCCTAGCCCTGTGCCTCCTGGCCTGCTGTCCCCAGGGGCCTGGCCTCTGGTCGTCACAGAGCCAACGCTGGCCTTGCGCAGCAGTGGAGCCTCCCTTGCCTGCAGAGCTATGCCTGCTGAGCTAACAGAAAAGCAGGGGGTGGGGGCGCAGAGCTATTAGCTCGTCTGAAGAGTGTCCCTCGATCAAATAAATGAACTGCACTGTTTACTGTGTAAACTTGGACTGAAGCAGCCGCACTGAGCGGGGTTCATAACAAGGGCTGTTAATATTTATGGCTGACACTGGTGGCTCCTACTGACACAATAATGAGCCCATCACCCCCTGAGCTGGATTCGCTACCACCTTCCAGCAGATGCAGAGGGCAGGAGGGAGGACTGGGGTCGTCGGATGGGTGATATATGCCTAGCAGTACCCAAAGCCTTCCTGATCTGGATCTCAGAGTCTATGCAAGATGTAGAAGTGACTGCTGAGCACCCGCTGTGCACAGATCATTAAGCCAGTGCTGAAGAGGTAAGCGCTTCTAGGAAACCACTGAGTAACCAGAGGAATGAGTGCTACCAGAGGGTTGAGGTTCAAGCTGGAGTTGGCCCCTCATCCCTGGGTTAGATCCCCGAGTAGAAGGATATGGCTTCCGAGATGAACAGCCTCAGCTCTGGGAAGCTAGGGTGATCTTTACATAGAGAATGTGGCTCCCAGGACTGGGGGGCTCAGAGTCTCTCCTGAAAAACTGTCTCATTCTTCCCTAAAGAGCCTCCCTGAGCTCTTCTCCAGCTCTCTCCTGGACCAGGAGGTCTAATTTGAAGCCCTCAAAGCTGGTGAGAATGGGCTGGCAGGAGAGGAGGCAGCAAGGGAGACAGAAGACCCCTGAGCGAGCTTAGTGGCTGCACACTGAGGCTTTGGTCCTCCCTTGAAGTGGTTGACCTAGGGGCCCTAGGGGCAGCTGCTCTCCCTGGGTGGGCCAGGCGCTGATCCTAAGCACCCAGGACACTTTCTGGCCTAAGTGATCCACTCTGACTCTAGGCCTGCTCTGCCAGCCCCACTAACTCTGTGATGTTGGGCAAAGAACTTTCCTTCCCTGGCCTGATTCCATTTTTGCACAAGCAGGGATTTGGGCTAGATAGGAGTCATTAGCTTGTCGTAATCTAACCTGAATGGCTTGAAGAAGCCAGACCCGGGATATGTACATGCATGGAGAAAAGGAGCAAGGGGGAGGGGAGTGCCAACCAAGGCACTTTGGTCCAAGGCCAGGCTTCTTGGGGTCCAAGAACCCCCAAAGTGTAGGCCACAGCATATGTGTGCATATAGCATTCATTATTCTTAAGTAGCTCAGAAACAGTTCAGAATCACTGCATGCAACCCTAAGGTTCTTTCAAATTCTGAGATCCTCTAGTTCTAAAACTCCCACACCCCATGGAACTCCCTCCCTGAGTTACGTTATGGATGGGGTTGTCCGAGTCTCTCTGCATGTGCAGTGGGGCAGCCTTCAGGAGTGGAGAGATCATAGGGGCTGGCACCCACGTGGTGGATTCACATAGTACAAGATTGAGGGCACAGCTTTTGGAGTTAGACCTGAATTGGAATCTGAACTCTCTGATTACAGTGATGTCTGTAAGTCTTTGTCTCTTCATCTGTGAAATTGGCATAATAATGCAGGGTGACTCTATATCTGAAAACACAGGTGAATACATAATGAGCCATTTGTAGATAGTACATTACAGTCTGTGATAAAATAACACTAACTGTGTGTTTCGATTGCATAGCCACTTCCTAGTAGCATCTACATCAGAGGGTGGTTTAGAGGATTCTATGCAATGATGAATACAAATTCCCTGGCACAATGCATGTGCCAATAAATGTTACCAATAGTAATGATTATCGTAACGTTTATCTCTGTGCCATGCAGATCAGTGTCCTGGGCTAACGCTCTCTGTTCACCTCTTGTCTCCGCCAGGCAGTGCCTCTGATTATGAGCGCACCCTCAAGTTCGCCCAAAGTGCAGTGTGGAGGGAGGATTCCTGAATTTGGAGGCCTCAGTGGGAACAGATAGACCCAAGAGGAAACAAACTAGGAGTCCAGTCAAGCCACTGGAGGCCCAGAGGATGTTGCAAGGACAGCAGACATGTGGTTTAGAGGAACAGGGGGCAGACAGGCAGCAGAGTCCAGCAATAGCTGAGACAATGGTACAAGGGAGGCTGCCTAATTTATAGCACCCCACGGTCCCCAAGTGCTGATTGTGGCCCAAGAGGAGTCAGAGACCAGCAGGTGAGTTCTATTCTTGATTGCTGCAGGTTCACAGGTGCTGTGGTTGCTTCTCAGCAGGGCGGTGGGTGGGGTGGCCAAAGTAAAAGCAATGCAAATGGTGTGGGCAGCTAAGCAGCATTTCCAAGAGCAGAGAGGACCCGATTCTCCTGCAGACCTGGGTCTGCAGATGCTGCTCTTTCCCCATCATTCTTTCATTAAAGTGGAGCCAGGAACTTTGCGGAGGTGGGGCATAGTAGCGGTTGGGTAGAGATGCTTATAGCGAAGCTAGAAGGTCTCTCCTGAGTTCTTCAAATTAGAGTCAGATCCCTCAGGGCTCAGGCAGACGTAAAGTTTGGAAGGAGGGGAGGCTGTTTGATGGATGGAAAGAATAAAAAAATCTATTAGCAGTGCTTTGAGCTCTTTAGAGAACAGTTCCTGAGGAAGCCAAGTAAATAACTTCCTGATACCCAAGATTTGTTAATTAAGCACTTTGAACAGGCTCTGGGAGGAGGGGCAGACAACTGTAGAATCCGACTTCTGAGTCTCCCAGTCTCAGGAGAGACGGCACATGTCTCAGTGGCTCGAGGTGTCGCCCAGCCTCCGTGTAAGGGATGGGGCTGCTTCACTACAGGAGGGAGGCCTGGTGCACGGTGGAACCCCATGTAGAGACGACAGGGCAGGGCCTGAGTTGTGCACACAGTGGCACATGTGTTGTGCTATCCTTCTTGACTCCATGAGCTGTGTATCATGGAGAGACAGCAACAGCTGACCTGTCTAGGAGAAAAGCCACCTGGCCTCACCCAAGGGGATTCTAGGGAGGAATGTTTGCCTGTGGATGCCAGCATCTGTGCAGGGGTGCATCGTGCATCTGGTTTAAGCCCAGGAGACCCTGGGCTCCTCTTCTGACGTGCACATACTCCTGGGAAAAGTAATGCATGGAATCGCGCTGTCTTCTTTAAGGGGGGTTGTTCAGATCCGAGAGTTCCTTGATGGGAAAAAGGGGGCCAAAGAGGAGAAAGAGAAGGCAGCACTAAGAGGAAGAGGAAGGGAGGGAGCTGGAGGCTGCTCCTCCCCCTAGCCTGAGGGAGGCAGACACCAAACCTCACCCCGGAACCCCTCAGCCTGCTCAGGGGCCTGAAGCTTGCTCCAGAAGAGGCCCAAGGAAGAGAGAAAAGAGGAGAAGGAGCTGGGGACAGAGAATAGAACTCCTGAGGGCTGATACTAACAACTTGCTTGCTTTTTTCTCCCCGAGGGGTCTTCAGGCAAATCCAATCTGGGCCACTGTCCTGGTTCTGGGGAGTAGACCTAGATGAGCCGCTCATTCTCCTCCAACACCCCTCCCATCTTCATCAGGTGGCTTTCCTGTGTGGTCCCATCCACTTGATGTCATTCCTATAAAGGGCTATGAAAAATAAATGTCTAGTCAATGGAATCCTCATCTGGAGGAGTCATGGAGGGGAAGGAATCCTGGGTAGGTCCCTTGTATGGAAGAGAAAAATCCTTAAAGTAACATGAATGTGTCCAGCCTGGCTGCCACCCCAAATCACCCAGGTCTAACTCTGCCAGCCCTTCCCAGACAGTAGGCTGAGTCTCGTCCCCATGCAAGAATCATGAGTTACCCTGACTCCAGGCTTGTGGGAAATTCCCCATCTCTACCAGGTGGAAACCTAGCCTCTCCATCACAGCCTGAGAGAGAGGCCTCGCACCCAGCACCACATCCCACAGTTCTGGGGCTGCACAAAGCCAGACAAGTTTGAAGACAAAGAGAAGGAACTCTCCTTTCTTCATGTGGAAGACACATGCACACATAAGCCTAGCTGAGGACATGATAAGGAAAAGCTCATGGACGTTCTCAGATGGGGTTGGCAATGTCCAGCTGTGTCATGCTGAGTCCCTGGGCACTGAAGAGGGTGGTTGGTGGGAGAGGACGCTGGTAGCTGGGAAGACCTGGGTGAAATCTGAGTTGGTCATGGGCATTGTCCCTGTCTGTCCATACTCTGTACAGCGTCGCCCCCAGTAAGGCCCAGGATGGGGCTCCTCCACAGCAGATGGGCAGAAGAAAAGTGCAGGGGAAGCACACAGAGCCAGGGGGCTCAGGAGGGAGGGAAGCTGTCATTTCCTCACCCATTCCTTTCTGTGTGGTTCTAGTCCAGGCTGTCGATGCTGTCCTTTGTGTTTCTGGCTGAGAGGAGGTTGTCTGTCTCCTGTTCCCGCCTTTGCTTTCTGCACCTAACTTTCCCCCAGCCTCAGCTTCCTCCCTACCTCTGCCACCTTATTTATTCCCCATAGTGACTGAAAGCTAGAGATGTTTATTTCCTTTTTAGTATTATTATTATTTTTAAGACAGGATCTCGCTCTGTCGCCCAGGCTAGAGTGCAGTGACGTGATCTCAGCTGACTGTAACCTCTGTCTCCCGGGTTCAAGCTGTCCTCCCGCCTCAGCCTCCCCAGTAGCTGGGATTACAGGCACACACGACCACGCTTGGCTAAGATGTTCCTTTGGAAAGATAAGGAAACAGGCTCGGGGTTGTTGAAGACCACTCTGCCTGGGAAGTGCAGAGCCTGGATATGCATGCAGTTTCCTGACAGGGAAGCTCCATTTTTTCCGCTGTTATGCACACTGCACCTGTGGTACACTCTGGAAGATCTTGCCATTGGGCCTTCTCTAAATTTGTCCTTCCAAGACTGCTGCCCCGGTCTCAGACTCATAATTCCACTTTCCCTTAAAGGTGAGGCTGGGGTTTAGAGTAAGAAGCAAAGTGGTCTGGATGGGCAAGGTCCACTACCCTATCTGGGAGAGGAGGAAACTTTCGTGTGTGATGTGCCCAGGAGTACTGCAGAATCAATAACCACGGACTCCTCTGAACCTCCAAGACATAAGCCATTCCTGTTGTTTGAGGTACCGTGGGCCATAAGCATGGGCAGAAGGGCAATCTCTTTAAAACCATCAAGAGCAACTACGTATCGTTCCAAGATTGAAAGACCAGTATGGCTAAGATGTAAATTCTCTCAAATTTGTCTATGGATTCCACACAATCACAGTCAAAATTCAAGCAGACTTTTTTTAAAAATAGAATTTGACAAGCTGGTACTAAAATGTGTATAGCAATGCAAAACATCTAAAATAGCCCAAATGATTTTGAAAAAGAACTGGGTTGGAGAACCCACCCTCGCTGATTTTAAGACCTACTGAAGAGCTATTTTACTCAAGACTGCATAGCGCTGGCATAGGGTTGACTTATATATCAATGAGGCAGAATAGAGAGTCAAGAAATAGACCCATACATGTATGTCTAATTTATTCTCAACAGAGGAGGCAAGACAATTTGATGAATGAAAGGAAAATCTTTTCAACAAACTGTGCTGGAACAACTAAAAGTCCATGCAGAAAAGAAAAAAAAAAAGAACCAAGAAACTTTATCCTTACTTTATCCTCACCACACTGAAAATTTGACTTGAAGTGGATTTAAACCTAAATATGAAAGCCAACTGTAGACTTTTAGAAAAAGCTGTGGGAGAAAACCTTCACAATCTTGAGTTAGGCAGATATTTCTTAGGACACAAAGAGCATAAACTGTTCACAAAAAACTGTGATAAATTGAACTTTATCAAAATTTAGAACTTCTGCTCTTTGAAAACTACCATTATGAAAAGACAAGCTGCAGATCAGAAGAAGATATTTATATTACATATATCTGACAACTTATATCTGAAATATATAAAGAACTCTTACAACTTAATAAGACAACTTAATAAAAATATTAGCACATGATTTCACAGACACCTCCCAAAAGAGGATATAGAAATGCTGTATAAGCCCATGAAAAGATGCTCAACATCATTAGTTCATCAGAAGAAGTGTCAATTAAAACTATGGATACTATTACACACACCCTGGAATAGTTAAAAAGACTAATCATCCTTAGTATTACTTAGTATCCGGAGCAATAATCACACAAATGATGCTGCTATGAATGTAAAATGGTACAACTACTTTTGAAAACAGTTTGAGAGTTTCTAATAAGGTTAAACATAAATTTACCATATGAGATGCCAACTGGACACTTAAGTATTTAGCAAAGTAAAAGGAAAACAAATGTCCCCACAAAGACTTAGACAGGAAGTACAAAGCACACCATAGCTCCAAACTGCTGTGTCATAATAGCTTCAAACACATGTCAATCAACAGGTGAATGAATAAACAAGCTGTAACCTGGAGCTTCACAGCTTGACTTAAATTCAGCCATGTCAGGAATCATCTTTTTAAATTACAAACATAGGTTTGTAATGTCATACTCCTTAGCAATTTAGAAAGATGAGCTCATGATGCATTCAGCAATGTGGATTACTCACACCACATTCTGCTGTGTGAAATAAGCCAGGCATAAAACAGTACACATCATAAGGTTCTGTTCATATCAATCTCTAGAAAAGACTGATCAACCATTACAGCAATTATAAATAGTGCTGCAATGAACATACATGTGCATGTATCTTTGTAATAGAATGATTTCTATTTCTTTGGGTATATACCCAGGAATGGGATTGCTGGATCAAATGTTATTCCTGTTTCTAGATGTTTGAGGAATCGCCATACTGTCTTCCACAATGGTTGAACTAATTTACATTCCCAGCAATAATGTAAAAGCATTCTTATTTCTCTGCAACCTCACCAGCATCTGTTGCTTCTTGACTTTTTAGTAATGGCCATTATGTCTGGCGTGAGATGGTAATTTATTGTGGCTTTGATTTGCATTTCTCTAATGATCAGTGATGTTGAGCTTTTTTTCATGTTTGTTGGCTGCATGAATGTCTTCTTTTGAGAAGTTTCTGTTCATGTCCTTTGCCCACTTTTTGATGGGACTGTTTTTTTGTTCTTGTAAATTTGTTTAACTTCCTTGTAGATTCTGGATATTAGATCTTTGTCTGATAGATTGCAAAAATTTTCTCCCACTCTGTGGTACACATACACATGGAATACTATGAAGCCATGAAAAGCAATGAGATCATATTCTTTGCAGGCATGTGGATGGAGCTGGAAGCCATTATCCTCAGCAAACTAAATGCAGGAACAGAAAACCATACACCACATGTTCTCACTTATAAGTGGGAGCTGAACAATGAGAACACATGGACACAGGGAGGGGAACAACACACACTGAGGTTTGTTGGGGGGCAGAGGGAGGGGAGAGAGAGGATTAGAAAAAAATAGCTAACGTATACTGGGCTTAATAGCTAGGTGATGTGTTGATAAGTGCAGCAAACCACAGTGGCACATCATGTTTACCTATGTAACAAACCTGCACATCCTGCACATATACCCTGGAACATAAAAATAAAGTCACAGCAAACAGATCAGTGTTGTCTAGAGCCAGGAGTGGAAACTGATTGTGTAAAGGCACAAGAAAACATTTTGAGATAATAAAAATATCCTACACTTTTTTAAAATTTATTTTTATTTTTAATAGAGACAAGGTCTCACTGTATTGCTGAGTCTGGCCTCAAACTCCTAGGATCAAGCAATCCTCCTACCTCGATCTCCCAAAGTGTTAGGATTACAGAGGTGAGCCACTGTACCCAGCCCTGATATTTTATATATCTTGATTGTAGTGGTGGATGTAAAGATATATACATTTATGTGAGTATACACATATATACATATATCTGAATATATATTTGTATTATGTACTCATCAAAATGAACATCTGAAGTGTGTGCATTTTATTGTATGTAAGCTATAACTCACTAAAGTTGCTGTAAAAAGACAACATATATCAAGTCTTTCTGACCTGCTTGCTTCTAACTACTACAGTTCCCACTGCACTTAAAGCCTAGACTTGTCACCGCATTCTACAGGGCCCTGCATGGTCTGGTGCCATCTCTCACCACTGTTTCCAAGGTCATTGTCTTCCAGGCACACTTGCCTGCTGTTATTCCCTTCTGTGGCCCTCCCCACAGGTAGCGCCCCTGCCTAGACTGCTCTATGCTCAGCTCTGTGTCCCTTGCCTATAGGGTCACCACCCCGATAGTTCTCTACTTAGCCTTTGCTCTGAGTCATCATCATTAGCTCCCCAATTTAAATGTTGTCCCTCTACTATATTTGTCCACGACACTCTCTTCCTACCTAGGCATTATCACAATTTGTACATACATGTGAATTAATGTGGTGTCCTCTTTTTAAATGTTTTTCCTACCCTAGACTGTAAGATCAAAACAGGACCAAGTTTGCTTTGTCCCCTACTGCATCCCTAGCATCTAGCAATGTCCCTGCAGATAGTCGAGTCTCCGTAAATATTTGGTAGATAAAAGGATGGACAAATGGATAAATCAATGAATCAATATTTTTCTTTAGGAAGTTGTTAGGAATCAGTGGATCACTATGGTGAGGGCTACATGTGGTGGAATAAAGGACTCAGCCTTGGGTATCAGGCCCTGGCTCTCTCACTAATGCACAGAACAGATTGGATTCACTAGATTGGGGTTGGGGGCCGGGAATTCTAACATTTAACAAGGGCCCCAGGGTAATTATGGTGTAAGAATGTATGATAATAACTAGGTAAGCGTATATATCTATAGCATATATATATATATATATATATATATATATATATATATATTCCTGTAAACACTTGCAAATCCATATGTAGAGATTTTTGAGCCATCATTTCAAAAAATGCAATTCCTTTTACTCATTTATCTGTATCTTCTCACTCAACAATTCCTTGTAGAATCCCTCTAAGTTGCTTGACATGCTATTATTCTTTCCTCTTTATTAATAGATACAAGATACAGTGCAGGGTGTGTAGTGGTTGTTAGTGCTATTCACCAATACTTTTTTTTTTTTCTTCTCTTCCAGACACATGGTAGAATTGCACTTCCTGGCTCACCTTTGGCTGAATGGGGCCATGTGACTAGTCATAGCCAAGGAATTATGACTTCTGCCTTGAAGCATTTAATCACCTGGTTCGAGACCCTCCAGAACTCATTTCCCCATGGCACAGCAACTGGAAATATTTAAGGTAATAGTTGTTCCATCAGCCTGGGTCCCTGAATGACCCTGAGGAATAGAGTCCTTTACTGGCTTGACTTGGACATATAGTATGAGCAATCAATCCATTGTTATTGTTTTAAGTTATTAAGCTTTTGGAGTTGTTTATTCCATATCAACAAGCAGCCTAGCCTAACTGAAATATATTATTGTACCAGAATTCATTCAATCATTCTTTGCCACGAACAAGAGTACTCCAAGAACATCCCTTCACATATGTCATTAGACACTGGTGTGAGTCTAGACAAATAGAGAAAAATATGGAAGGATACATAAAAGGTTAACATGGGTTCCATGGTTTTGTGGAGGATTTGTGGCTGAGAATTATTAGTATGGAGGAGGTTGGAGAGAGGAAGAAGATACAAAGAAAAGAAAGAGAGAGAGAAAGAAAATGAAAAGCTATATATAATATAATCACGTTTATGTAATTCTATAAAATTATAAATCTTTATGTAGTCCTACATAAACATATCTATATCTGTGTTTGAATTTTTAAAAAATAAATACTTAAATTACTAATTTATAAAAAGAAAGCCACCAGACCATTTAAGACCCTGATGAAAATGCAAATGTTATTTTGGATGCTCAAATACTAGGGGATTATGGAGCAGTTATTTAGACTTCTGCTCCGGTCACATTAAGGGATTAGTAACTGCATGCTGATGGAAAGAGTGAAAGCATAGCATTCAGGGCAGCTTGGTGTTGATGCTGGGGAAGAGGATGGGTGGCGTGGGGGACGGAAAGAGCTGTGGTGCCTTTTGATACTAGGCTAAAAATGGTACCTCAGAGGGAGAAGGAATAGCAAGAGGGCTTTGGGAAAGCAGGTGAGGATATTGATTTGAAGGAGGGAGGTACATGATTGAAGGAGGGAGGTGCATGAGCAGAGCTAGCAAGACTAAACTAGCCATCATCAACATATACCTGTGAGATCACCTGGTCTATCATCATTTTATAAGAAGGAGCTATTTTCTTTCAGATTATCTCCTGTAACTAGCACAATGCCTGGCTTGTCAGAGTAAGAACCCACAAAGCATTTGATGAGAGACTGTGTGTGTGTGTGTGTGTGTGTGTGTGAGAAAGAAAGAAGCAGGGAAGGGACTTGATTACATAGCTTATCAGTTGCAGAGCCAGGAGTAAAATTCAGACGCAGGCTCATTTTAGCTCCAGATTCTTCTAGGAATACTTGAAAGAGATCCACAGAGAGATAAGAGGAAGGGAAAGAGAGAAGGGAAGGAAGAAGGAAGGGAGGGAGACAGCGCTCTCTTTCTCTCTCTCTCTCCCTCCTTCTCTGTCTCTTTTTCCCCCTTCCCCTCTCCCAGAAGTGGAGGTGCATTGTAGGAGGTGCATTGTATTGAGGAGAACGACACCAGCGGGCCCTTCTCCAGTAATTCAGGTTGTGTAACAGAAGGACACTCCTCCTTCTGTATGTGCTCTGAAAGGACCCCCAGTGTCAGGAGCCTCTTAACTCACTGTCCATGAGCACTGGCCCCCTTTGGTTTTAACAGCCTACCAGGCCCTGGAATCTGACCTTGTCAAGCACCCCATGGGGTCAGGCAGTCTCCCAGTCCTCTCTGGACTCAACTGTCTGAAAAGGATTGGCCTGTAATTCCAACAAAATAGATTGTGAATATGTTGCTGAGGGAGTGCTTTTTTTTCTGTAGCCTTTCTGTAGTATGTGCGTTTTCCCCCAGAAAGAGGATCTTTGGAGCAATCCTCATGTCTTTCTTTTCCCTGGAAAGAGATCCTCAGAGCTATCTTCCTTTCCACAACTGACCACATCCTGAAGATAATATCTCCTGGACTGGCTATGCTAACTCTTCATGAAATGTAGAGAACTGGCCAAGGATTCGAAAGTGGTTTAGCAGAGGATCTGATAAATTCATCTATACGAAGGTGTTAGGGTCTGATAACCCTTTAACGTGTTATCTTTCCAAGCAGACTTGCATTATTATAGAGCACAGACAAAGTAAATTGTTATGCATCAGCTGATAAGGCAGTAGATGCTGGCTCAATTTTCCAAACATGAATATGTTTGATGTAAGTGGAACATAGAAACTAGGTGGTTAAGTATTAGATGATTTGGGATGTGGTAAGATACAGTGGATACACGTTATTAATTAAGAATTGGGTTTGGATTGTGTATCAAATGGTATGCTTTTACCCAGAAATAATAGATTACAGAACTAAAGGTGGCTGAAAGATTGAGGAAATTTTACTATATTATATAACAAGAACTCCAGTTTGGTTAATTTAATAGCAGGAATGTTTCCTCTTTCTGTTGTACCCCATATGATTGATTGCCAGGTGCTATAGCCTGTTCTATGTATTATGAAAATCTTAATTACAGAAAATATCTCTCCTTTCACTCCTTGGGCAACTTTTTTTAATAGAAGAGGCTTTACAGCATCCCTTTGTATTAATCAACATGGACTTACAGCCATAGAAATATCACCAGAATTCTATGGTCAAATATAATTAAGGCTTATTTCTTGCTCAGGTCATATTCTGGTTCAAACAGACTGGAGTGAGGAGAATGTTCTGTTCCATGAAGACATTCAGGGATCCAGGCTCCTTCTATTTGGTAGCTGCAGCGTCTTCTGGGGTTTCAGAATAACATGCTGGATCCTCTGCACCTGCCCTGTAGATGGAAGGAAACGTAAGACATCCTCTCAGTTCTCATTGGTGATGTGTGAGTCCCAAGCTTATGAATAAATGAGTCACTGTCAAGAGAATGAAAATCATCAGACTGGTTTATGTTGTGCACAAACCCTAAGGTGGCCCCCCAATATTGCCTGTCTTCTGGTATCCGCACTATCCGCGCCTTTGTATAATCCCTCCTGCCCTGAGTGTGAGATAGGAGACTTTTTCTAACCAATGGAAGGTGGCAAAGGTGTGTGAGTCACATCCTTGAGTATGTTTTGTTAGAATGTCACGTTTGTGATTTTATTACGTCACTTTATATAAGGCTCTGTCTCCCTAGGATTTTTTGCTTGCTGGCTTGATGAATTAAGCCAGGTGGAAAGGTTTTCTTTAAGTGGGCAGCCTCAAGCCAACAGCCAGCAAGGAATAAAAGCCCTATATTCCACAACCTAAGAAAATAAATTCTTCCAACAACCTGAGTAAGGTTGGAAGCTGATTCTTCTCCAGACTCCCAGATGAGAACACAGGCAGGCTGACTCTTGAGTCCAGCCTTGTGGAACCCAGAGAAGAGGGCCCAGGTAAGCCATGGCTAGACTCCTGACTGACAGAAATTGTGACATCACACATGTGTTATTTTAAGCTACTAAGTTGGTGGTAATTTGTTGTGCAACAATAGAATACTCATATAGCTTAGCTGAATCATGATTAACCACTGGAAGAAGAAGGAAGCCAAAGTATCTGATGCACTGGAGAATGAAAACCCGTTCAAAATCAGGTTCTTACAGGAAGGACAAGGGACACTTGGCTATATGTAGACCACAGACAGTATTTGATATAGTGTGTCTGCATTCTACTATATATATATATATATATATATTTTACATATATAAATGGAGGATCTTACATTATTTTGTTTTAACAGAAGTATAGAGAAGTTTTCTGTAAAATGGAAATGAGTATCATGAAGTTTTAAATGAACAGTGTAAAACAGAAGACATCAGCATTCATTAGGTCCCAGACCTCTTTGAGAATCTGATGAAATTCTGGACAACCTCTCCTCCCACAAACAAGATGTACTAGAATACCTACACATAAAATGTTGCATTCAATTTTGGAATGTGAAGAGATCATTTGAAGCCGATCCAGAGGCCTCTAAGGTAGGTATGTACTATACAGGGCTTGGAGACCTGGACTGCTCTGGTCATGCAGATGTGAGAGGGTGATATCAGTAGAGAGTTGTAGTGAGTAAGAAAATGTTCTCAGGAAACCTCAGCTTGTCGTTATATGGCAGAAACATGTTCAGATGTGTGACTCAGGGATTACTTAATATAGTTGGGGTTGGAAAGAATGAAGAGAGTATCCCAGGCATCAGGGCTGATGGGCAAGGATGGAGACAGAACCTTCTGGATCAGCCTGAGTCAGGAAGCAGCTCAGGATACAGAAAAGCCAGGGCTCTTGAGTTAAGGAGGGCACTGATGCAGTGCAAAGAGGAGAAGGTGAGAGAGCAGAGGAATAAGGGTGGAAGGACCAAGAGATACACCTGCCAGGGGGACTAGGGTATTAGCACCTCCGCCTTTCCTGTGCTGGGGTGAGAAGGAGGAAAAAGAAAGGACTAGTAGAAGCTGTTTCTAAGGGATCTCTGGCTTCTCCAGGAGAATTGCTTAACTTTGTTTTCGATTCAATAGCAATCCAAAAAAATTAATATAAGCATTTTTCCCGACCATATAGATAACTACCTTAAAACCAGCCATGGATTTCATTGTCCCCATTCGCCTTGGCATTGTGGTCATGTCTGTAACAATTAGCACTACAATCATTGACGCAGCCTAGATAGAAAAGAACAGAGGGGAAATTGCAATGTAAATGGCACACTTCTGCCAAGTGAAAACCAAATGACTTCATAGATGCTGGTGTGTTCGTGGGAGAATTGAACTTTCACAAGGCAGGTGGAAGCAGAGGCAAGCCAAACTCAGAGGACCTGTTGGATGTGCTCATGTCCTGGGTGGTTGACTGAGTTTTAGCAAAGCAATACCGACTGTAATATTGAGTTAATTTTGTTAATTTGAATTGTTTGGATTCTGTCATCTTCTTTGTATTTAATCTTTAAATTTGTTTTGGGTTTGTGGCTGCCACAGACAGCCTGCTCTTCTCTTTCTGGACATGTGGTAAAATGCCACGGTGGGGCCCCCTTCTGTTGTGCAGAACACATGATTAGTTCTGGCCAGTGAGTTGTGAGTGCGAAGTGACACTTCATAGCATTTAGCTGCAGTGTGAGTCTCTCCAGTACCGCTTTTGCCTCTAGCAACGTTTGAGATTGCACTAAGTATCTCCCTGTGTGCTGCTCCAGGTGCGTCCCAACTCCTCTGTGCCTTCGCTGGAAGCAGGTCTGGAGAAAATGGGTCCATGGTCTCCCTTCCATTCTAACTTCCGGTTGGATTTGGCCAATGGGGCGTTCTGGCAGGAAACTGCAGGGCAGGAGGCGAATGGGGTCAAAAGAGTAGGCATAAGTCTCTTGGCTCCGTGTGCCAGGTCCATTTGGGTTGGCTGCAACCCTCTGTCAGTCAGTCACTGTCCAGGTGCTGGTAACTGCTTCCCCACCTTGTCCCTTCAGGGTAAGGGTGGCTAGGCATTTCTAGCCTGCTGGTACTAAACTATAACTTCTTACCACTTTGCCTAACCCCCCTCTTTGCCTGGTAAGTAGTACAAATAAATAATAAACTTCTCCTCAAAGTCTTTAGTTTAGGTGTCCTCTTTGTCTCTTGCCAGGACTTGACTGGTGCAGTATTGGTGGCTGCTGGGTCAGATGAGCTCCCTGCTATTCCAAGAAACAATACATGTTTGCAGCCACTAAGATTTGAGGACTTTTGTTATTACTGCCTATCCTGACAGACTCAGGTGCTACAACTATTTAAGGGCATAAGTATAATAAATTAATATCTAGTTTTATGTTTTCAGATGTCTTAAAACTATTTAAGGGGATCCACGCAAAATGTTGTTCCCTTAAAAGAGGGCACATCTCTCTCACGTGGAGAAATACTGGTAAGAGGAAAAGACTTTCAAGTCAACCAACTTGATGTGGTGTGCAGGTGCTGCAATTTACTTCAGACATTGCATCTATAAAAGAAAGATAAGGTCTCGGCTGGCAAGATGGCCTAAGAGGAACAGCTCCAGTCTGCAGCTCCCAGCAAGATTGATGCAGAAGGCAGGTGATTTCTGCATTTCCAACTGAGGTACCCAGTTCATCTCACTGGGACTGGTTAGACACTGGGTGCAGCCCACAGAGGGCAAACCAAAACAGGGTGGGGCATTGAGCATGAGGAACCGTGCACTCCGGCCCAGATACTGTGCTTTTCCCATGGCATTCACAACCCGCAGACCAGGAGACCCCCTCTGGTGCCTACCCCATCAGGACCCTGGGTTTCAAGTACAAAACTGGGAAGCCATCTGGGCAGACACTGAACTAGCTGCAAGAGCTGTTTTTTTGTTCATACCCTAGTGGCACCTGGAACACCAGCATGACAACCATTCACTCCCCTGGAAAGGGTGCTGAAGCCAGGGAGCCAAGTGGTCTGGCTAGGCAGGTCCTACTCCCACAGAGCCAGCAAACTAAGATCCACTGGCTTGAAATTCTCACTGCCAGCACAGCAGCAGCCTGAGATCAACCTGGGACAGTCGAGCTTGGGGAGGGGCATCTGCCATTGCTGAGGCTTGAGAAGGTGGTTTTACCCCCCCCCCAGTGTAAACAAAGCCACCTGGAAGTTCAAACTGGGTGGAGCCCACTCAGCTCAGCAAGGCTACTGTGGCCAGACTGCCAGATTTCTCCTCTCTGGGTTAGGGCATCTTTGAAAAGAAGGCAGCAGCCCCAGTCAACCTATAGATTAAAACCCCCTTCTCCCTGGGACAGAAAACCTGGGGGAAGCGGCAGCCATGGGCACGCTTCAGCAGACTTAAATGTCCCTGCCTGATGGCTCTGAAGAGAGCATCGGACCTCCCAGCACAGCGTTCAAGCTCTGCTAAGGGTCAGACTGCATCCTGAAGTTGGGTACCTGATGCCCCTGTATCCTTGACTGGAAGACACCTCCCAGTAGGGGCTGACAGACACGTCATACAGGAAAGCTCTGGCTGGCATCTGGCAGATGCCCCTCCAGGATGAAGCTTCCAAAGGAAAGAACAGGCAGCAATCTTTGCTGTTCTGCAGCTTCTGCTGGTAATACCCAGGCAAATGGGGTCTGGAGTGGACCTCCAGGAAACTCCAGCAGACCTGCAGCAGAGGGGCCTGATTATTAGAAGGAAAACTAACAAACAGAAAGGAATAGCAGGTCCACTGAAAGACCCCATCTGAAGGTCACCAACATAAATCCACAAAGATGGGGAGAAACCAGAGCGAGAAGGCTGAAAATTACAAAAATCAGAATGCCTCTTCTCTGCCAAAGGATCACAACTCCTTGCCAGCAAGGGAATAAAACTGGGTGGAGAAACTGACAGAAGTAGGCTTCAGAAGGTGGGTAATAACAAACTCCTCTGAGCTAAAGGAGCATGTTCTAACCCACTGCAAGGAAGCTAAGAACCTTGAGAAAAGGTTAGACAAATTGCTAACTAGAATAACCAGTTTAGAGAAGAACATAAATGGCCTGATGTAGCTGAAAAACACAGCACGTGGACTTCATGAAGCATACCTAAGTATCAATAGCCAACTAAGTATCAATAGCCAAATCAATCAAGTGGAAGAAAGGATATCAGAGATTAAAGATCAAGTTAATGAAATAAAGAGAGAAGACAAGATTAGAGAAAAAAGAATAAAAAGGAACTAATAAAGCCTCCAAGAAATATGGGACTGTGAAAAGACCAAATCTACATTTGATTGGTGTACCTGAAAGGAACGGGGAGAATGGAACCAAGTTGGAAAACACTCTGCAGGATATTATCCAGGAGAACTTCCCCAACCTAGCAGGTCAGGCCAACATTCAAATTCAGGAAATACAGAGAATGCCACAAAGATACTCCTCGAGAAGAGCAACTCCAAGACACATAATTGTCAGATTCACCAAGGTTGAAATAAAAGAAAAAATGCTAAGGGCAGCCAGAGAGAAAGGTTGGGTTACTCACAAAGGGAAGCCCATCAGGCTAACAGTGGATCTCTCTGCAGAAACCCTACAAGCCAAAAGACAGTCAGGGCCAATATTTAACATTCTTAAAGAAAAGAATTTCCACCGCCGAATTTTGTATCTAGCCAAAGTAAGCTTCAGAAGTGAAGGAGAAATAAAATCCTTTATAGACAAGCAAATGCTGAGAGATTTTGTCACCACCAGGCCCACCTTACAAGAACTCCTGAAGGAAGCACTCAACGTGCAGTTTTGCCACTGCAAAAACCATCGACACTATGAAGAAACTGCATCAACTAATGGGCAAAATAGACAGGATCAAATTCACACATAACAATATTAACCTTAAGTGTAAATGGGCTAAATGCCCCCAGTGAAAAGACACAGACTGGCAAATTGGATAAAGAGTCAAGACCCATCTCTGTGCTGTATTCAGGAGACCCATCTCACATGCAAAGACACACATAGACTCAAAATAAAGGGATGGAGGAATATTTACCAAGCAAATGGAAAGCACAAAAAAAAAAAAGCAGGAGTTGAAATCCTAATCTCTGATAAAACAGACTTTAAACCAACAAAGAAGGCCATTACATAATGGTAAAGGGATCAATGCAACAAGAAGAGCTAACTATCCTAAATATATATGCACCCAATACAGCAGTACCCAGAATCATAAAGCAAGTCCTTAGAGACCTACAAAGAGACTTAGACTCCCACACAATAATAATGGGAGACTTTAACACCCCACTTTCAACATTAGATAGATCAACAAGAGAGAAAATTAACAAGGATATTCAGGACTTGAACTCAGCTCTGGACCAAGAAGACCTAATAGACATCTACAGAACTGTCCACCCCAAATCAGCAGAATATACATTATTCTCAGCACCACATAGCACTTACTTATTCCAAAATTGACCACATAGTTGGAAGTAAAGCACTCCTCAGCAAATGTAAAAGAAAGAACAGAAATCATAACAAACAGTCTTTCAAACCACAATGCAATCAAATTAGAACTCAGGATTAAGAAACTCACTCAAAACCACACAACTACATGGAAACTGAACAACATGCTCCTGAGTGACTACTGGGTAAATAACAAAATGAAGGCAGAAATAAAGATGTTCTTTGAAACCAATGAGAATGAAGACACAACGTACCAGAATCTCTAGGACACATTTAAAGCAGTGTGTAGAGTGAAATTTATAGCACTAAATGCCCACAAGAGAAAGCAAGAAAGATCTAAAGTTGACACCCTAACACCAAAATTAAAAGAACTAGAGAAGCAACAGCAAACAAATTCAAAAGCCAGCAGAAGACAAGAAATAACTAAGATCAGCGCAGAAGTGAAGGACATAGAGACATGAAAAACCCTTCAAAAACTCAATGCATCCAGGAGATGGTGTTTTGAAAAGATAAACAAAATAGATAGATAGACCGCTAGCCCGACTAATAAGACAAGAGAGAAGAATCAAATAGATGCAATAAAAAATGATATAGGGGATATCACCACTGATTGATCTCCCAGAAATACACACTACCAACAGAGAATACTATAAACACCTCTATGCAAATAAACTAGAAAATCTAGAAGAAATGGATAAGTTCCTGGACATACACCCTCCCAAGACTAAACCAGGAAGAAGTCAAACCCCTGAATAGACCAATAACAAGTTCTGAAATTGAGGCAGTAATTTAATAGCCTACCAATCAAAAAAAGTCCAGGACCAGACGGATTCACAGCTGAATTCTTGCAGAGGTTCAAAGAGGAGCTGGTACCATTCCTTCTGAAACTATTCCAAACAATAGAAAAAGAGGGAATCCTCCCTAAGTCATTTTATGAGGCCAGCATCATCCTGATACCAAAACCTGGCAGAGAAGCAACAAAAAAAGAAAATTTCAGGCCAATATCCTTGATGAACATGAATGGTGAAAATCCTTAATATAATGCAGGAAAACCAAATCCAGCAGCACATCAAAAAGCTTATCCACCACGATGATCAAGTTGGCTTTATACCTGGGATGCAAGGCTGGTTCAACATATGGAAATCACTAAACGTAATCCACCATGTAAACAGAACCAAAGACAAAAACCACATGATTATCTCAACAGATGCAGAAAAGGCCTTTGACAAAATTCAACACCCCTTCATGCTAAAAACTCTCAATAAACTAGGTATCAATGGAACATATCTCAAAATAATAAGAGCTATTTATGACAAATCCACAGCCAATATCATACTGAATGGGCAAAAACTGGAAGCATTCCCTTTGAAAACTGGCACAAGACAAGGATACCCTCTCTTACCACTCCTATTCAACATAGTGTTGGAAGTTCTGGCCAGGGCAATCAGGCAAGAGAAAGAAATAAAGGGTATTCAAATAGGAAGAGAGGAAGTCAAATTGTGTCTGTTTGCAGATGACATGATAGTATATTTAGAAAACCCCACTGTCTCAGCCCAAAATCTCCTTAAGCTGATAAGCAACTTTAGCAAAGTCTTAGGGTACAAAATCGATGTGCAGAAATCACGAGCATTCCTATACACAAATAACAGACAAACAGCCAAACCATGAGTGAACTCCTATTCACAATTGCTTCAAAGAGAATAAAATACCTAGGAATCCAATTTACAAGGGATGTGAAGGACCTCTTCAAGGAGAACTACAAACCACTGTTCAAGGAAGCAAGAGAGGACACAAACAAATGGAAAAACATTCCATGCTCATGGACAGGAAAAATCAATATCATGAAAATGGCCATACTGCCCAAAGTAATTTATAGATTCAATGCTATCCCCATTACGCTACCATTGACTTTCTTCACAGAATTGGAAAAAACTACTTTAAAGTTCATATGTAACCAAAAAAGAGCCTGCAGAGCCAAGACAAGCCTAAGCAAAAAGAACAAAGTTGGAGCCATCATGCTACCTGACTTCAAACTATACTACAAGGCTACAGTAACCAAAACAGCATGGTACTGGTGCCAAAACAGATATATAGACCAATGGAACAGAACAGAGGCCTCAGAAGTGACACCACACATCTACAACCATCTGATCTTTGACAAACCTGACACAAACAAGCAATGGGGAAACGATTCTCTATTTAATAAATGATGTAGGTAAAACTGACTAGTCATATGAAGAAAACTGAAACTGGACCCTTTCCTTACACCTTATACAAAAATCAACTCAAGGTGGATTAAAGACTCAAACGTTAAGGACTAAAATCATAAAAATCCTAGGAAAAAACCTAGGCAACACCATTCAGGACATAGGCATGGGCAAAGACTTCACGTCTAAAACACCAAAAGCAATGGCAACAAAAGCCAAAATTGACAAATGGGATCTAATTAAACTAAAGAGCTTCTGCACAGCAAAAGAAACTATCATCAGAGTGAACAGACAACCTACAGAATGGGAGAAAATTTTTGCCATCTATCCATCTGACAAAGGGCTAATATCTAAAATCTACAAAGAACTTAAACAAATTTTCAAGAAAAAAAACCCCCGTCAAAAAGTGGGCAAAGGATATGGACAGATGCTTTTCAAAAGAAGATATTTATGCAGCCAACAAACATTTGAAAAATGCTCATTATCACTAGTCATTAGAGAAATGCAAATCAAAACCACAATGAGATACCATCTCCTGCCAGCTAGAATGGTAGTCATTAAGTCAGGAAACAACAGATGCTGGAGAGGATGTGGAGAAACAGGAACGGTTTTACACTGTTGGTGGGAGTGTAAAGTAGTTCAACCATTGTGGAAGACAGTATGGCAATTCCTCAAAATACCATTTGACCCAGCAATCCCATTACTGGGCCAAAGGATTATAAATTATTCTACTATAAAGACACATGCACATGTATGTTTATTGTGGCACTATTCACAATAGCAAAAATTTGGAACCAACCCAAATGTCCATCAATGATAGACTGGATAAAGAAAATGTGGCACATATACACCATGGAATACTATGCAGCCATAAAAAAGGATGAGTTCATGTCCTTTGCAGGAACATGGACATAGAAACCATCATTCTCAGCAAACTAACACAAGAACAGAAAACCAACCACCACATGTTCTCACTGATAAGTGGGAGTTGAACAATGAGAAGACATGGACACAGGGAGGGGAACATCACACAGTGGGGCCTGTTGGGGGATGGCTAGGGGAGGGATAGCATTAGGAGAAATACTTAATGTAGGTGACAGGTTGATGGGTGCAGCAAACTACCATGGCACGTGTGTACCTGTGTAACAAACCTGCACATTCTGCATATGTACCCCAGAACTTAAAGTATAATTAATAAATAATGAATCCAACTCTTAGGAATGTAAGGTTTAGATAATGCATCTAAGACGCTCAGCAGATGACTTGGCATCTAGCATTTGCTCTATAAATGATGGCTAATATTAACTCATCAGTGATAGCTACAATTAAATTGTTACTAACAATAGCCTAAAGGATTATTGCCTAGAGAGTAACATATGGAGTAATCAGGCAGGGGATGAGGGAAAAGAAGGAGTTAGCCAGCAGGGAAGGGGTTGACTGTGGAACAAGTGTTCAGGATCAGGAGGCAGAAGACCTTTGCAGAAAGAGGAGGAGGGCCTGTGATTAGGCCAGCAATGGCAGGGTGGAGTCAGGCCAGGACCAGAGCTGATGGCTAAGGCACTCAAGTAGAAGCCGCTAGAGTATCTGTGGAGAAGCCTGGGGTATAGAGGTGATACAAGACTCACCATTTTAAAAAATGTTTTTTAGTGACCGGATCTCACTCTGGCACCTAGACTGGAGGGTACTGGCATGAACTCCTGGGCTCAGATGTCCTCCCACCTCCACCTTCTGAGTAGCCGGAATTACAGGAATGAACCATCATGCTCAGGTAATTTTTTAATTTTTTTTTCTTTTGTAAACACAAGGCCTCACTATGTTGCGCAGGCTAGTCTTGAGCTCCTGGCCTCAAGCAATTCTCCTCCTTCAGCTTCCCAAAATGCTGGAATTACAGGTGTTAGCTGCCACACCCAGCCCAAAGCTCCCCATTTTTTACTTACTTTCATCTCCGTATCTTTGATGCAAGTCACCCAAAAAAGCAGCATGGCAATTATCCCAAAAATAGGCCACCAAGGACCAGTGCACAGCCCCTGCCTTTGTCAAGATCTGGTAGAGGGAGGCCTCCTGGGCACTGCCAGCCCCTGGGTCCTTCTAAGCTTTGGAATTCTCACACCTGCCAAATGCAGTGTGGAGCAGCTTAAGGGCCACCTATAGGTGAACTAGCCATGCATATGGGCCTTAGTCTTTCTCTTTGACACCTCCATTGCTCCCAGGTAAGGCGTGCTCAGAGCTGGCATTTCCTCTACTAATAAAGCTGTATCCATTGTCGTATGGTGAAAAGAATTCTGGCACCCAACAGCCAGTTTTCTTATTGATGATGATGGAAATAATAATAATAATTTTATGGCACTTTTATTCAGCAGAAGCTACAAACAGAAAATAGTGCCTTCAATCAGCAAATGTGTCGCACTCTTTTTTTTTTTCTGTCAGAGCCCCACACTTTCACACATACAACACACACACAGAGCTCACATTTAGTGTTCTCAGTAATGCTGTGAGATACTTGTCATTTTCCTCATTCTCAGGCAAGGCACCTGAGCCTCGGGGTGATGAAAGAGATTACTTAGATGATCAGAGACTGAGAAAGTGCTGATGTTGGGACACCCAGGGAGGTCTCATTGGAGCAGGGCTAGGCTCGAATCAGGGAAGGAAGCTGAGAATCTGGAATCTCAGGCTGAGCCTGGCCAAGTGTCCACCTACAGGGAGTGACAGAGGTTAGCGCACTAAGTCCAAGAAGCTGTGACCAGGAAACCAGAGTGAGAAGAGCTGGCCAAAGTTGGTGAGGTAGGGAGAATACATGAAGGCCTGATTAGGGATAAACGTGAATATGAAAAACTAATACAAAGAGAAAGTGAGATAACCAGAGACTAAGGAGATCCAGGACTGCCAGAGGCGAGTTTGAGGCAGAATTCTCCCCAAATGCCACTGGTAAGACACTCTCATTAGGATGGAGTTGGTCCCTAAAGCAGATTGACATCACCGGACACTTTGACTCTAATTCCAGGCCAGTGCTATATCCCAAGATCCTTATCCTGAGGTTAATGTGTGTACAGAATTTTGTGTCTGTGTGTTTGCAGATGTGTGTGCTCTTGGGAAAGTGGTTCATAGCTTTTATTATATAATCAAAGGGATCTTTGTGCTCTCCGATGTAAGCAACTCAGCTGCCTTCACTACATGTGCTTGCCGCCAGCCCATGACCAACTTCATTCCGAAATTTAATGTCCCGCCCAATCGTTTCTAGTCCTGGAGGATTTTCCATAAGCCACTCTTCTAACTCACCCTCAATGAATTGATCGATTGATCGATAAGAACTTCTTTGGTGTCTAGGCCAGTACTAAACACCACAATAAATATAGCAATTACTTAAGGCACAGTCCCACCCCCAAAGACCCCCTTAAGATCTGGGCTTGGAGACAAGAGACAGACAGCATGAGGGGCTTGAGAGTAAAAGACAGCATAAAAGTCAGTGAGACATTGAGATGTTACGTGTCAGAAGAGGAGAGATGAGTGAGATGTGGGTTACCAGGTGGCCACACGTGTTGGCTGTGGTCAGGTGGGAAAAACTGGGACCTTGGACCCAGACCATCTGGATTTTAGTTCTCACTACCACCTGCTGCACACTGTTGGGTGAATGATTAATGTCTCTCATTTGCAAAAATAGGGATCATAGCATTTATGCTGCAGGTGTTGTTACCAACACAATGGAGGTTTATTTAAGTTCACGTGGGTGCAAGTGCCTAGGTCAGGCAAATAGTCCACAATGCTCCAAGCTCATCATGAGCACCATAGGTATTTATTTTAAAAGTATGTATTGTTGGATTTTCATATCTATGAATGTCTTATAAATTGAATCACGCTTTGCAAGCTTTTTCCCTCCCAAGTATATTGCATTGGTCACCTATGTTAATAGAGGGAGCTCTGGTTAATTCTTTTGCACTTATTATACATTGCCACACTGTATTTATACCTTCTTCTGTTGGTAGATTTTTCCCCCCAAATATTTACTATTATAAATATTTCTGTTATAATCATACTTGCAGATGTTCAAGAGTTTCTCCTGAAGTGGATTTGCTGGCTGGTAGAGTATTTGCATTTTATGCTTTGTCAGAAAACATTATTTTCCAAGGAGTTGGACTAATTTACACTGTCACCTCTGGTGTATGAAAATTCCATTGCCTTGCTGATATTTGATATTGTCAGACTCAGGAAATTCTGTGTGTGATTTTGATGGCACTAAATGGTAGATGTTTTGATTTCCATTCCTCTAATAACTATTGTGAATAAGTATCTTTATTATAATTGTCTTGGCTGTACCAGTGTTTTTATGTTAAATGCCTCGTCATATCTTTGTCCTGATTTCTTATAGATTCATAAAAGTTCTTTATATATTCTGAATACTAACCCTTTCTGTTTGTGTAGCAAACATCTTCTCACAGTTCTGGCTTGCTTTTTGAATTTCTTTATGGTCTCTTGATGAACACCTGTAATTCTTGAAATGAACTACTACTTAAGGCAAGGCTATGAAGACCCAACTTCTTGGTTACTTAATAGACTTTCATAATAAATGAGAACTTCAAGGATGGTAGGGTGGGCTGAATACATATGACTGTCCCGAAAAGCTTAGAGAAAGAAAATGACAAGCTCAGTCCTTTAAATTCTCATTCAAGGTAATGTCAGGAAACCAGATGTTTCTATAATTGCACTAAAATATTATCTCATCTACCATAGCAATATAACCAAGGTACCTAAAAATTCATTGCAAAATTTGATCTTGTAGTTTGAGAATTACTACACAAATTGAATTTATGACTGTTCTAAGTTTCTTATGTAAAAGTGAGGGCACTGATTAAGGAAGAATGGGACATGAGCTTTGGCAGGTGGATATTTTGGTCAATTTGGATGAACTTAAGTACCAAGATGCTCCCTCCTTAAAAAATTCCAGTTACCAGCAGAAGCAGCCCATTGTCCTCTACCCGAAACATCAGCCTATCCTTGCTTAAAGGTCAGCTAAAAACCCCCACTGAAGCAGTAACCTTGCATAGTATATTGATGTCTTTTAAGACCCACCTTCACCGCTCCCCATTGCCTACAGGGCTCAGGAAAATGGTTGTTATTTTACATAGTGAAAGAATGACAAGGTCGAGCTAATTCAAACAATAAATTCAAACAAACAATAAAAAATAAAATAAAGAAAAAACAGGAGTATGTGTGGCAATAGATTTCAGGAGTGCCAGATCAGAGAAAAAGAAACACTGTGTAGAATTGAGTCAAATTTATTGATATGAGTGCACTTAATGAAGAGTCTAGATTTGGTGTGTTAGCTAGAACAGCTGAGAAGTGCCCTAACAGTGTGCTTGGAATGTTGATTGCAACTTGGAATCAGTGGAATTACAGTAAATGATGAAGCCACATTTCTTCGGCATAATATAGAGGAAGAAATCCAACCTCTGAAAAGACATGGGCAAATTGGAGTGGATGTGTCGCATGTGAGACCCACTCATCCTCACTGTAATATCTCCCTGGAGGACTCAGGGGACACTTTCTTCACCAAAAAGCAAACAAAGAAATAAAAACCAAACAGCTACAATAAAACAAAACAAACACACTGGGAAATAGATTGGTGAAGGGGAAGCCAGCCTCTTTGAAAAGCTCTATAATGCCTGTTCTCTGTAGGAAGGATGGGTCATGATAGATGGTTCTGTAATTTTGATGGGGATGATGGTACCCAGTGATGCCAGAAGCCGAGGGGCAGCCCTTAACCAACAAAACCACAGTGGGCACCTTTGCTGAAAAAAATGCAGTAGGGCCTAATGAGCAGCTAATATCAATGAATATTTGTTAAGCATTTATAATGCACTAAGCCTTCTGAAAAATGCTTTCTGTGCATCCTCCTCATTGCATTGTCACAGTGACAATCAGAGGGAAGCGCTACAGTATTTTCCCATTTTACAGATGAAGCTCTTGGGGCTCACAAACATTAAATAACCTTCTTTGATGAGAGAGGGCAAGTTATTTAACATCTCTAAGGTTGACTTATGGTAATCATAATGGGTAGACTTCAAAGGAGTCTTTGGTAGAACGTAATTCATTTGTGGAATGCTTAGCAATGAAATTAGTTTGTTACTAACTCAGTCTCTAGGGCTGAAAGTGAAGTTTTACTTGATATAAAGAACTGAAAAAGTTCTAAGACCCATGACCCAAATCTTGGCACCAAAAGTTGTGGCCCTTCGCCTTATTCTAAGAACTGAGGCAGTTCACCAACCCAGAGACTCTTGATTAAAGGAAAGACTAGGTGACTCTAAGGAAGGACTCTACAACCCTGATGCAAGTTTATGCTGCATATTTGATTTCCTAAACTTCACCCACAGAGACCTATAGCCATTTATTAGGACTTGTGTGCATGGAAGAAAGGGAACTAACCAGCCTTTGGTGGGGTAGATTACTAAATATTCGCTGAGAGCTGACACTTATCCCCGAAGATCACAGACAGACAGTACTGTGGCCCACCAATTAGAGCAAGGCCTGATGGAGATCAGAGGCCACCCCACACAGCATGGGTGTAGCCCATCTTACGTTGGGGGTGAGATCACTCAATGTCTTGGCTTTGTGTGGAGGTCTCTAACTCATCTCCCTCAGCCCCTTGCATGGATCCAGATTTCGCCTCTTGCCTCTGTACAACTATGGAAATAGAGGTTCCAATCACTGGGGATTGGCAGAAGCCCAAGACTTTAGCATAGCTTCATGACTGCTGTAGGTGAGGTCTTTAGCTGGTCTTTAAGCAAGGATAAGCTGGTGTTTTGCGTAGAGGAGAATGGGCTGCCTCTGCTGGCAAGTGGAATTTTTTAGGGAGGGAGCATCATTGTACTTAAATTCATCCAAATTCACCAAACTGTCCTCCTTCCAATTCTCAGATTTGTGTTTTCACTTCATTTTTTACTTCTAGGGATTTCTCTTGTTCTCTTGTCAATTCAGTGCATGCATTAAAAAATGTGGTTACTTTTCTGAATTTTATCAGCACTTCTAGATGCTTTACAAAGAGGGGGAATTATATTACCTACTCTGAGAAAAAATTTTTTTATCATAGTACCAACAGCACTTAGCACTTTTCATTTGTGCCATAAGTAGATACATACATGTGTTTTCCATTCTACGAGATGCTGAGTTCCTGGTACAGGTCAGGGACTGACTGTGTCCTTTATTTGTTTTAATTTTTTTTTATGAGCTCAGTTCAACAAACACATAAGGAGTGCTTACTCGGTGTTAGGCACCATGCTGGGTGCTGAGGAAGCAAGCCTGTGGTTCTTGTATTTAATGTTTTCTGTAAGAACAACTCTCTAGCTAGCACCCTCCATTTAGTGGGATCTCTCTAAGTGCTGAAACATCCCATGAGCATTCTGTGTTTTTGCCTATGCTGCTTTTTCCCATCTGAAATACCTTCTTCTCCACCCTTTTCCTAGCCTACTGCTACCTGCTTCTGAAGGATACTAAGCCCCACCGTTTTCATGAATCTTACACTATATTTAATACTAGAGAGGCTCTGTCTCCTCTCTTTCTTTGAATATAATATGTCATTTGCACTGATCGATGTAAAATGTGAGTACTTATTTCTTCATGTAATTTAATATTGTCCACCTCCCCCCTCCGATCCCCTGCTAGATTTCAAGCTCCCTGAAGATGAAGGCTGAATCCTACACCTCGCTTGTATCCTCCATGGCTCATTGAACAAGTGCTAGCTAGCTACATGGAGACTGCTCAATAAATATTGAATAACTCACGAGGGACTCAATAAATAACGATTGCTTAATTGATTAGCTCCGTCAATAAATCTTGCTTTGAACAGAGGTACAGCCATTGAAGATACTCAAAAGGCAATCTCGGTCACTGTGCCTCTGGATAGGGGAAAGCTCCATGAATGTAAGATCTGGTGGGAGAAGGCAAGTTATTTAACCTCTCTAAGCCCCGGGAGCTTCATCTGTAAAATGGGAAAATACTGTAGTGCTTCCGTGTCATTGTCACTGTGACAATGTAATGAGGATGATGCACAGAAGGCATTTATCACACTGCCTAGTCCATTATAAATTCTTAATAAACATTAATTGATATTAGCTACTCATAGATCTTAAGAACTGGATTGAAAGAAACACCATGAGAAAACTTTCAATCTGTAGCAATATTACCCAATAGCTTCATGTTGTAGAGACACTGTACCACTTTACTCCCCTAATATTCTTTTGAGGTCACCAAGAGCGTAAGTAATCTACAAGTGAGTGGGTTGTAGGTTCATTTTGGAGACGACTGTCATTAACTCCTGATACATGGTCCCTTCTGTGATCCTGACTGTGTGATGGGAAGGAGTGGTAGATGCATTTACAGACCTCGTTGCTCCACAAGCATGCTCTAAGAACTTACTAGGTACCAGGCACTGTGCTGGACACCAGGATTTCAGCTGTAAATTAGGCAGACAAGTTTCTTGCTTAAAAGTGCAGTCAAAGTGTCCTTACAAACCATGGAAAGGGGCCATCAGCAGCTATGGATGCTCGTGACCAGAGCCCCTTAGTCTGTTGGAGGAGGGGCTGTCAGGAAAGACTTCCAAGAGGAAGTGACACTTGGGATGAGACCAAATAGATGAGATGGGAGTGGCGTGGTACCCCCCTCCCCACAGCAGCTGCCATATGGGTGGAAGATGGAGAAGACAGTGTGTCCATGGCTACTTCAGACCCAGCCCGATGGGGACCAAGCTACAGTCATGGACGTTCTGGCTGTGCCTCCTGTGCAATGGAATCAGGAGGTCAGTAGCTCAAAGAAATGCCTCCACTCAGGATCTCTGCATCCCCTCTCTCCTTCCTGTGCCACAGCTACCTCCTGGGAGAGAGAACACAGAAACCTGATTTCTCCCCACTTGATGCTTGAAAGGGGAGGGAAGAAGAGAAGGTGACTGCCTGGATCTCTTACTTGGGATGGAGTGTTGTCATGTAAACAACTTTTCACCCTAGGATTTTTTGGGGCTGTCAAGAAGTGACAGCCAGAGCTGGGGACACTGGCTGGAGAGGCCATTAAAGGCCATGAGAGGTGATTTCCCACCTGGCTTCTTCCTCCAGAACTTAGCACTTGCAGCAGTCTCTTCCACCCTACCCCCAACCCACATACATCCTCTCCCCACATAAACATCTCCTTCAGTGGTACCTACCGACTTTTAGCTTTCTAAACCAGACTGAAAGAAAAACATTGATGAGTTGCCAATCTACAGCATTTCACCCACATTTATCTCATTTAATACTCTTAACCTTGAAATTCATTCATTCATTCCTGTAACAAATATGTGTCAAGAACCAACTCTATACCAGCTGTAATCTTTTTTATGCTATTGTCATCTTATCAATGAGGGTGTGGAGCCTCACAAAGGTTAAGTGACCTACCTTGACTCACACATTGAGTAAATAATAAAGTCAGTGAACAAATTGTAGAGATCAAGTCAGCTGAGCTGACTTCAAATACTTTTTCCACTACAGTGGAAAACACTTCTCTAATTGATTGGTCTCTGGATTATTCCATATGGAGTTTTAAGGAAAAAAAAAGATTAAATTCTGGGCATGCCAAGCAAACAGTGGCTAAGTGCTTTCATCAAAGAGTTCATTGGCAAATTACATTCACTGCCTATCTACCCTACTGGGAACCAAACAAAACAAAAATGTGAAGTCAAGTCCTTTGTCTTTCCTCAATGCCTACTCCTGTCACTGTTTCCAAGAAAGGCTCTGATACTTACACAGAGGTATAAGCAACAAAAATACCTTGATGAAGACCAGCCTGGCCAACATGGTGAAACTCCATCTTTACTAAAAATGCAAAAATTAGCTGGGTATGCTGGCAGGTGCCTGTAATCCCAGCTACTCAGGAGGCTGAGGCAGGAGAATCTCTTGAGCCTGAAAGGTGGGAGTGCAGTGAGCCAAGATCACACCACTGCATTCCAGCCTGGGCGAGAGAGTGAGGCTCCATCTCAAAAAAGAAAAAATGCTTGAAATGCTCCTCCATCGTGGATGAGAATTGTGAGTATCATGTCCTGCAGGGGTGGGGCTGGAACACTTGCTGCCAGTCCCACAGGGGAGGTCTGCTTTTGCAAACTCAGCAATAATGGAAAGCACCTGTTCAGTCTTAGGCATGGTAGAAATTTGTGGGGGAGGGAGAAATGCAGAACCCACAAGCCATGTTGTGTTGGAAGAGAGAGAAAGTAAAAGTTTGAAACACCGTGGCGTCATAAAGCCAGCCGGAAGAACCGATTTTGGGGATTAAGAGTGACTACATTGTTGGCCGGACGCGGTGGCTCATACCTGTAATCCCAGCACTTTGGGAGGCTGAGGCAGGCAGATCACGAGGTCAGGAGTTCAAGACCAGCCTGACCACCATGGTGAAACCTCATCTCTACTAAAAATACAAAAATTAGCCAAGTGTGGTGGCACACGCCTGTAGTCTCAGCTACTCAGGAGACTGAGGCAGGATAATTCCTTGAACCTGGGAGGCAGGGGCTGCAGTGAGCTGAGATCACACCACCGCACTCCACCCTGGGCAACAGAGCGAGACTTCTTCGTCTCCAAAAAAGAGTGACTACATTGTCACATTCACTTTTTCCTTTTCCAACCCCCTCCGTGCATGTGCAAAACCATTAGAAAAGCAACAAGCAGGGCTGGTGAAGGAATCAGGGGAAGGCTTCTCTCATACTCTCTCTCCCACATAGGAGCATAGTCCCCGAGTTTTAAGTCTTACTGCTGCCACTTTCTGATCGAGTGTCTTTTAGCAATTTATACTCTGAGTCACAATTTTCTCATCTGCAGAATGAGTGTAATAATAGCAGCCTTGCAGAGTCATCGTGAGGACCCAGTGTAACCATCTGCATATGAGATGGGAGCAGCCAGCACCGTGGAATGAGGCAAGGTTTGGAGGGGAAGAGCTCACGACATGCTTCTAAACACTTAGCTATGTGACCATGAGGAACTCACCACCCCTCCAGCTTCATCCACCTCACTTTTCACATGAGAAAAGTAACAAACTTGTGCTTTGTTGGAATCAAAGGCGGTAGCAAGTAAATGTAATAATGCTTTTAAACTGTCAAGTCCTATTCAGATGAAAAGATACACCATTGCCTTTCTCCTAAGCAGGGCATTGTGCCTCCATGAATACCTACAATCAAGGTGTTCCCAGGCCCCATGTATACACTGCCAGTGCCAGTGCTGGGGGATTCCAAAGGAGCAGAAGTTGTGGGCCCCTCCCAGCTGGAGAATAACATCAAGGTAACCCGAAGCAGGATGTAAGCACAGTTTAGACTGCGCTGTCTCAGTGACATGCTGGTGTAAGGAGGAGGCACAGGATGTGGGAAAGGCCCGTAGATGAGGCCATGGAGGAGCTGAGGCTGCGATGGGTCCAGGAGGATGAGCATCCTGGGTGTTCCAGCCTCAATGCCTCCAGAGGCAGACAAAGGCTGGGCAAAAGGAGTTTGCCTGAGAGATGCGCAGATGTTCTCATCAAGCACAAGGGAGAGAGTGAGAATATGAGTCAGGACAGGCAGCAAGGCCCAGAAAGGGTCCATTGTTGTGCAAGCCACCCCTGTTTGTTTGCAGCTGGGCTCAACCCTGCTGAGGGGCCAGGAAGCTGCGGTGTATATCTGCTCATTCCAGTGCCACATAGAATTGACAGTGCTTCCTGTCAGGAACTTTCTGACATTCCCTTGGCCAGAGAATGTTCTCAGGCCAAGAGACACAGAGAGCTGAGGACTGCGGGCAGGTAGCCCGAGGGGATGTGAATGGGACACCGACAGCATCTGCTAGCTTTGGCAGATGGGAGCTAGGGCCACTCCATGCTAAGGGACAGCATGAACAAAATGAAGGAGAAGATGGGTTGAGTGAGGAGCTCGCCAAGCTTTGCTCCAGAGGGAGAGAGTATTTGAAATTGGGACTATCTGCAAAAATCACCAAATATATGAAGGGCAGCAAGGAAACTCTAAGAGGGGAAAATGGGCAGCAGTGTGGAGCTGCTGCACACCACTGATGATGGGAGGTGTTAGAGAGGGAAATGCCTCTTGTTCTGGGGTGATGATGATCTTGCAGCACCGGCCTGGGCCGGCAGTTGGACAATGGTGACCGGATGAGTGGCCAGTCATGGTTCCACTCAATGCTGGTGAATGAACTATCCCCTGGCAGTTTGCAAAGCTCAGGTCCACAGCTGACTGTGGAACTGGAAGTGCCACAGCACCCACCCCTGCCGCCAAGCCGTGCCCCACTTCTGCTGCTAAATGGAGAAAGGATGGAGCCTACATTAGAAACCAGAGACCTGGCAAAGTGGGTGGGACAGGAGGTTCCTGGCAAGCGACAGACAGAACTACAGAATGCCGTAAGAGAAAGGAAGGTGGTTGGTCTTTCAGTCAGAAGTGCTGGCTGGACATGGAGCACTGCTACGGTGACCAGCGCAGCCACCACTAGGAACAGCGACTCTCCCAGACCCTCCCTCACCTGCCACCCATCGTAGTGGCTGCTCCTCTTGAACGGCTGGGGCGAGAGGGATACTGCATGCGATGGAACTGATAAACCAGTTCAAATAGCATTAGACTCACTCACCGATACTGTCTCATTGAAACACATTGCTCATTTATTCCTCTTCGTCATCCTTTGAGACACAGTCATTATTTTCCAGATGAGGCCTGCTCAAGAGCATTTGGCTGATGGGGGCTGAAACCTCTCACTGCAACCAGGTTCATTTGGCTCCAAGTCCTGTGTGCTCTTTATGAAGTCATAGCAAGGCCTGGACTAGGGTGAGAAAGGACAGGTGCCTGTGAGGCAGGACTTAAAGGAGGCGCTGGCCCTCAGGGGCATGCGAGGGCAGGGTGAGCACCTGAGAGTGAGGGCCTCCTTAAAGTCTGTGGTCCAGGGTCCTTTGGTCCCCTAATCCCAGAGCAGAAAAGAAAGCCTTCAAATCCAGCTGCTGCCTGAAGAGCCTCAGACTCACTCCCCTGGGGCAGCAAAGTGCATTTCTTTACCCACAAGGCCCTGTAGTGCTGACTGGAAGATGGGGCTGTCAGGGACTCATGGGAAAGAATGGCACATTGGATACAAACTCATTCGGCTTAGTTTTACCCTGTGGCTGCCCCTGTAGTGTCATTTGTGACACCAGGAATATGTTCCATACCAACCGAATAGCTTCTCTTCCTATTCGTGCCAGTGCATGGAACTATATAATCATTCATCTATTCATTAATTCATTTATTTGTAGCCTTCCTCTTTATATAGGCTTAGAGAGCCACTACTCGAAGCCAAGCCTTACGTCAGGCAGCAGAGATACCAAGATGAGGTTGAAGAAAACACACGGCTTTCTCCACTCATGGACTCCAATGAGGATGGCAACAACATGGTAATTAGAAGTCATTAGCAGATTGCTCTCAGCAAGTGGAAAGCAGTGAGAATTCTGAAGCAAGACTTCTCTGGACTTCAGGGAAGTCCCTCTAAGGAAGTGACATCTAAACTGGAACTCCACTGCCTCTAGTATGTCTACTCTGGAGTTCCCACCTTTAAGGGTTTCTGGGAACATTAATATATATAGTGTGAGTGGATTTGGCCCTCTCTGAGTCTGAGAGAGTAGGTGTGCAATAAGAGTTAACATTTGCTAACTTGCAGTCTTATGGCTCCTTACAGGGCTGAGACTTGACCTTGTGACTCCAGCCTAGGATTATATAAGGATGTGACTGACCTTAGAGGATTTCACGGGAACTTAGCTGTACACGTGGAACCCATTTATTTGCTGACACTTCTCATTTCCTTTCAGAACAAACCTACATTCCCAGACCTATAATTTTCTTGAGAAAATGGGTTTATTATAAGTCACTCAATAAAACACCCTACCATGGCTTCCCAGTACAAACCCTAGTTTCAATTAGTCTTATTTTCTTCCTGAACTGATGATTCCCAAATCTATCTATCTGTTCATTAGGATCACTGGAGAACTATTAAAATGTCCAAAGTCCAGTCCACACCCCAGACCAATTAAATCAGTCACTGAGGCTAAGATCAATATTTTTTTAAGCTCCCCAGTCAGAATTGGAATTTCAACTGCTGGTCAGTTTCTCCTATGAACATGGGTTGATATGGGCACGATTGTGGGGCTAGCGTTGCCATCTCTCCCTATTAAACTTCTCCTACTAGAGCTACAATACTTTTCGGCCCTTGGATGGCTGTGCTTTTCGAATTCTTGTACTTCCACTGTTCTACCTCTTTTATTCAAGGCAGCCTTTCCTGCATGCATTTATTCTTTCATTCACTTACAAGAATATACTGAATATGGATTCTAGGAACTAGGAAATGAGTTGTTGACCTTGGGCTAGGGTGAGAACATTTGAGTGGTTCTTCGTGGTGACCTGCCTCCCCTGCCCCCATAAAAGCCTCTCTCCTTCCTGCCTTCCAGTCCACTGATGCATGGGCCCAGGCAGCACCAACCATTTCCTTGCTTGTAGTCAGTTCCCCATCTACCAAGTAATGCCTGCCTTCCCCTCCTGTTGGAGGGTGTATTAGTCTGTTTTCATGCTGCTGATGAAGACATACCCCAGACTGGGTAATTTATAAGAAAAAGAGGTTTAATGAACTCACAGTTCCACATGACTAGGGAGGCCTCACAATCATGGCAGAAGGTGAGGAGGAGCAAAGTCATGCCTTACATGGTGGCAGGCAAGAGAGAAAGACAAGCGAAAGGGGAAATCCCTTATAAAACCATCAGATCTTGTCAGACTTATTCACTACTATGAGAGCAGTATGGGGGAAACTGCCCTCATGATTCAATTATCTCCCACAAGGTCCCTCCCACAGCATATGGGAATTATGGGAGCTACAATTCAAGATGAGATTTGGGTGGGACACAGCCAAACCATATCAGAGGGTCCAAATTCAACTCTTCTAGAGTTAACTACCCAAATTCCCAAAACCTCTTGACTGTTTGTTTCACAGAGGTTTTTTTTTTTTTGAGGTCATAGTAAAAAATAATTTTAGAAACATGCCCTGACAAATGTGGGTTCCTGAAATTGAGGCGGTGAATCCTTCACCCCTCCCTAGTAGCCCTGAATGAGTCCTCTCTTCTGAACTAGACTCCAAGCCTCCCTAACGGCAGCAGTGATTTCCAGTCCTCAAATGACACAGTCAAAACTCTCACTAGAATGCTTGTTGAGTGACACTTAGCAGATCATGTGTTGACTGGAGAAAAGGAGGGAGGAAGAAAGGAGAAGAGAACAGGAGGGAGAGGAAAAGGGAGGAGATACAGAGTAAGCCAGAGAGGAGAGAGACAGAGACACAGAATGGAACCGATTTTGAGATCCTACCTGTCCTGCCCATCGCCTTGTGGAGGACAGAGGAATGGGGCATCTAAGCTCACTCACACTGCCAATTTGAACTGTTCTGCCCTAGCCTCCCTCCCTACCCACTTGAGAGCATTGGAAAGCTGCCCCATGAAGGCTTTACAAAGCATCACCATAGTAACTGTTTTCTCCACTAAAAGACGCCTATGCAATGAAGCTCTGCACTCTTGTCTGCCCCTCTCAGTAACTGGGAGAGGCTTCCACTCTCTCCAGCAAAGGCCTTACCGGCCACTGAGTGACTCTATCTCATATTCTCATGACTGTCATTACCAGCGTTAGTATTTTCTTTATTCTTTTGCACTTCCCTGGCTCTGCTGGTCTAAAATGGGCTTTCCATGACTTTAATTGGCTCTCATCAGCACTGAGGTCAGTGAGGCAGCCACAGAGTTCATTTGACTAAGGCACAAGCAGAGGCGGAAGTCTGAACAACTTGCTCAAGGTCTCCAGCTCCAGAGTCCTGCAGATGAGGGCTCACAATCCCTAAGTTTACTATCCTTTCCTCAGCCCCAGTTTGTCCTTCCGCAAGGGGGAAATCGCCTCTACAGTTATCACACTAGGAGAAATTATACTTCCCTGAATTGTAAGCTTGGGCATCTGTGTGTCAAAGCAGAGAAGAAGTCAGGGAGGTAGCTTGTGTCTTTGAGGGGTGTGAGGGGCTGGGCTTGGTGAGCAGATGGACAGAGCTGAGCTGCCGGGTTCCACGTCAACAATGGCAAGTCCATGGGGAATTTCTGTAGAATTAGATATATTGCTGGACGCGAATAATTAAGGATTCTGATGTGGTCAGGTAGATTAATGTCCCTCTGAAAGCTCTGGATCAATGTTGGAAGGGAAAAAAATAAAAGACATGCATAATTTAAAAAAACCATCAGAAACTTTGCTTGACATGATGACATTACTGATTTTTTTATGATCTTCTCAAATACACTCTATAACCGTTATTAATTTAGTATCGTTAAAAGCTCATCCTTCAAATGTCAGGCAAGAGCCAAAGCTGAAAAATAGAACCGCTTAGGGCTGGAAAAAATCCAGGAAAGAGAGGCGGAAAGCTCTAGGAACACGAGGCCCTGGGCTGCCTCCAGCTTCCCGAGAAACTCCCAGCCAAGCTCTCTGTTGCTGTGACTTCTCCCTCTTGGGCTACTTTGTTTGTGGTTCACAAAGACGGCCAACTCTGGCCCATTTGCTAGGCATCTGCCGTCTTGGCTTGCCTGGCCTTATGTACAGAGTAATGCCAGGGATCCAGTGTGGGAGAATGTTGAGGTGCTCCAATAAGTCTCTCCTCCAAAATAAAGACCTCCTGATGGTGCCTGATACCCAACTGCTCATGATCAGGTGTGGCATCCTGTTGAGTTAAGCATCACCTTCTCACAGACAGGTCTCTCTGAAAATGCAGGTGCTTCTGCAGAGGAGAGTATACTAATAAGATATAGTAATAGTATTCGTAAGGAATGTTTACAGGATGCTTACTATGTGCCAGGCACTATTCTAAGTACTTTACATGCATTATCGCATTTAATCCTCATAGCAACCAAGAATATTATCACTTCCAATGTTATGTCTAGAAAAATAGATTCAAAGACACTAAGTAACTTAGCTGGGGTCACACAGCTAATAAGTGTCAGAGCTAGAACTCAAACTGGGTCTGACACCAGCAGCTGCATCTTTAGCCACTATGTACATCTGTCATCCTGGTCGATTGCTGATGTATTAATCAAGCGACACTAGATTTATCCACAAAGAAGAAAGCACTTTCCTCTTCCAGAAAGAAGGGGAGCTAAAAGTGGTGAAGTTGTGGGTGGGTAAAGGAGTTGTTACTGGAAAGAGGTGCAAGAAACATTTTCCCCAGCAACAGTGTCATCTCCTCTAAACGACTCTGGAGGGGAGGGGCTCATGCATCACCCCACTGGGCCCCATGGTAGGACTGAGCCTACCCCACACTCTGCATGCCCCCTGAAGCAGCTCAGAAGACCCAGCCTCCTGGATGATTCTTAGAAAGAAAGGTTGGAAGCATATGTTCTCCAAAGACTAGAGGAGACTGAAAAGTCCCCCAAAAGTCCAAACATTTCAACCTAGAGTGGACGTGACCCTAGAGAGCCAAAGTGGGGCATGCCAGGAACAGATTTCTTAAGGGACAGCAGCTTGGGAAACAGAGCTAGCTTGAAATCAGAAGCCTTAGATTGAGGAGTTGATGTTGGACAAGCTTGCTCGCTCTCGCTCTCTCGCTGTCTCGCTCTCACCCATTCTCCCCTCAGTTTTTTGCATCATAAAGTGAGAGTATGGCCCTGAAAGCTTCTACCAAGCCTGTGTTCCTGTAACATGGATTTTTCCTTAAAAGGACAAAGCATGACCATATCCCCTCGGAGCCTGGATGCCCGGGAGCCAGGGTGCAGAGATGTCTGAGAGAGAGCAGAGTAGGAAGGTAGTGTCCTCACCATCGGGCCCTCAGCATGACTTGCCTTGCACAGTGGGATACCCAGCAGAGTCTCCAAGGACCTCAGAGTGCTGTGTTCTTATTTCTTTAAGGACTGTCTTTTCTTAGACAGTCCTTAAAAGAAGGGAAGGGATGGCTTATCCTACATTGAGCCTAAATACAGATTTAATTTATCTGCTCAGTTCAATTGCTCAGGAAAAGCAAATCCAGAGTTGTTTGACTGCTCTAATGAGTCTTCAATATAAATGAACAAGCAGGATTGCCCATGTAGACACACGCTAAGCCAGCAGAGCACAGTTTGCTCAGCTGCCTGCAAAGGTGGCTGGATGTCTCCACACATCACAGTGTACCTGTGCACGTACACAAACACAGGCACAGTTTCTTACTATTAAATTAGCCAAGTTGGATCTCAGCAGTGGGAAATCTGCATCTTAATATTAAGTCAGTAATTAATAGCCTAGACACTTGGTTCACTTTCCTTTTATTGGCTTTACATAGATACAGAATGGACAGAGGTGGCCTTTCTTCCAACCAGCAAGCTGTCTCTCCCTCACCACCCCTCCTGCCCACCTCCTGAGAATGAATATGTTCCTATCTCATTTGCATCCTATTATTAGTGCATTGAAGCTATAGTCACGTACAACCTCTTTATATTCACTTGAAAATTAAATTACAAAAGTTTTTCTACATTGCAATTTATGTTCTGGTTGGAGCTGATTGTTTTTTGTATTCCGGCAAATATCACAGTCTCCAGGAATTAATGAATTCATAAGCATTGATTCCTAGGGGGAATAGTATGCATAGTATATTGGAAAATAGAGAAGCTCAGCCTAATGTCAAAATGTTTTACTTTCTACCACCCAATCCTTACATACACATGGGAAATTCTTGTGGATGCCAGGCAGCTTATGTCTGCAGGCACCTGTCAATACTGCCTGCTGTACTGAGGGGTGCCTGCAAAAAGCTATGCCTTCTGAATATATCAAGCAATGGATGCTATAGAATCTAGGTAATTTTATGCAATCTGTTCTTTTAGGACAAATCAGTAATCAGCTTCAACCCCTACCTTGGCCACTCCCCAGTTCCTAAAAGCCAAAGCCACTGCCTCCCTCCACGATAGAAGTCACACACTTGTAGCTGACTGACATATTTTGTGTGTATTTTATGACTTTTTTTTCTTAAAAGCCAACATTTAAATATTTGGAGATTTCAGCTAAAAATCCGGATTTTGACTTTCTTAAAAACATCTGAAGGTCTGACAGTATTGAGCCGATGTTCAACATAATGGCAGTCTAGAGGTGTGGAGTAACAGCAGTCAGCTTCCTTTAAACAGTATACGTCAGGGGACATACTCTACAATTTGATCCTCACTACTTGTGGAAAGAGGCCAACAGGATTTGCCATTTTTTCAAAGAACATGTACGCTTTCGTCTCCACAATCTCTATTAGAAGTGGGAAAACAAAAATAGACCTAGAAAGCAAAGATCTCAATCCAGGGGCAAGAATATGTTTTTTTGAAGGAAGTGAAACAATGTTGCTGCTTAATTTCCAAATAGAGTACTCAAGAAATTTTTTCCTGAACCTAGCTTGCTTTACTGTAAGGACGTCCTAGCTATTGTTTTATTACTTGCCTTGCCCCTGGAGACATTTGAATTTTAGGACCCTTGACCTTGGTGGTTTTTAGGGAAACGCTTTATCAGGCAGGCCCTTTCAACCTGGCGTGCCTCCCCACCTGGGGGTCTCAGTGTCAGCCACCCTTCCAGACCTGGGAGCCTGTGCCCCACTCCTTTGATGCTCTCCGGCTGCCTTGGCACTTCCACTTCCCTAAGTCCAGAAGCACCAGTGCTTGATGTCAGGTTGAGATCTGGGCCTCAGACAGATCAGGCTGAGATCTGTCTGTAACAACTTGTCTGCCTCACGTGAGTCCCTCGGTGTGAAATAATAAGAAATATATATATATATATATATATATATATGTCGCTGTCCAGTTCTTGACATAGAGCTCCTAAAACTCTTATGGGTAGGGAAACTTGGAGATCTTTTATTCTAATATTTGGCCTTTGGCCCCACATCCTGACACAGAGCTCCTAAGACCTTTGTAATTTCCTGAGAGACAGGATCTTGTAACACAGAGCCCCTGCATCCCTTGGAATTTCCTGGGTGATAGGAACATCTTTTGTTTTAATGAGGTGACTCCTGGTGGGCTCCTGGATAGCTTCGGGAACCAGCCATGTGATTAGAGGGTTGGAACTATTGGTCCCACCCCTCCAACCTCTGGGGAGGGAAGAAGGGCTGAAGGTTGAATTGCTCACCAATGGCCAATGATTTAAGCAATCATACTTACATAATAAAGCCTCCATCAAAACCTAAAAGAACAAAGTTCAGAAGGCTTCTGGATTGCTGAATGCATGGAAGTTCCTAGAGGGTGGCACACTTTGGATAGCTCCAAGGTGTGCAAGGAACTATACATGTATCCATGGAAGCTCCACGCCCCTTCTCCCCTACCTTGCCCTGTGCATCTCTTCCATCTGACTGTTCATCTGTATCCTTTGTGATATCCTTTATAATAAATGAGTACACAGAATAAGGTGTTTCTTTACATTCTGTGAGCCATCCTAGTAAATTAATTGAACCTAAAGAGGAGAACCCTGATTTATAGCTGGTCAACCTGAGACTCACAACAGACATGTGAAGTGGAGGCAGTCTTGTGGAACTGAGCCCTTAACTTGTGGGAATGGATGCTGACTGCTGGTAGATAATGTTAGAACTGGGCTAACTTTTAGGAGTTGAGGTCCATTGGAGAACTGCTTGGTAAACCCTGACACATCTGGTGTCAGACATGAAGTATCGTTTCGAGTGTTGAGTGCAAAAGTAGGAAAAACAGTTTAGTTATTCCTATCTCTTTCATTTGGCGACACCCTTGGATTGGTACTCATCACTTCCTCTTGGATTCAAAACCCTGCATTCTTGTCTTCTGGGTCCTTACAGAGCTAATATTGCACATCTAACCTCTTAGCCTGACCTAGGTTCACTCTGCCTCCATTCCTTTACCTGTTGGGCATTGCCAAAAAATTATGTAAGGCAGAAATTCAGTGAGTGAAAGAAGGGCAGTCTCCTGGAGACTGAAGGAAGCATCAAGATCAAACCAGAGAGGCAAAGTTACTGGTATGGAGACTCTCACAGGTAACCAGCAGAGCTCAAACTTCCTGCCTCTCTTTATGGTGTTGTCTCCATTATCTGGCATCCATCTGTGCTCATGCAGACAATATTTGTGCATAACCATTTTTAACCATCTGCTGCCCTTGAACCTCACATCACAGGGCCCACCTTGTAGGAAAGGCTCTTTAGCTAGCAATGATGGTGTCCAGGACAATTCTAGGTTTTACCATACTTGGAGCCATTGAGAGGGACTTGCAGGACTGACCCATCTCATCTTTCTTTGCATCTTTCAAGAAATCGATGGGTAATCTAAAAGGTGTATGTTTACAGACCTGCAGTTTTAGTATCAGAGTTTCCTCTATGTAGTGGAGATTATGGATCTGAGACCTGAAAAGAAGTGATCCACTAAAAGGATAAGTTGTCTCAGCTCCTGGTGCTGACTCAGAGAGGAGCCTCTGGGCTGACTTAACCTCTTTGCTGTGCACTCTCATTCTGTCTGCACCCAAACATCATGACAGACATCAGCAGTACTTCCCATGATTCCTGAAGAGGAGGCTGTGTGCAACAAAGTCATCCTAGGATATTTTGAGAAATAAACCTGTCAAAGTATAATTGCTCAATCATCTTAGCCCCGTGCACCGTGGAAAAGAATATGTGCCAGAAGTGGGAGTCTCTTTTTCATCCTGTCTAGCACCATCTTGTCAGAAGCAGCAATTCCAGAGACAAAACCTGGGGAGATTTCAGCACTGCTGGGTGTGCCTTCTGCACAGCAGAAGTGGGCTTCCAGCTGGAGCCCAGATGAAGGTTAACTATAGGACAATTTACGAGTAAGTGGGAGTGGTATTAGCAATTACATTCTGGCTGAGAGTGACTAACTGCTTCCACCTGGGAAAGCAGATCCAGCCCCATAGAAAGGTGAAGGTCATCCCTGCTCCAGGGTTAGATCTACAGGAATGGCTGCTCCAGAATGCCACACACAGTTCTTGCTGCAAGGTCTTTCGCAAAGAACACTAATTGCCTACATCTCTTGTCTGGGATGCATTTCTCTTTCTCCCTATTATCCTAGTTTTGTTTTGTTTGCTTTTCCTGATTTCTAACATCTGACCTTGTCTGTGCTACCTTCTGCATCTCTCTTTGTCTTATTGAGTCTCCTGGCATACGTCCTCCCTCCTACCTATCATGGACATATGAACTAGTAGTGGCCAATGAGGTAGAAGTGAGTATCTCCGGGCTGTACTTCCCGGAAGTCTGTTGTATATGTACCTATCAATATATTTGTATATACAAATAGGTGTACAACAGCTGACTCAGCTGACACATAGCTTTTGTCTTATTCTTACCCCTTCTTCCTGACCAGAATGGAAAAGAGATTCCCATGGATGCAGCATTCATATTCTGGCCTCCAAAGAGAGTCACATGATAAGGAGGCCAGGACAGAATAATAAAAGGAGCCAGTCCCCTGCAGGTATCATGGACTGTTCAACCAGTTCTGGACTTTCACCTGAGATTTATTGTCAGGTGAAAAAAATAGCCTCTATTTTGTTAAGCTACTGCTGTTTTCTTTCTGTTATTTGCAGCTAAACTCAGTCCTAACAGATACATAAATCCTGTTCATTTTTCCAAAGGGTCTTCAGAAATACTGCCTTGGGTGTCTAACTATTACTGACTGAATTGTGCCCCTTTAGAATTCATATGTTGAAGTCCTAACCCCTCATAAGGGAATGTGACCATGTTTGGAGATAGGGTCTTTAAAAAGGAAATTACATTGAAATGAGCTCATGAGGGTGGTTCCTAATCCAGTGTGATTGGTGTCCTTATAAAATGAGGAAATTGGGACACAGACACAACCACAGAGGGAAAATGATATAAAGAGACACAGGGAGAAGATAGTCATCTGTAAGCCAAGGAAAGAGGCCTGGAACAGATCCTGACCTTACGGCCCTCAGAAGAAACCAACGCTGCCAACACCTTGATCTCTGACTTCCAGCCTCCAGAATCACAAGGAAGGTAAACTTCTGTTGTTTAAGCCACACCCTCCATTGTACCTTATGGCAGCCCTGGCAAACTAACATAAAGACCTATATTTCCTGACCATGGGATCCTCTATGGTCAGGAAGGGGCTTAGCAGTTGGGCCACCTGTATTAGAAATGCCTGAGATTCCTGTTAAAAAATAGGGTAGAGTTCAGGAATCTTTATTTTAACAAGTTTCTGTGGTGATACTTAAGTGCTCTATGGTTTGAGAATCACTAGTTTAGTTCTTTAAGGTCTTACAGAACACAAATGAGATAGAGGAGAAGTTGACACTCCACTGACAGGCTGGGGAGTAAGAAGTATTTGAGGGACAGACTAAGACTGACCTGAGGCCAGGAGAGAGACACACTGCAGAGGAACAGTATGAGCCAAGACTCCCAGGTGGGAAAGAAATAGGTGTGTTTGGTGGCAATGATAATAATAATGATAGTAATCTAAACTAGCATCTTTATGATGTCTTATAACTTACACAGCAATTTTAATTATATTATCTAATTTAAATCTTCACCTGTAAGGTGAGAATCATAGGTAAGGATTACAGGTGGAGATTACCACTGAAGTTACAGGTCACCTCAACCCTGTGAGGAAGTTAATATTTTATTATTTCCATTCTGCAGGGGAAGACACCAAGTGTAAATACTAGAAATAGTATACGCTAGTTGTGAAAGTCTCCGTGGTTTTTTGGGGACAACCAGGAAGCCCCAAAGTGAGCACAACTCCCCTTCATGCTGCAAGTGGCCAGGAGCCGTGATCGCCTAAAGCACTGCAGCTCCACCTGCCTTGACAATGGAGTGGGGAACAGAATAAAATGATCCTATAAAATGATCTCTTGAGAGAGTGATTGGCTAGAGAGAAGATAGGAAACATAGGAAGAGGGTAGCTTCCTCTCTTCCACTTGTATATTTTGGACCTACTTTCGAAGGGTCTATAGTGAAGAAAGCCCATCAAGCAGGTGGTGCTGATGAAAAGAGACAGGAAGTAGGCTCCAGGACTTATCACTCTTTCTACCCTATTAAGGAGGTACCCTCTTTTCTTACCACCTTCAAACAAGCCCACTTGGGAATTTGGGGGTAAGGCAGGACTTCAGCTTAGGGACAAGCATTCTTCCCTTGCAGGTATGTGCAACAGTAAAAAGGCAGCTTGGGAATGATGACTGAGCACGAGGCACCCTGGTCACTGTGCTGAGGCCATGGCATTTGGATAGACTAGACCTCAACACTGCTCAAGGGATAAGTCTACTTGTCTATTTGTCTATCCATCTATCTATTCTTGCTCGTTACTATAAGTATTTGACATTGTGTATAAAATGCCCACAATATAAAAGAATGAAATAAATACACAAGAGAGTTATTGGTTAAGGAGGTTATGAGAGGAAAATATGGCAATAAAAATAAGGGAAAAACTAGCATACAGACCATCGAATGCAGACCATTAGATCCGGTACTGTGGCAATTGAGTGTTTCAAAATGTGAATCTGAGTTTCCCAACAGCCAAAACAAAGGATAAAACACATGGCTACAAGAAGCAAACTGCCTATAATAGAAAGAAATTTTTTTAAAGAATGTCAGTTGTAAGCAGAAAAGCAGAACTCAGCTCTTCCTGATGATGATGCTCAAGAGGAATTTCTTCCATGGGCCCTCATGAAGAGGACACAATGCTCTAGAGGAAAACATTCTTAGCAAAATCCCCATAATGACATTTGTTAGACTATTAATCTGAGCCTCTCAATGGCATAATGCCAAAGCATACTACAGGAGAGGCAAAGCGGCCTGCCTGGGAAGCATGGTGATGGTATTTTGAAAAAGGGTAACATTTACAGTTCCTAGAGCAGAGAGTCTTAACTTTGAGAAGCTATATGCCCTTGGAGACTCTTTTGAAAAGTTTATAACCTGTACAGATAAACATGTACATGCACGAACTACAAAACTTTATATGTAGTTTCAGAGGGAGGTTACAGACAACTCACACTCCAGAAGAAGACCATTTATGAGGCATGAGTTAAGAGGCACTGAAAAATGAGGACTGCCTAAAAAGATGATGCCAGGAAGACAATCGAAAATGTTGCTGGATTGACAGATTTGGCCCCATATTTCCTGACACTATTTTATGTATTCCTAACAAAGTTTTCCTTTGAAAATTCACTTACCTAAATGGAATTTCCCTCTGATACAACAACAGCAATGATAAAATATATATCTGGGATTTCCATGGACTAGACATACTTTTCCTTATTCCTCCCACAAAGTAACTAAAAATCCTGCATGTTATATATAAAACAGATGTAAGAAAACTCTGAAAAATGAAGAAAAGAAGGAAACTGGCTAGGGACTTCAGAACCTAAGGAACAACATGAGGGTAAGTTTCGTGAATTTCCTTTTTGCTTTGTACACTCCTATTTGGAACTGAAAAACCAGCAACCCAGAAATACCAATAGGTAGGTGAGGATTAAACAAAAGTCTCCTTTTTCTAGCCAAACAAGTAGGAAAAGAACAACCTAGAAAGACATAAAACTTTTAGACAATAACTGCTCTACTTCAGTCAAACGCTACAGAAAAGACAGTAATCCTACCTCCACTCATGCCAGCAAAAGTAGAGTAGGGAGCCTAGGCTTACAGTCTTGTTAGGTATACTGAGGAACCCCAGCTTTTCTGCTGGGGTAGTAGCAGAGAAGAGCAAGTAGGGGGCCTGAACATCAACTCAGCATTACCTACCAGGGGATAGTAAGCCACACTCTGCTGCCCACTTACTGTCAGTATAGAACACAGAAGGAATAGTAATGAGTTGCTCCAACCCCTCCCAACCAGAGACTTATCAATGGAGGCCTAGCAGGGAGCAGAACTTCCATCTCTGTAACAAGAAGCACACTCCTTGGGTGTAGCAACAGAACCCAAGTTGGAAACCTGGACTTTTATTTGTAGTCGGCAGCAGCAAGATAGCACAACCCCTTCCCTACCTGGATGGTATTAAAGAAAGCTAGCTAAAATAGGATTTTTAAACAAAATTCATAGTTTCATAACATAACCCAAAATATCCAGGTTTCAATAGAAAATTGCTTGTCATACCAAGCATCAGGAACACCTCAAATTAAATGAAAAAAGGCAACCAATAGATGCCAACAGCAAATGTGGCAGAGATGTTACAATTATCTGACAATGATGTTAAAGCAACCATCATAAAAATACTCAAGCAATCATGAGCCCACTGGAAAAGAAATATATATAGAATGTCTCAGTAAAGAAATAGGAGCTATCAAAGAGAACAAAATGGAAATTTCAGAAATGCAAAATACAATAATTGAAATAAGCTTAATAAATGGGCTCAAAAGAATGAAAGAGTCCAAGGAAGGAATTCATGAAATGAAAGATAGAACAATAGAAATCATCCAATCTTGACCGGGTGCAGTGGCTCATGCCTGTAATCACAACATTTTGGGAGGCCAAGATGGGCAGATCACTTGACGTCAGGAGTTCAAAACCAGCCTGGGCAACATGGTGAAACCCTGTCTCTACTAAAAATACAAAACTAAAAATTAGCCAGGCATGGTGGTGTGCACCTGTAATCCCAGCTACTTGGGAGGCTGAGGCAGGAGAATTGTTTAAACCCAGGAGGTAGAGGTTGCAGTGAGCTGAGATTGCACCACTGCACTCCAGCCTAGGTGACAGAACAAGATTCTGCCTCACAAAAAAAGAAAAAAAAAAAAATCACCCAATCTTAACAACAAAGAAAAAAGTATACTGGAAGAAAAAATCTAACAAGCAAACAAAAAACCTATAGATACTCAGGAACTTGTGGGACTGTACCAATAATCTACATTTATGTAGGGAGGAAGAAAGAACGTGGTAAGCAAAAAAAAAAAAAAAAAAAAAAAAAGGTAAATACAATAGTCTCATTTTCTTCTTGAGTTTTCTAAACTATATTTGATTGTTGAATGAAAAATTATACCATCTGAAGTAGTTCTAAATGTAGAGAAAATATTTAAATTATATTAGAAACAAGGGAGTGTACAAGGATATAAAGGGAGATAAAACTTTTTCATTTGGACTGATAAAATGATTCAAGTAGACTGAGAAAAGTCTATTTAACTTATTACCTAAGGTAACCTCCAAGGAGCCCATACATTTAAAAGCACCACAGATAAATGAAAAATGAATTCCATAAAATGTTCAATTAACACACAAGAAGACAGGAAAAACCAAACAGAGAAATATAAACAAGGAACACAAGAAGAAAACATAGAAAACAAGCAAAAATGCAGGCTTGAGCCCTAGCATATAAATAATTATATTAAATGTAAATGATCTAAATATACCAATTAAAAGACAGAGACTGGTAAAATATATTAAAACATGACCCAACTATAGGCCATCTATAAAATTTACTTCAAATATCACTACATAAATAAGTAGAATGTAAAAGGATGGAAAAAGACATATTGTGAAAGCATTAACCAACAGAAAGAAAGGATGACTATATTAAAATCCAATGAAATAGGATTCAGAGCAAAGAAAATTACCGGAGACAGAGTCTGATATATACAATAATAAAAGGGTCAATCCTGCAAGTAGACATATCAATCCTACATATGTATGTACCAACCACAGAGCTGTAAAATATGTGAAGCAACAACTTACACAATTAAAAGTAGAACTAGGTAAACCCACAATTATAGTTTGAGACTTCAATGTTCCTCTTTTAGCAAGTGATTTAAAAACTAGACAGAAAATCAGCAAGGATATAAAAGAAGTCAACGATGTCATCAACCAACAGAATATAATCAACATGTATAACATTCCACCCAACAACAGTAGAATATGCATTCTTTTAAAGTTCTCATGGAATATACACCAATGTAAATCATATCCTGGGCTATAAGGCAAACTTTAACAAACTTTAAATATTTGGATTGTAAAGAGTACCTTCTGCTACAATGGAATCAAACTAGAAATCAGTAGTAAAATTATAACCAGAAAATCTCCAAACACTTGGAAACTAAACAGTGCACTTAAAAAATTTTATTTTATTGTGTCTTTTTGTAATTTTTTTATTTTTCATTTTTATGGGTACATAGTACATGTATATATTTGAGGAGTACATGAGATATTTTGATACAAATGTGTGATGCATAATAATAACATCGTGGAAAATGGTGTATCCATCCTTTCAAGCATTTATCTTTTGTTACAAACAATCCAATTATACTTTTAGTTATTTTAAAATGTACAGTTAAATTATTATTGACTATAGTCACCCTACTGAGCTATCAAATACTAGGTCTATTCATTTGTTCTATTTTTTTTGTGCCCACTAACCATTCCTACCTCCCCACCACCCTGAACTCCCCTTCCCAGCCTCTGTTAACCATCCTTCTGCTCTCTATCTCTGTAAATTCAATTCTTTTGATTTTGATTCCACAAATAAGTGAGAACATGCAATGTTTGCCTTTCTATGCCTAGCTTATTTTACTTAACATAATGACCTCCAGTTCCATCCATGTTGTTGCAAATGATTGAGTCTTATTCTTTTTTATGGCTGAATAGTACTCCACTGTATATACGTACCAGATTTTCTTTATCTATTTATCTGTTGATGGACACTTAAGCCACTTCCAAATCTTAGCTATTGTGAGCAGTGATGCAACAAACATGGAATTGCAGGTATCTCTTCAATATGCATATTTTCTTCCTTTTGCATACATACCCAGCACTGGGATTGCTGCATTGCATGGTAGCTTTATTTCTAACTTTTTAAGCAACCTCCAAACTGTTCTTCATAGTAGTTATACTAATTTACATTCCCACCAACACCAGCTGTGTACAAGGGGTCTTTTCTCTTCCACATCCTCACCACCATTTGTTATTGCTTGTCTTTTGGATATAAGACATTTTAACTAGGGTGAGATGTTATCTCATTTCTTATTATAATTTTGATTTGCATTTCTCTGTTGATCAGTAATGTTGAGCCCCTTTTCATATGCCTGTTTGCCATTTGTCTTTTTTGGAGAAATGTCTATTCAAATCTTTTGCCAATTTTTTTGATCGAATTATTTGATTTTTTTCCTACGGAGTTGTGTGAGCTCCTTATATATTCTGGCTATGAATCCCTTGTCAGATGGGTACGTTGCAAATATTTTCCCTCATTCTGTAGCTTGTCTCTTCACTTTGTTGACTGTTTCCTTTGCTATGCAGAAGATTTTATTTTATTTTATTTTATTTTATTTTATTTTATTTTATTTTATTTTATTTTATTTTTGAAATGGAGTCTCTCTGTGTCACCAGGCTGGAGTACAGTGGTGCCATCTTGGCTCACCTCAACCTCCGCCTTCTGGGTTCAAGCGATTCCCCTGCCTCAGCCTCCGAAGTAGCTGCAACAACAGGCACATACCACCACACCAGGCTAATTTTTTTTTTTTTTTTTTTTGTATTTTACTACAGATGAGGTCTCACCATGTTGGCCAGGATGGTCTCGATCTGCCGACCTCGTGATCCACCTACTTTGGCCGTCCAAAGTGCTGGGATTACAGGTGTGAGCCACTGCGCTTGGCCCTGTGCAGAAGCTTTTTGACTTGATATAATCCCATTTGTCCATTTTTGCTTTGGTTGCCTGTGTTTATGGGGTATTACTCAGGAAATTGTTGCCCACACTGATGTCCTGGAGAGTGTCCCCAGTGTTTTCTTGTAGTAGTTGCATAGTTTGGAGTCTTAGATTTAATTGTTTAATCCATTTTGATTTGATTTTTATGTATGGCAAGAGATAGGAGTCTAGTTTCATTATTCTGCATGTAGATATCCAGTTTTCCCAGCACTGTTTATTGAAGAGCCTTTCTTTTCCCCAGTGTATGTTCTTGGCACCTTTTTTCAAAAATGAATTCACTGTAGGTGTGTGGATTTATTTCTGGATTTTCTATTCTGTTCCATTGGTCCAGTACCATGCTGTTTGGGTTACTATAGCTCTGTAGTACAATTTGAAGTCAGGTAACGTGATTCCTCCAGTTTTCTAAACAATGCACTTTTAAGTAACCCATGAGTCAAAGAGGAACTGTCACATGAAATTGCAAAAATATGTTGAGCTAAATGAAAACCAAAATACGATGTACCAAAACTTTTGGTACATAACTAAAGCAGTTCTGAGAAGGAAATTTATGGCACTAAATATATATATTGGGAATGAGGAAAGCTCTCAAATCTATCATTTAAGCTCCCACCATAAGAACTTAGAAAAGGAAGAGCAAAAGAATCCAAAGCAAGCAGAAGAAAATGAAATAACAAAGAGTAGAAATCAATAAAAACAGAAAAAAAAAGAAAAATCAATAAAACAAAGAAATGATTCTTTGACAAAATGAATAAAATTGGCAAACCTCTAGCTAGACTGACAAAAAAGAGTGAAGACTCAGTGTCAATATCAGGAGTGAAATATGGGCTATCACTATAGACTCTGTAGACCTCAGAAAATAATATAGAAATATTGTGTCCAACTCTACACACATTATGTTGATACTTTAGATGAAACTGACTGACTCCTGTAAAAACACAAATTACCACTACTCATCTAATAAGAAATAGGAAATTTGTATATCCTATACCTATTAAATACATCAAATTCATAATTTAAAAACTCTTAAAAATAAAATCTCTAGGCCTAGGTGGTTTTATTAAAATATTCTACCAAATATTTAAGAAAGAATTAACATAAATTCTACAAAATATTTTCTGGAAAACAGAAGTGAAACAGTGAGGGGGAGTCATCCCAATTAATTTTATGAAGATAGTTTTACCCTGATAGCAAAACCATACAAAGACAGTACAAGAAAGAGAGAGAGAGAACTATAGAATAATATCTTTTAGAAATATAGACAAAAAATTCCTAGCAAAATATTAGCATATAGAGTTCAGCAATATATAAAAATTAATGCTACACCATGGCCAAGTGGGGTTTATTTCAAGGATACGAGACTGGTCCAATACTTTGAACCAGACTTCTAAGCCAGCTAAAAAGGAACTACATTATTAGCCAGATAGAGAAGAAAAATCATATTATCACATAACTCAATACAGAAAAAGAATTTCATAGAATATTTTAATAAAACCATCTGATAAAATTTCTCAGAGAAATAGGAATAGAAGGAGACTTTCTCAACTTCATAATCAGTATCTACAAAAATCCACAGGTAACATTATATTAGTGGTGAAAGACTGACATCTGCAAATAAGGTCAGTTTTATTTCTTCCTTTCTAATCTCTATGTCTTGTATTTTCTTACCTTACTGTACTGGCTAGAACATCTAGCATTATGTCAAACAAGAATGGTGAGAGAAGACATTTTTATCTTGTTCCCAATCTTAGGGGAAAAGACTGACCCTATTTGCAGATGACACGACTATATACACAGTAATTCCCAACTCCCTCTTCAAAACAATGACAGAAAAACTTACAGAAGATCCTAGAATACAAGATAAACACACATCAATTATATTTCATATACTAGCAATAAACACACGAACAACAAAATTAAAAATGCAACACCATTTACAATCTCTCAGAAAACATGAAGCCCTTAAGTGTAAATCTAGCCCATCATGTTGAAGACTTGTATGCTGAAAACAACAAAATGCTGATGAAAGAAATCAAAGAAGATCTAAGTAACTAATAAGGACATACAATGTTCATGGGTCAGAAGACTTCACAATGTAAGGATATTAATCCTCTGCAAAATGATATACAGGTTTAATTCAATTCCTATCAAAATCCTAGCAAGATTTTTATAGTTGTAGATAAGATTATTCTAAGATTTATAAGGAAAGGCAGAAGAGGTAGAATAGCTAAAACAATTCTGAGCATGGGAAGAAATTAGTCTACTCAATTTCAAGAATTTTTATATGGCTGTAGTAACTAAGACTTGTGGCAGAATAGACACATAAGTAAATGAAACAGAATACAGAATGCAGAAATAGGCCTACCCAGATAAAGCCAATTGATTTTTGACAAAAGTACAAGAGCAATTCAATGGAGGAATTATAGCCTTTTCAACAAATGGTGCTAGAACAATTGGACTTCCACAGGCAAAAAATAATAATAAATTGAACATTATTAAAGTGAAAAGCTTTTGCTCTGCAATATGCCCTGTTAATACAATAAAAACATGGGCTAGTGACTGGACAAGAGTATTTGCAAACCACAGTTCCAACAATGGATATCTACATTATATGAAAACATCTCAAACCTCCATGGTAAAAAAAAAAAAAAAAAAAAAAATCCAATTACAAAATGGGCAAAAGTCATGGGCCAGACACCTTGGCTTACACCTGTAATCCCAGCACTTTGGGAGGCCAAGGTGGGTGGATCACCTAAGGTCAGAAGTCCAAGACCAGCCTGGCCAACATGGTGAAACCCTGTCTCTACTAAAAATACAAAAATTGGCTGGACGTGGTAGCATACAACTGTAATCCCAGCTACTCAGGAGGCTGAGGCAGGATAATCACTTGAACCCTGGAAATGGAGGGTGCAGTGATTTGAGATTGCACCACTGCACTCCAGCCTGGGTGAGAAAGTGAGACTCAGTCTCAAAAAAAAAAAAAGTCATGAAGAAACATTTCACCAAAGAGTATACAGGTTGGAAATAACCACAAATAACCACATGAGATGTTCAACATCATTAGGCAATGGGGAATACAAATTAAAACCACAATGAGACATCACTAGATATCTAACTGAATGGCTAAAGTGAAAAAAAATAGAGACACCACCCAGTGTTGACCATGACACAGAGAAACTGGATTACGCACAAATTGGTAATGAGAGTATAAAAAGCAATATACAACCACTCTGGGAAATATTTAGGCAGTTTCTTAAAATAAAAGTAAACATGCAACTACCATACTCCTGGATGTTTATCCCAAAGAAATGAAGACTTCTGTTGACACAAAAACTTATACATGAATTTTCATAGCAGCCGTAGCCATAATAGTCAATAAATAGAAACAACACAGATGTGAAAGACATCTGCAAATGATTGTTTAAACAAACTGTGGTACATCCATATCATGAAACACTCCTAAGCAATAGAAAGGAACAAACTATTAATACATATGGCAATCTGAAGGAATTTCCAAAGAATTCTGTTGAGTCAAAAAAGGCAACCTCATTATGGAACATTCTTGAAAAACATTATGGAAGTGGATTAGTGGTTGCCAGGAGTTAAGAGAGGGTCATTAGAAGGAAGTGAGTGTGTCTATACAAAGGCATGATGGATCCCTGGGGTGATGCAAAGACTCTGTATTCTGCCTGTACCAATGTCAATACCCTGGTTGTGCTATGTACTACAGTTACACGGAATGTTATCATTAGAGAAAACTGAGTAAAGGGAATCTCTTTATTAGTTCTTGCAACTGCATGTCACTCTATAATAATCCCAAAATAAAAAGTTTAAAACAGCAAAAAGATATGGTCAATTTGATGTGTAATGCATGTAATGTGATGATTACTGAAAGAACCTTGCCTGGAGGGGACGAGGCATGGATATAAATTCCTTCTGTGTCTACAAAAAGCCATGCTATCTTAAGCAGACCCCTGGCTTTTTGGGGTCTCAGTTTTCTCATCTGTTAAGTGAGATATTTGAGCTAAATCATCTGTAAATGCTTTTCTATTTAATGTAGAACGTGCAGATGGGACAGAGAATCACTGGTGGAGACTGATCCCAAAGTGGCCAGAGTGCAAGGTGCTTTATGGCACTGCACCAGTTCCCTATGAAACCATACACATCTCATTGAGTAAGGAAGGAAGCTGCCTGTGACTGAGACTCTGAAATGGACCAGGTACAACAGTAAGCATGCCACACATGTGATATTACTTAGACAAAGCACCAATAACAAACATATACATATTTTTATTTCCATCTTTTTCAGGGAGGAAACTGAGTCTTGAAGAGATTGTGTAACTTTGCAGTGAGTGCAAACCGTAGTAATTACAAAGTGTGAATTAAAAACCCAAAATGCTGCCTGCTAGCAGAGTGGTAAATTATTTAACCTCTGTAAGCCTCTGTTTCCTTACTTGCAAAACAAATAAAACAGTTCCTGTTTTTCTGTGAAGAGTAGTTAGGATTACGCATGTGAAGCCTTAACATAAAATTTACTACATGATGAATATTCAAAAATTTTTTGAGATCATCATCATTGTCATCATCATCACCAGAGTTTCAGTCTGGACGTTCTGTTTTCAAAGTTCACATTCTGGACTTTCAGTCCTGGCAGTTGCTGCATTCTCCCTGGGCAACTCCATGAAGCCCTTTCTGATAAGATGGGAAAGGAGAAGGTAGAAAAGAAAGCCCAGCTCTAGCTATATCAGTTCTCAGCAGTTGTTTTAACTCACCTCAGAGATGACGTAATCCTAGTAATCAGCAGTTTTGCATACCTTCTCCCATACCTCCTTCACCTACATCCCTGACTCTCAGTCATCCCCCACCACAGACAAATCTGCTTATTTCATAGATGGGAAAACAGGACAGGTGGAGTGGAGAGCTTGATCCAGGTTACACAGCTAGTCAGAAATGAAACCCAGGACTGGAGCCCCAGCCTTCCATTTCATTTCCATGTTCCCTCCCTCAACCAGGAACTGGTGCCCAGGCACATCCTCTCCTTGTGCAGAATGTGCCCATGGTATCAATGATGTTCAGGAGAGTTCATGAGAAAGGAAGATAAATGGACATGATGTAGTTGGGGAAGACCTTTTGGAATAAAAGACTTGAGTTAGGTCCTGAATGAACAGAGGATGTCTGTAGGGGGAGGGGAGTGGGGAAAACCATTCAGGCCAAGGAGTCACGGGAGGGAAAGTATGGAAGTGGAGATACCTATGCTCAGGATCAGACAAAAGAATCAACAGACATGCGTCTCAAGCCTGCTCCCTGCTCTCATTCTGACGAACTGACCTGAGCAGTGTCGCCCCTTAAGCTTTCCCATCTTTAGAATCAGAGACTTGAATTCCTAGCGTGACTTCTCTCATGGTGGTGCTGAAGACAGGATGTGATCAGGACTAGGGTTCTCTGTAAACTGTAAGGAGATGGCTCCAGGTACAGGGTCACTGGCGGCAGTGGGGAACCTCAGGAGGTAAGTTTAGGGAATCTTGAGGACCAGGCTATGGAGTTTGGAAAGCAACCTCTAGAGCTGGGAGAGGAAACTGCTCCCTCTAGGCATGGCCAGCTCCATTCCTGCCAGCAAGAACAAGGACATCAGGTCAAACACAATGACCTGTAAAGTCATCGGAGGGTCCTACAGGCTTTGATTTCCAAGCCAGGGATGCACCAGCAGTTCTCCTCCCAGATCCTCATGGAGAGCTAGACATGGACGTGAAGGCATGCGGGGAGCCCTGACCGCTACACTCATTGTTGCATTTCCCACAGGCTCTCCAAGGCTTCCCTACTGGCCTTCCAAATAGGAATAAAGACAGGTACCTTTGAAGCACATTTGAATGGGTTTAGGAGACTGTAAAGTACTGTCCCTACGGAAGAGCTGGCAACTTCTGGGAGCAGAGACATCTGGGCCTTTGATGGCAGGTATCTGCCTATACCGACCCTCCTGGTTCTTCTCTTGGGGCCCACGCTTTCCCAAGTCTCAAAGGGGATTACGCTGCAGAAGAAGGCAGAGTGCTGCTCAGGCTTAACTGAGCTCGCAGGCTGGTATTCTCTCCCCATATCTTCTAATTAATAGTCAGGATTAACAGCTGCTGCTGCTGGGCCTAAGCCATCTAATCACAGCCACACAGGCTCCTGGGTGCTCAGACTTCCCCGCGCTCCGCAGCCTCCCCCAACCCTTGGAGAAATGCATTTGGAAATTAAAACAACAACAAAAACTAGAAGAAATCCATCCCCCGTCTCCAGCCCCAGTGCCTCCTGGGATTGGAACTGTGCCTGCCTCTCACCTCTCTGAGATGAAAGCAAAAAGTGCCACTTCCCTGGGGCCCCTCTGGGTTGGGAGGGTTTCAAAGCTTTGCTGAGAAGGGACAAGATGCCTGTCATTCCAGCCCACAGGCAAAACACAACCCGAGAAAGCAAACCACCTATATGATAATAATAATAATAATGTTATAATTTTTATGCTAACATTTGATTTCTAAGTGTTTTACATGAATTAAATTATTTCATATGCACAAAGCCTCAGTAATATATTACCATTCCTCTTTTATAGACCAGTAAGGGAGGAACAAAGAGGTTACATCACTTGGCCCCAGTCACACAGCTTGTTAGTAATGGAGATGAAATTTGAAAACCATGCAGGCTCAAAGAAGAAAGCCTGTAAGCCCAGGTATCCCCATCCTCTCATCCAACTCACAAAACCATGCCACTGTGGGAGCAGAAGTTGGGAGTCCAGAGACCTGTCTTTCGACTTCCCTTTGTAGGGGTGACTCCAGCAGCACCTGAGTCACCTCTACAAACCCTGGGGCTATGAGGCACACACACTGCAAACTCTGGTAGTAAGCCCTCTGCTGGTCATGTTGGCAGGGCCCAGAGCTGGGTCCCAGGGTCAATGACTGACATCTCTGGAGACACAGGAAACCATGAATGAGTGGTCAGGGACCCTGAGAAGCTGCTCAGCCTGCACTGATTCCTTCAGGGGCCTGCCCTTGGGGAAGGATTCCTGCCCCCTCCCATGGATCTGGCCCACCAGGACCACACCTCCGGTGTGGATCAGACTTTGGTCTGCTCCCAATGGGCTCCACCTCCTTTTCTAACATACCTACACCCCCGTCTCATTTTATGCATCTGTGTTTCTCCACAAACATGGAAGGACCACCTACTAGACAGTCTGCTGGGGGCTGATGGTAAAAAGATAATGCAGTTTTCTTCCCTCAGTGGATACCCCTGTCAAAAGCTCCTCTTCCTACACTCTGCCACCCAGAGCTCCCACTGGACCACTTCTCAGAAGAGGCTTTCATGCTTCTCATCTGGTACTTTCCATTTCTCAAGTGGCGATGATGCTCCTCTAGAGTCACATGATGCTGGAGCCCTGTTTCCAACCAGAACCAAATTCCAAGACACACTCAGCAAACAGACCTGCACTCTGCTGGGTCAATTTGATAAGCTAATTGGAACTGAAGTGTTACCTATCAATGGTGAATCCATGAGGGTGCTGAGAGCAGTAGAAAAACACATAATTTGGTGTTAAATGGAAAAAAGTTTAAAGGCTAGTGAAGGCACTTCCTAGCTCTGGTGCTCTGATAGGCAGCCTCTAAGAGGGCCCCCATTGGTATTCACACCCATCTGTAGCCCCTTCCCCTGGAGTGCAGACTTTCCCTTAACTTGCTTTAATGGGTGCAGTAGAGTAATGAGGTGTTACTTCCAAGATTAGGTTATAAAAAAGCTGTGGCTTTTATCTCAGGCACTCTGTTTCCTTGTCTCTAAGAGCCCCCACTTTAGAGGAAGTTAGCTGCTACGCTGTAACATTATGGCAATGACCATGTGGCAAAGAACTGATATCTCTGGACAACAGCCAGGGAGGCCCTGACATGCATGAGTTTACAAGCTGATCCTCCCCACCCCAACTCAACCTGGAGATGAATGCAGCCCCAGCCAGGACCCTGATTGCAGCCTGTGAGAGACCCTGAACCAGCTGAGCCCAGATTTCTGATCCACAGAAAGTGTGATAATAAAAGTGCAGTGTTTTAAGCTGCTAAGCTTTGGGGTAATTTGTCATGCAGCAATAGGTAACTAATACACTAGCTGAGTGATAGTGAGCAGCTTTTTTCCTCACTTTACTATAGAACAAACTGAAACATATTTAAAAATAGGGAATAGTATAATAAATCTTGTGATGGTTAATATTGTCAACTTAATCAAGTTGAAGGATGCAAAGTATTGTTCCTGGGTGTGTCTGTGAAGGTGCTGCCCAAGGAGATTAACATTTCAGTCAGTGGACTGGAAGAGGTAGACCCACCCTCAATCTGGGTGGGCACAATCTAATAGGCTTCCAGCAAGGCCAGAATAAAGGCAGGCAGAAGGTGGAAAGATGAGACTGGCTAAGTCTTCTGGCCTCTATCTTTTCCCCGTGCTGGATACTTCCTGCCCTCGAACATCAGACTCCAAGTTCTTCAGCTTTTGGACTCTTGAGCCTACACCACTGGTTTGGCAGGGGCTCTCAGGCCTTTGGCCACAGACCAAAGACTACACAGTCGGCTTCCCTACTTTTGAGGTTTTGAAGCTCAGACTGGCTTCCTTGCTCCTCAGATTGCAGATGATCTATTGTGGGAATTCACCTTGTAATCTTGTGGGTCAATACTCCTTAATAAACTCCATTTCACATATACATCTATCTTATTAGTTCTGTACCTCTAGAGAACCTTGATTAATACAAACCCCCATATGCCCACCACCTAGTTTCAACAATTATGCACACATAGCCAGTCTTGTTTTATCTCTGTCCCCAATGTCCAAATTGCTTAACCTTCCTTGGCCTCTATTTCCTCATCTCTAAAATAATGTGGCTTAAAACATTTGCCTATCAGTGATTGCCTGAGTGAATACATACAGAGTGACTGGTATGGTGGCTCCCACACAGTACAAGATTGATGAACATCTACTCTTGCCTTTCCTTCCTTTCACATCTTAGAAAACTCAATTTGTACTGTGGCTTAAAGATGTGACCCATTAAATTACAGGTTGGTAAAGACGACCTTACAGTGACACAATGGCAAGGGCTTGGCAGGAAGATTTTGTTCAGACTCCTTATGTAGGCATCAGCAGGAAATTACCGTGGAAATGCCATTCTTCTGATCTTCCCTTCATTAAGTAACAACACATTTTCTGAATGCCTGTCTTACCAGAACTAAATACAAGGGTGACCAGGGTAGGGTCCCTTGCCTTCAAAGAACACAACATCCTAGAGGGTAGAACCACACTTTAGTAACCATGATAGCACTTTTTTTGTTGTTGAATTATAGAGGTGCACACAAAGTCCTGAAGATCTCCAATCACATGTATGGGTGGTGGGGCAAGAAATGTCTTTATTGATACACTTTGAAGGCATATGGAACATTCGACCTTCTACAGAAAGTGTCTGCAGGCCAACAAGCAGATAAGGGCTGTCCAGATAGCCCCATGGAGGTTGAGAGGGGGCAAAGTGGATGGCATTTTAGTGACATGGCAGGGATGGAAACAGGAAAGTGGAGGCAGTAGACAAAAACCACTCCATGGAGAGGCTAGAGGCTAGAGGCTTTGGTGAAGATCAAATAAGAGGAAGCCAGGACTGGGTGGGGATTTATTTCTCGGATGGTGTGTAGACAGAGAAAGACCAGAGGAGACAGAAAAATTCAAAGTGGCCGGAGAAAGAAGTTAACTGACAGAGCCAAGTCCAGAGGGGATGTGACAAATTGGGATGAGGTGTGAGGTGTGGCAGAGCAGGGGTCCTCTTCTCTGAGATGGGTGGGAGGATCACTGGCAGCATTGAGATCTTTAGAGCTTCTTGTCTAAAGAATTCTGTTTTCTCGATTACTGAAAGTGAGGAGGGGTTTGGGGAAGGGTGGGACCATCACAGAGAAGTATTCACCATAGACAGAGAATGTCAATCACTTCGTTAGGTTCCATTCTTCTGGGAGAGAATGGGCAAAGAGAAGTGGCAGAGAGAAGTGGCAGATTCAGTGGACAAGGAAAAGAAAGACGTTATGCACTGAACGTTTGTGCCCTCTCAAAATTCATGTGTCAAAACCAGGGATTACCCCAGTGTGATGATATTTGCAGGTGGGGCTTTGGGAAGTAAGAAGTCTTAGATGAAGTCATGAGGATAGAGCCCTCCTGATTGAGATTAGTGCCCTTATAAGAGGCACAGGAGAACCTGCTTCTCCTCTCTCTTCTCTGTCATGTGAGCCTACAATGAAAAGTAGGCAGTCTGCAACCTGAAAGAGGACCCACCAAAGTCCTATCGTGCTGGATCCTTGATCTTGGACTTTCAGCCTCCAGAACTCTAAGACATAAGTTTCTGTTGTTTATAAGCCACCCAGTCTATGGCACTTTGTTACAGCAGCACAAACTAAGACAGAAAAGGTATGTTAGGAGCCTGAGACCTCCCAGGGAAAGGTATTTAGGGGAGAATGACAAACTGGACACTGTTGGGGATGGGGGGCAAGAATAGTACTAGGTTGAAAGGATAAAGATGGTGCTATGGACTGAATGTTTGTTTCCCATTCCAAAATTCATATGTTGAATTTTCGTATCTATATTTATACGTTGAATATTCATATTTATATGTTGAAGCCCTAATCTCTCGTGTGAGGGTATTTGGAGGTGGGGCCTCTGGGACATTGTTAGGCCATGAGGGTGGTGCTCTCATAAATGGGATTAGTGCCTTCAAAAAAAGGATTCTAGAGAGATCCTTCAGCCCTTCTGCCACGTGTAAGGACACAGCGAGAAGGTGGCTGTCTGCAAACAAGGTAGTGAACCCTCAACCAGGACTAGAATCAGCTGGCTGGCACCTGGATCTTAGACCTTCCAGCCTCTAGAACTGTGGGAAATGCATTCACATTGTTGAAGCCACCCAGTCCCTGGTATTTTTTATAGCAATGCCAACTGACTCATGCCCATGAGTAGAGATGAAGAGGCACTAAAGGCAAACCTTGTTTTTCCCAAAGAAAGTGGATGTGAAAACATGCTTTAAGAGAGAGCAAAAGGAAAGATATTTGACATTTCTGGGACTTGTGAGCCCCGGGGAAAACAACCTATCCCAGGTGGGGAAGTTGTGTGCCACACGAGGAGGGGGTGCAGGGTGCAGGACTGGGGTCACATAGTCCCGGGCGCTGACTCGCGGGTTGGAGAAGGGTGCAGCCCATCTCCCACAATGCCTTTCGTCTAGCACTCTGGCGCAGATGAGCCCAAGATGCTTTATAACTTTCAATCCTCCTTTTATGATCCTCAGAACTTGTCGCCATCTGCTATGCAGGGCTTTAATGCAAATCGGAGTTTGCTTTTATGGTTTCAATTAACCTAATAATAAAGCGGGGCAGGCAGGCTCCAAAGCATCTTCCCCTCCCATCCATTTCCAGGCAAGCTTCCCACCCTCCTCCCCCAAAACAACAGACCATGATGGCTTCACCCTGCAGTTGGAAACCCTTTGCCACATTAACCATGTCCCGTCTGCACCAAATTAACCACCTCCCAATTGTATCATAGTTGCTGCTGGGAATCCCTTCAGAGGAAACCGATCTAGGGTCTTGTGTGACAGATGCTACTTGAGCACAGAGGTCACTCAGGCCAGGAGGTCTTTCCCGGAGCACAATGTAAAGGGAAGACCATGACTCTGAGAATGAGAGACACGGATTCAGATCATCCCTGTTTCACAGCTGAGTCACCTAGGGCATCTGTCTGAGCCTCACTTTCCTCACCTATAATAAGAGGACAATTACATACAGCATGCATAGTGCTGTGAGGGTGATGCATCTGCCTCCTAATAAGCCACATTTTGCCTTCGGTAGGAACCAGGAGCAGGTTAGGAAGATAAATCTAGGATCACCAGAGAGGTTTCCAGGGACATAAGACTTTCAAAGCTAAAAGTTGGAAAGCCCTGGGCAAACAGGAAGAAGCTGGTCACCCTAAACGTGTCTTCTCTCCAAGATCTCTTTAGTGGCACTCCACAGGTGTGTAGGTAAGGCAAGGCAAGGTAGGCACTTCACAGGTAAGGCAGATAAGGTAAGGTAGGCGCTCCACAGGTGAGGTAGAATCCCAGTACCAAATTTTGTTCTTTTGCTCATGTCTTGCTTAGAAATTTCACAAAGCCTTGGGGAGTCAAGTTTCAAAAATATAATTATTACCATTAATTTATTCTTAAACTACAATTGAAAACAACAAGGATTATTTGCATTTGCCTAGTAATGTGTAGCATACAAGCTGCACTTAATACCTGGAAAACCTCTGCAAGGTAAGGAAGTTATCCAAGGCCATATAGCAACAACATTATAGGGGTCCCTGGTCTTGAGCAGGTAGGTCACTCTTCCTCCCTTTTCTCAACTATAAAATGGAGTTAAAATATTTAGCTTGGTGAGAGTGAAAGATAATGCATTTAAAGTGCCTAAATTTTGTAGGTGATCCATTAAATGGTGGCACTAGCTCATTATTGTTTTTAACCTAACAAAATTGCTGTGTGGTTCTATAAAAAAAATCTGGCATTTGGCCTTAGGTGCTCACCCATCCTTTCTTTGGATGTGAATGTCCTATATTTTCTAAACTTGGTTGATTAGCTGGCATCAGTTGGCATTTTTTAAGTAAACACAGCCTTTGATTATAATTTTTGAATTATCTTCTCTTGAAGCAAAGGTGAGATGTACAATCCTATTTAAAGCATTCACTCATTCATTCATTCACTCTATGAATATTTTATTGGGCTTCTGGCTCCCAATGGGATTGTCCTAGGCTAGACATTTCTCTACTCACCCAGAATACATTACATTTTAGTTTTCAAGCTGAAATCAACTTTAGGTTCAGAAGTTTCTCCTAGCTAGACAAAGACGACCCTTCTAGAAAGGTGAGTGGGAGTATTGTTTGGATCTGGGAGCAGAGATCAGCTTTAGGACTGTATTTCTACTATAAGCACAAAGGCAAAGGCCCACAAAACTTTTGGGGGCCCCCCAAAATGTGTTAATTTTAATCAGAAAAAAATAAATATGCTCCATCCTGGTTTATATTTTTATTTTTATCATCACAGTTATAAAATATTTTACACACACACACAAACTCACACATTTTTAATGGACTAAAAGGATCTATGAACATAAATGCCTAAGGCCCACGAAAGTCAATACAGCCCTGAGCCAATATCATTTCAGAGCTGGAGCTTTCAACTGCGTTGTGGTTAGCAGAGTGGCCAGCTGCAGGAATGATTCCCTAAAACCTCTAATGCAAGGCTTCCTGCAAATGAAAGGGACATGGAGTCCACAGAATGACTGGATGGATGGATAGATGGATAGATGGAGGATGGATGGAGGATGGATGGATGACAGATGGATGATGGATGGATGGACAGGCAGATGGATTAAAGAACAGATATTTATTAAGGTGCAAAGATGAATAAGTTATCAAGACCACAAGCGGAGGAGACTTAGTGCCCTGCAAATTCAGAGGCAGAATTGACCTGTGTTCTGCCTAGGCCCAGCTAAAAGGGACCCCATGAGTCTTACTTTATCCTTTTTAACCAGACTTTAAAAATCTTACTGTAAGGTCAGTATTTAAAGCACACATACAACTCCCATTGAGTGATTTAACTGGGTTTGTGTATAACAGTAACTCAAATGCAAAGGATTAGCCCTTAATCTAGTAAGTGCCATATCCAAACCCAGGGCTGTGGCTCAAGTGCCAAGTTTTTCCAGAACCATGGGCTGCCATTTGGGAGATATTGTCTGCTAAAGTTTTCTTTCTTTAAAATTACACACCATTTCACTTGGCTTAAAGACAAGAACCAGTTTCAACTTAAAAAAATAAAAAATAGGCCGGGCGTGGTGGCACATGCCTGTAATCCCAGCACTTTGGGAGGCCGAGGCAGGTGGATCACGCGGTCAGGAGATCGAGACCATCCTGGCTAACACGGTGAAACACTGTCCCTACTAAAAACAGAAAAAATTAGTCGGGCGTGGTGGCGGGCACTCGGGAGGCTGAGGCAGGAGAATGGCGTGAACCAGGGAGGCGGAGCTTGCAGTGAGCCGAGATCGCGCCACTGCACTCCAGCCTGGGCAACAGAGCAAGACTCCATCTCAAAATAAATAAATAAATAAATAAATAAATAAATAAATATAAAATAAAATAAAATAAAAATAAAAAGAATGACAGAAAAGCAGTAACACATAAACCAAAAACACTACTGACATTTTCTGATACATATCTTAAATTTCACAGATGCTTCTTGTAAAATGATTTAGCTGAGAAACAACAATGAAGGCATTTATTTTCCAAGCAGTGATGGCACCAAGACAACTGGCAAAAAGTGTACTCAGCATGAAGACAAGAGTTGGTTTTCATTCCTTTTTGGATGTTTTGGGCATCTTCTTCTGCCTCACAGAGAATTCCTGAGAGACAGTCCTTGGACTTGCTTGCCCTCCACCAGTCACTGCCAGGGACCTCCTGAAACACCAAGATCCCCAAGGGACCATGGTGTCTGTTGCCAGCTTAGCGTCCTCATTTTGCCGTCTTCATGCCCTTCTCTCCACATCCACACCCCCACTCCCACTGTTACAAACCATATTTAATAAAACGTAGACACCCAGGATGCTACAGTGAATGATTGTAACATCTCTGATGGTAACTAGACATTGAAAGGGACCCCTTAAAAGTAATGAATAAATGGGCCAATTCGCACTAAAACGCAATTGTAAATAAGCAACCTCAGAAGTGAGAAGGGCAGGGGCTGTTAGTTCTCATTCCCAGTAAGAGGCAGAGATAAATTGGGTGCAAATGGAGATCCAATAGGTGCTGACAGTAACAGATGAAGATCTATGAAAATTGAGGATACTTTAATGAGTTATGTTGAACAGATGCAAGAGAAATTGGTCCAGGAGGGTGCCCTTGGAAAGCTCTGTAGTCCTCCATATGCTTGGGTTTGTAGTTTGTCTCTCAACCACATCATCTTGATAAATGAATGCTCAGCTCTCCTTTTAGGTCCTCTTACTGGGCTGGAAGCTGAGGCCAAACTTGTGGTTTTTCTCTGTTGCAATCTGCAGTATCTTAAGCACAGCATTTTCTCTCTGTGTGCCTCACTTGTGTTATCTCTACAATGGAAGTAATTATAATTGTGAACCTTGCCTCAAAGTCTTGTAAGGGGGATGGATGTGACAACGAATGTGAAAGTGTCACACACCACACACACAGTGGGGAGGGATTCAAGAGACAGCTCTAACACAGTCTGGTCATGTGGCCTACTGTGGGCTAATATTTCACCTCTGGAGGCCTGAAGTTTCCTCATCTGTAAAATGAGGAGCTTGGATTCATCAGTGGTTCTCAAACCTGGCTGCACTTCAGAATCACTTGGGGAGCTTTTTAAAAATAGTGGTGCCTGGAAACTTCCTCAAATTAATTACACTAGAACCTCTGGGGTTAAGGCCCCAGACATCAGTCTATTTTAAAGCTCCTCAGGTGATGGTGTTGTTCAGCCAGAGTTGTGAATTGCTGAACTAGATGATCTCTAAGGGTTCTTTCCCTCTAACATTCTGTGACTCTATAATTTGTTTTGTAATTGCATGAAACATATTGGCTTTGATCCAGAGCCATTTCTACCTTAAGGGGAAACATCCCCCAAATAACAATGAAAGCGGGGCACAGAAGGGCAAACCAGGTGCTGGAGCAGTGGATTCCATCTGTTTCAGAGCCATGGTTCCTATAAAAAGCTGGACATGATGGTTGGCATGCTTAGAGCAAACTTTTTTAGTATTTCTTCCTAAAAGTGGTTGAGATTTTTTATAAATGAATTCACACTCTATGTAACATTTTGAGGTTGGTTTTACTCACTCAGTATAATGTTATTTGAAGTCCATCCTAGTGATGCACGCATCAAAAGTCTGTTCCTTTTGATTGCTGAGTAGTATTCCATGATAGGCATATATGCAATTTGATTAAACTTGCCCATTGAAAAAAATTGAAGTCAGTTCCAGTTTTTGACGGTTATAAAGAAAGATGTTATACACATTTTTATACAGGTGTTTGCATGAACATAAGTTTGGCATTTTGTGGGATAAATGTCCAGGAGTGCAATTTATGGGTCATATGATAAGTACATGTTTGGCATTGAAAGAAACTGCCAAAACCATTTTCCAGAGTGGCTGTGCCATTTTAAATTCCTACCAGAAGTGTGTGAGTAATCCAGTTTCTCTGCATCATCACTAGTATTTGGTGTTAGTCACTCTGATAGGTATGTGGTGATATCTCATTGTGATTTTAATTTGCATTTTCCTAATGTTTAATGATGTTAAATATCTTTGATGATTTCAATTATTTTTAGTGTTGATGATTCAATAATTTTTAGTGTTGTCGACTTTTTTTTGGCCCAGGATATAATTTATCATGATGAATTTTCCGTGGTTGCTTGAAAAAAATTTATACAGTCATCCCTCAATACACATAGGGGATTGGTTCCAGGACCTACTCCCCAATCCCCAACTTCTGCTAACAAAATCCATTCATATTCAAGTCCTGCGGTCAGCCCTGTGGAACCCACATATAAGAAAAGTCAGCCCTGCATATACACAGGTTTCATATCCCATGAATACTGTATTTTAGAAAAAAAATCCTTGTACTAGTTGACTTGTGCAATTGTTCACCATGTTGTTTGAGTCAACTGTATTCTGCTGTTGTTAGACAGAGTTCCACATATGCCAATTAGATCATGTTGATTGGTTGTGTACACTGAAAATAAAATTCTAAGTCCCACAACTATCTGAATGGACCCCTGCTCTTGGCCAAGGGCATTCTAAAGTTAACCTGAAAAACTAGTTCGGGCCATAGTGGGAAGTTGGGGTTTGATATGCCTCATTTTACCTTCCTCCCTTTGAAATTCAGGCACAATGGACCAGCGTTAGCATTAAAACAGAGCTCTTAAGACTTTTTGTAGCAATAAGACACCAAATTCTGGTGTGACATGAGTATGGCATCACATGACAGATAGCCGACCCTGAAGGAAATCAAAGTATTTTACCCTAAAATATATTTCTTTGACATATTTTGAAATGGCCCTGCAAAGCCATCTCTTGTGGGAAAAATCTACATCACACAGAGAATCCCTTTCCCTTCCCAAGTCTTTTCCCTCAACCAGGAGAGGACTAACTGAGTCTGGCACCTTTTTAAGTCTGATAAGAAACGTTTATAATCTATTCTCTCTGAAGCCTGCCACTTGGAGTCTTCATCTGCGTAATAAGAACCTTTGTCTCCACAATCCCTTATTTTAACCCAGGCACTCCCTTTAATGGATTCCAGGTCTTTGGATGAACTCTTTCAACCAATTGCCAATTGTAAAATTTTTGAATCCACATATGCACCCATGATCTAGAAGCCCAATACCTCCCAACCCTCCACTTCAAGTTGTCCCACCTTTCTGGACCAAATCAATGTATATCTTAAATGTATTGGTTGATGTCGTAGGTCTCCCTGAAATGTATAAAATGAAGCTGTTTTGGCACATGTCATCAGGACCTCCTGAGGCCATGTCACAGGCATGTCCTTAACCTTGGCAAAATAAACATCTAAATTGATTGAGATTTGTCTTACATACCTTTTGTATTACAAAAGGTTGTTTGCATTACAAAAGGTGTTGTTAACTTCTTCTATATCCTTGCTAATATTCTCTCTAGTACTCTATCAATTGCTGCGAATGAGGCAGAGAAATCCTCAACTATAATTGCAGATTTTTGTATTTCTCCTTTCTTTTCTATCAAGTTTTTGCTTCATGTATCATGAGGCTCTGTTGTTTGGTGCATACACATTTAGGATTTTTATGTCTTCCTGGTGAATTGATCCTTTTATTTATTTTAAAGATATAAATTTATTAAAACTTTGAAGTTAACAATTTATTGAAGTCAGAAATAAAATAATATGTTAACTATAAAAACCTAGAAGTCCCAGGAATTAGATTTCAAAGATTTTGATTTCAAAGAATTCCTTACAAATAAGGATTGATCCTTTTATTAATATATAATATCCCTCTTTGTCTCTAGTAATTTTATTTGAAGTTTACTTTATCTACTTTTAATATTTTATATAATATACCAATACAGTTACATAATGTATATATTTACATATTAACATGTAAATTTATATAACATTCTTAAAATATTATAATTATAGAGATGGATCATAGATCAGTGGTTGCCAGGGATTAGGGAGGATAAGGGAGGTTGATGTGGATATAAAAGGATGGTATAGGGGATCCTTGGGATAGAACTGTTCTGTACCTTGGTTCTGGTGGTGGTTACATAAATCTATGTATATAGAATTAATATGCATTATAAATTGCATAGAACTAATATGCACACACACAAATGATCATACAAAAAACTAGTGACCTCTGAGTAAGTGTGGTGGGTTATATCTGAAACTGCCATTGCAAATTTATAGCTGAGACAAATGTTACAGTGAAAAAGATCTGACATAACCAACTTCATCCTCCTTCTAATCTCTAAACTGTTCTTGTTCATTCCTGGGTGTAGGCTGAACTAACTTTGAGAGGAACTTAGCTTATAGTTTAACTTGGAAACAAACAGGAAAACAGTCTTTCCCAAAACAAACCTTCCCGGAGACTAGACTGCCTTTGCAGGACTAACAAATGAGCACACAATTAGAAATTATGATTTAGGAGTCATGTAGCTGGAGGCTACAACATTCTGACCCTTCCCAAATTGCTCTTGGGGTCATCATTTCTATTGTAAAAAACTAAGATCAGTGCTTGAGATATTCTGTAGGCCCTGCTAGATCAGCTGGCACCACCCAGATCCATAAACTGCCTCATCTGGTCTTGTGGCCCCTGCCCAGGTACTGACTCAGTGCAAAAAGACAGCTTTGACCGCCTATTATTTCATCTCTGACCCACCCAATCAGTACTCCCAACTCACTGGCCCCTACCCACCAAATTGTCCTTAAAAACCCTCGATCCCCAAGTTTTCAGGGAGACTCATCTGAGTAATAATAAAACTCCAGTCTCCCATACAGACAGCTCTATGTGAATTACTCTTTCTCTACAGCAATTCCCCTGTCTTGATAAAAGAGCTCTGTCTAGGCAGCAGCCAAGGTGAACCTGCTGGGTGGTTAGATATCAATGTTAATTTCCTGATTTTGATTTTATTCTACAGCTTTGCAAGATGTTACTCTTCGGAGAGCCTGGATGAAGACTATACAGCACCTCTCTGTATTACTTCTTATAGCTTCATGTGAGTCTACAATTATATCAAAATAAAAATTAAAAAAATTAAGAGTATTCTTACTTTTATGTATTTTTGAAATTTTCCATAATAAAACATTTTGAACGATGGATGAGAAATTAGCATAAATTCTGCTCCTTTACACATTCCCGTTTGTGTTTTCCCCATTTGCTTGGTATTATAGACACTGCATGAAGACAGTCAGCCTGGGACTTTGTGTGTTTTGGTATCACTGACATTTTGATATTTCAGTTTAAAATCTGACTTGATCACATATTAAACCTCAAGTCTTCCTCAGCCTGGGCAGGAGCCCCACTGCCTACGTAAGCTTAGGTTGGAAGGGAACTTGCTTGGGGGCCTCACATGGCTATGATCACTCCCATTTGGTGCTGTTCTTATGCTTGTATTCTTTCTTGGATTTGCTGCCCTTCTCTTCTCACTGATTTATCTGAGTAAGGGGGAAAGGGCCTCAGCACTTGGAGCCCAAAGGTGTGGACTCTGCACCAAGCCTCACAGCTAAGTCCAGATTTGGGCAAGTCACTGGCCCTTACAGAGCCCTCGTCCCCTCACCCATCAAATGAGGATTACTGTACAACCATCACAGACAATCGCATTGAGAAACCAACGAGAGGGCATGTTAAGGAATTTATTAACCACATTGTGTCATGCCAATGCAGACTGTGATTACTATTAGGTCCTTCTCCTGACTCTTCAAAAAAGCTCTTTAGTGCTGATTCTCTTAGGACACATAGATTACTTGCACAGTATTTATTTAACTTTAGGTCATTTGGTGGATGTTGCATGCTTGATTTAACTTTGGCAAAGCACATCCTCCTCCAAGCCATGCTTAGAAGTTAAAAGAAGGATTTCAGACCATGCCAGCCTGGGAAAAGTGAGTGATGACCTCCCAGGGACCTCCGGACTTATGCAAGTGAACAAAGAAAGCCCAGGATGAGGTGCTCAGGCAGTGGGCAAAGCGAGGAAGAAGAAGGTGCTCTCAGGAGAGAAATGGTGAGTTTGGAGCAATACTCAGAGAGTTAATTCTTAGTGGAAGTCCTGTTTGTACCCCTGGGCTTAGGCAGTAGGAGTGAGAGAGACTCAGGAGACATTTCTCAGATACCTCATCCACTGTACTCATCAGGGTTCTGCAGAGTCACAAAAGCATCAGAATCTGTACAGATATATGAAAAGAGATTTATTATGAGGGATTGACTCATATGCTTGTGCAGGCTGAGAAGTCCCAAGTCTGCCATCTGCAAGCTGGAGGTCCAGGGAAATAGTGGTGTAGTTATCCAAGCCCAATGGGCTGAGAACCAGGGCACCGATGGCTTAAGTCCACGTCTGAGTCTGAAGGCCAGAGAGCAAGGAACACCAATGTCCAAGGGCAAGAAAAAATGGGTTCCCCAGGTCAAGCAGAGACAGCGAATTTGCCCTTCCCCAGCCTTTTTGTTCTAATCAGGCCCTCAATAGATTGGATGGTGCCCACTGGCATCGAGGAGGGCCACCTTCTTTACTCAGTCTGATTCAAATGCCAGGCTCCCACCCCACCTGCTCTTTGCTGTGCTCTTTCCTCAAGGTGCCGTGTCTTCCCTCCCTGTCTTGCTGTGGGGTCACCCTCCAGCCTGGCACCTCAAGTCTCCTCCCTTTGCACCTTGTAACTGTCACTCTATGTTCTCTTCATGCCTGAGGCTCCTGGACCTGAAACAGAGTGGGAATTCCTCCTAAGGACCCTCTGCTAACCCTCCCCACCCCATACACCGCTTTGCAAGCATGGAAGTAAAGTAAAATCTTGAGTACATTCAAGGGAAATTCCAGACACCTAGCTAGCCCTAGGAAGTAAATGGGCAACATAATAAGCAAGAAGGCAATAGTAGCTTAAAACGACAGCCAAGGAAGTTAGAGTCACAGGATGTTTGGTTCCTTATAGAAACGAAAGACAACATCTTAACATATGTTCCTGAGTTGTTTTTCAGAAACCCTAAACCCTACCAAGTGGATCTGCTGGCACACAGACCTCAGATAGAGGAACTGAGCCCTGAACTCGGATCATCATTCTTCGTTCTAAATTTCTTCCAAAAGGGCATGTGGGAAGTCACAACCACAAGCCAGAGCTAACCTTTTCTGCTGATCCCAATTGTGAAGCACACTTCTCTTCCTTAACGAATTGCAAATCAGAAAATCTTTTAATCTACCTATAACCTGTAAGGTCTTACTTCAAGATATCCCACTTGTTGAGGCCAAACCAATGTAAAATCTCCATGTATTGATTGATGATTTTGCCGGTAATTTCTGCTTTCCTGAAATTTTCCCTGCCTTTAAGAACTCTTGCTGGTATGCCATCAGAAAGGTCGACTCTTAGGTGTCAGCTGCTCAATTCTCCTTGCTTGGTGCCCTGCAAAGGAACGCCCTCATTTTTCCCACTGCAAACATCAGTGTGGGTGTTTGGTCTCACTGTGTGGGCAAGTAGATCCCAGTTCAGTTAGGACAGAGTCCTTCCACTGGGGATGCTCAGACCTCACCCATGTGCACTCAGATTCTTTTTTAGGGACTGGGTTGGGTTGCTCTTCCCCAAGCTATGAGTCTGTTCACATGAGTGAGCATAGTGGTTTAAAGGCATTGACCGTACAGTTCGAGGTTCAATTCCTGGCTCCAGCACTGGCCATCTTGCGACCTCAGGCAAATTAAGTAAACCGTGTGGGCCTGCTTCCCTCTTCTGTGACATGGGGATAATCATAATACCTGGTCATATATAATAAGGTCAGGAGGCCATGAGGTTATGCAGGTAAAATACCTAATCCAGAGCTTTTGAGCTAGTAAGTATTTGACAAATACTGGCTGCATTATTTTCATTGTTATTGTTAATAGGCATATAGTCCAGAACCATCACCACCGCCTGCCTTGACTGGAGTCCTGTTGGGATGCTGATTAAATACGGCACAGTTGATGACCCAGCTGTCACCTAGGAGGAATGCATCACACCAGGACAACCTCCCCAGTGATGCAAACTCTGGCTCATGGGCCTCTCCGCCGATGCTGTGGTTTCCAGATTCCCCAAATGTCACTTGCTGACCCAAATGACACTGAGGCTGAAAAAGTCAGGCATGAGACCCAGATAAGGCATAATTCAAAATATTTAGCACACACTTCCCCCCCCCCCCCCCCCACACACACACACACAGACACCCAGTTCTATGGAGCTCTAGGCCTCTGGGACGCGGGTATGAGAAGATCAGATATATAAGAACAGAAAATAACGTAACGGCCGTGTCAGATGGCTGATTCCCTCCTAAGGAGGCAAATCGGCAGATGGATTTTAGATAGAGGCTACATATGCCAAGATGGTGCATACACTGTGGTATGCAGAGGAGGGAGGAGAAGCTGGGTTCACTCGCCCTGGTCAGGGTGAACTGTCACCAGAGAACAAAATGACTGGAAAGTCTGTGCACTGAGGGAGACTTCTCTTTTAGGAGGTGTATGCAGGAGAAAATTCTTCAGAGGAGTCTGCCTGTTAGACTCTTAGCAAGTGAACAGGAGTGCGGGAGCGGAGATACAGCTGACCCGTTAGACATCCCGAGCACCACCTTCGGAAGGGGCGTGGAAGAGCACCTCCCTCCCTGCACCCCCCTCCTTCCTCTGGATAAGGTGAGGTCATGGGCTGGCCCCCTGACAACAGGAGCTACTTTCCATGACAACCTAAGATGCTGCTGCTGCATGAGAGGGAGAATTACAGTCAGGCTCACATTAGCTTCAGGCAGTGTGTAAAAGGGGAATCAGCACTGCATTAAAGGGAAATGAGTATTTGTTTTGAAATGTATTTAAAAGCTCTGGCTGGTTAATTATTTAAGGACCAGCGGGTATCTCAGCTGCCATGGAAACCTCTGGTTATGTGATTCCTTCCTGGAACCCTCAGACACCTCCCTGCAACACACACACATTCACACACGCAAACACACACTCTCACGCACATTTACACACCTACACTTACATAGGCACACTCATACACATATGGTCACACACACACACACACATGCATTTGCACACATACAGTCACAGAGACATTAACTTATACACATAAATGGCCACACACTTATATACTCACATTTGTACACATCCACATGCTTATATACATTTTCACACTCACATTCACATACACACACAAATGGTCACACACATTCACACATTCACATGCATTCACACTCACATAAATGCAAACACTTACACACTCATACACACTCACACAAACACATTCACATTCACGCTGTCTCACACACGCACGACTCTGTTGGAGCCCTCATATTTTCCTGCTCTCTCTATCCATGAGGTGCTCAGAGACTGCCCTAGGACTTGTGCAAGATGTCCTGGGTCATCCCTTCCAGCCACTTTGACTCCAAGCAGGCTGCTGCCCTTTGTACGTGGAACCAGGCACAGCGTGTCTCCCTTTCTAAATTATAGTCAAGCACCATTATGAACAGGTGGGGCCACTAACTGACTTTGCTCAGAGTCTACCACAAGGCTTAGGGGAAACAGCAGGCCAGACACACGAGGGACTAGAAACATGACTAACATCACTTGCTGTCTGTGTGACCTTGGACAAGTTCCTTAGCCTCTCTGACCCATAATTTCCTCATCTGTCAAATGGGGATCATAACAGCAGACATGCCTTTTATTTGGATGATCTTATTTGATCCTCTGAGCCACCCTTGAAGCAGGGGTCATTTCTATCCTCATATGCTAGATGACGAGAAACCCCTGGTTCAGAAAGAATGACAAACTTCCCCAAAGATACATATATGAGTCCAGGCGGTGTCCCACCACAGACCACTTGTTTGCACTACCACCTCCTTACCAGTGAATTGCTATGAAGACGGCAGGAGATGTGCATGGCATCAGAGAAGGTGAGTCCCCCCATGCACACCTCCTTTGCCCGGAAGGATATGGACGGATGCCCTGCACTTAGGCCAGAGGCAGGTGGAGTTTCCTGCTGGCTTCGGGAGCAGGATCCTTGCCTTGGAAAAGAGTCAAGTCCAAAGGCCAAGTTCCCTTTCGAAAGAACTTTTCCAGAGCTGGAGTGGCGCCTCTCATCCCTCCCTACACTGCTGTGGCGCTGCACCACTGAACTATATAATTGCATATTTGTTCCTGTTGAGTCTTGAAATATCAGGGCCCAGTGTATAATTCCAGGGCTCCTGTACTGAAGATACTGCCATGTAACTACCAAATAAAAAGACAAATAATGTGGCCAGAGCTGCAAGCCCATACTGCCCTGCTTAATTAATGGAAAACTTTATTAAGAGCACGCAGAAAACAGACCAACCTCTGACACCAAGCCTTCCCAGAGGATCCTTAAAGGGATAATAACGCCTCCTGAATAAATCCAGCATAAGAGTCTACTAAGAGTCTTTCATAATATCTTGTCTGTGTGCAGCTTTGATGACTGTGTTTGTGATGGGGCAGGGATGGGGTCACATTGGCACAACAAAGGCTAAGACTCTGTGTCCAGGAAGACGTTGGACATGCAAGCTGGTGGGTCTTCAGATGCCAGAGACCCTCACTGCAAGGCGGAAAACACATTTGGGTTAGGACAAATAGATCAGAATCCAGGGAAATGTAAAAAGATTGCTGTACACGAGGATAGATGAGTCCAGATAAGCAATTTGTCAATCACACAGGCAGAAATTTCTCTGCAGAAAAGAGATCCTGAGAGTATACAGCTCATAGGAAGGAAAAGTAATGAGGTCTGACCAGCAGGAAAAGGCAGGTGGGCCAGGACCACACAGGTGACCAAGGGGACTTGAGTCTAGAACAAACATTGTGCTGGCTGAGGAGTTCTTTATGCATTCCCTCCCAGAGCCCCCAAAGAATTCAGTGCTTAGCTTTTCAAAGACCTGAAATAGGAAGGCACAGTTTGGTTTCCTCTGACCAAATGGACTGTATACCTCAGAAGTGACAGCCAGTGTCCAGGGAAGGGAGCCCAGGCCAAGTGTGGGATGCAAGTCCTGTAGGGCAAGGCGCCTGGACACAGAGGGTTATACATTTACATTTGCACAGGTGAGGAAGCTGAGCAGAGAGAGGTCATGCAATTTGCCCAAGGTCATAGAAGGAGGTGGTGATGCTGCCTGGGAGCAAAACCATGGCATCCAGCTCCAGAGCCTGGAGATCAAAGTCTGGAAAGGACCCTTTGGGAGGTTCTAACAGGGAAACAGGGAGATTGAAAACATGGTCCCTTCTGCTGACAGCAGTCTGCAAACACAGGCTGGGGTTCAGCACTGGGGCAGGCAGAAGTAACAAAGCCTCCCTCTCCTGATCTCTGTCTCTCTGCCTCATTCTGTCTCTTTGCCTCCCTTCTCCCTCTCTCTCCCTTTCTCTCTCTTTCTGCTCTCATCTCTCTGCCTTTCTCTGTCTGTCCTTCCCCCTCTGTACATCTCTCTCTCTTTCTCTCTGTCACTCCCTTTCTCCTTTTCCCTGTCTCTCTCCCTCCCTTCCTCTCCCCCACTTTCTCTCTTTTTCTCTCTTGCCCTTTCTCACTGTCTCTCCTTCATTCTTTCCACCTCTGCCCCTCTCTCTCTCTGCCTTCCTCCCTCTTTCCCTCTCTCTTTCTCTCCCCCACCTCCTCACTCCCTCCTTCCATTTCTTTCTTTGCATGTGTCTCCCCTCTCCTTATCTTCCCCTTGCTAGGAACAGGAATAAGCAGGGGAGAAGTAGAGGAAATATATAACAAATTGGCAAAAGGCTGTGTCTAACTAGGATGTTTCTCAAACTCATCTGGGATCCGTCAGCCCTTCCTTCAACTGTCTATATTTTTGTGGTGCCATGTAATGGTTATCTCTGTTAAACAAGTTCTTATATACAGCTCTCCTCCCTGAGAACACCTGTGGGAAAACAGGTTAGGCACTCGGGTTTAGATTTTGCTGCCATTTCTGCCTTGGTTGAAAATGTATTGAAAAGGCAAGACACTTTTGTTCTGAAGACAGCGAGTTTAGTGCCAGGTAATGAGGTGTCAGGAGAGGGTTGACGGTGGAGTGTATGTCACAAAGTCCTTGTCTCCTGAATTTCTCAGAAGAATCTCACTAGCCCCAGCTTTCCTTTGAGGTCCTAAACTCAGCCGCTGCAGGGCATGAGGGTCCCAGGTCGCAGCTCTTCAGTGACATTAGACTTCCAGTGAGCTGGCAATGCAAAGAGTGGGGACCCTTGCCCAGTGGCAATCACAGTTTCTCCTCCTTCCTTTGCTGGTGCGTGGATAGGCCTGAGACGCAGCTGCCTGTGCACCCATCCCTCTAACTGGAATTATGTGTCTAGAGAAAATCCTATGGCCTCTCAAGCTTTCATTTCCAGCAGTGGCAAAAAATAATGATGCAAGCTTTCTGCTTGGGGGATGCCTTCCAGGATCTTGTGAAAATGAATGAAGCAACTGGTTGTCAAGGGCCAGTGTCTGCCCATGACTCCATTCTACCAACCAGGGAGCTCCTCATGAATGAAAGCACTGAAGCCACTTTTCAGCCCTTTCCTGATGCCCAGCAAACGGGCTCCCTGGGATCCCCAAACTCTCTTTCAGCACGAAAGATAAGCAGAAGAAAAACTGGATGCAATTTTTAATACCACAATCGAAAAGCAAAGCATAAGGGTTTAAAACTCCCAAAGTCCACAGCCTGCCCCAGCGTCTGCCTCTGAAACCCAGGAATTGGCATGGTGCTAGCCCTACGTTTGCAGTCAGAGGGCTGGGTGCAACCTCAGGCCCCTCCTAGCATCTTCTTTCTTTTCATGGTAATTATCTCCTTTCACCATTTCTTAACTTGTAAAGTCAACTCTTCTTTCATTAGTTCCAAAGTTGCCTCTTTCAGTTACCCGAGTTGTCCTTCATTCTGTCCCTGGTGAAACTCTGTCCCAGAAAGTGAAAGTAAATAATGACTAGCAGAAATTGAGTTTGCAGGATGGTAGATAAGAAAAGCAGCAACTTGCTGAAACATGTACACTCCCTTCCTTATAAGAAAAAAGGATTTGGCGAAAATGAGTTGGAACCAAGATGGCTGACTAGAGTTTGCACAGAACGAGCTTGCTGGTGTCACAGACTGAATTTCCACTGCATGTTTCATGCCAACTCTCCCGAATTTGCAGAAGCCACCCATGGGTTAGGATGAAGAAATAACTGTGCATGTCCCAGGACTGTCGAGACCCCCCCTTCCCTCCAGGAATTACCTACCCATCTCAAAATCCACCCCTTGAATCTTTTCTGACATAAATATTGCCTTGAAGCCAGTCAGCGGAGACAGAGTTGAGCTTGACTCCTATCTCCTTGGAAATTGGCATTGAACAAAAACTTCTTTTTTCAAAAACCTGGTGTCATAGTATTGGTTTCTAGCACATCAGACAGGGAGCCCCCTTTGCTCTTTAACACTGGCAGATACTATGCTCTTATGTTTGAGAAGCTCAGATCATCTCCACCTGCAGCCAAAATCTTTAAGACTAGAAGGGGCTTCACCAAGACCCACCCAGCGATCTCAGGACAGTTCCTGGATATCTCAGGGAAGACGTCCAGAATACAACCTAAGATGCGTACAAACCACCTTGATCTGTTTCATGGACTCAGAGCCTCCTGTTCTCGGCTTTGTGTATAGATAATGTGAATAACAACAACACTGAGATATCACAAATGTATTTGTATTCATGGGTAAACTGTGTGTGTACATGTGTATGTACATGTGCATGTGTATGAGAACATACACACGTGTATGTGCATAAGAGTAAAAAAAAAAATTTCTGAATGGAAAGATGCAGATTCCAGTTCTGTGTGTTGTTTTTCATCAAGAAATGATTCCCTATGCCCATTTTCCAACTTGTGAAGTTAACTCTCCTTTATTAATACCCCAAAATGCCTCCTTTAAGTTTTTGGGAGATAACTCCAGTGGAACCATGAAATAACCATGGAACTGGGGCCATTTCCTTATTTTTCTTTAATTTCTGTGACCTTACCTGTAAAATGGGGCTGAGACTCTACCTTGTAGGACTGTGGTGATGAATAAAGTAGACACAAATGTGCTCTGTTCATGATGAATCATGAGAGAAAGGGCAGCCTGAACTCCTGCACATGTACCCACACAACTCTTCCACGGAAGCACAGTTAGGTCTCAGTAATTTCTTGCAACTTACAATTGAAGCATCAGGAACTCAGGAGAGATTACCAATCCTCAGGTAGCTTCATCTCTATAAGCCTCCTAGATCAGAGAGTTGGCCTCTCCTAAAGCCAGTGACTTCCCATCAGGGACCAGGGATCCTGCTTTCTGAAACCGCAGCAAGAAGATCCCCCACCTCAGTTATACCCAGAGGGGTCTCTCTTCTAAGGGGAGAAACAAGCAAAGAAACTAACAAATAGGAAGTATAAGATATTTGTGCAAGTTAGGGGAAGGCATATGAAAGGTCCCATCAGTTTTTATGGAAATTAAAAATATGGGGTCCCATTCCCCAGTCTGAGGACCCAAACCATTCTCCTTTTTTTTTTTTAATGGGAGTCCTACCCCTTGTATAACTCTGTTTTCATCATCTCAGATCTTGTTGGCTCCCTCTCAGAATCTGGTAGTGCTCTCCAGTGAAAAGACATGTACAAGTAACTAAACAAAAATCCAGTTAAGCTGCTAGGTGAGAAAAGTAATTGCTAAGAACAAAGCATGTCTACTGCATGAAATGCTATTTTTTAAAAGGCCACGGCTACAGTTTCCATGTGGAGGCTTGGCACACCACAGCTTTGAAGGGTAACAGGCACTATTCTTCCAGGAGGCTGATACTGTGAAGGTCACAGGTTGTTTCTGTTACAGGGAAGGGAGGTAGGTACCTGGAGGCTGCAGGAAAATGCATGGCCGACAGGGCCCTGAGACGGTGGGGGTGGAATCAGCACCTCTCCTCAATCAGACATAGCCCTGCCCCATTTACACCTCAGACATCGACCTCCATGGAGCAGACACATGTGGAATGGGGGCATCCCAAATTATGGGTAAGGTCAGTTCCACGGGGCCCCCAGAATTCTTCATCCCACAGACCTTTTGAAGGTAGTGTGTAGATCTGAAAAACCAAATGAATAATTAAACACTTTGTATTCAAGCTCCTTGTTCTGCATTGCTTCAAACACTTTTCATACTTGTTAATGCTCCCTTAAGTCTGTACTTTTCCTTGGAGTGGAGGAGAGGCAAGAATAGATATTATTAACTCCATTTTATAGGAGAGACTGAGGCACAAAGTGGGGTAGCAGAGGGCCTGCAGGGAACCAACAGGGAGCTAACCAGAAAGCAGGGCCAAATGGATGGACCCTTTTTAGGGCTGTATGCATTTGGCTAGGGAGAGGAAAAAAAACGTAAATACACAATGTAAACAAGTGCAAATTGTTTGTGAACCCTAAGTGAGGAGTGGAGTTGGACACTAGCCTCTAAAAGCAATGAATGAGAGCTTCCTTCCTCCGTGAGTAGGAAATGTCCCAAGGAGGCAGGCCTGCTTGCTGCTGCCTCTCCACCCTTGTTTTAGCCATTTTTCCTCTTATAGTTGGCCTTCCAGGTCCTCTCTTTGCTTATTTGTTTTATTTTTGAGACATGGTTTTGCTCTGTCACCCAGGCTGGAATGCAGTGGTGCGATCTCGGCTCACTGCAACCTCTGCCTCCTGGGTTGAAGCAATTCTCACGCCTCAGCCTCCTGAGTAGCTGGTATTACAAGCGCGTGCCACCACACCCGGCTAATTTTGTGTTTTTAGTAGAGATGGGGTTTTGCCATCTTGGCCAGGCTGATCTCAAACTCCTGACCTCAAGAGATTCACCCACCTCGGCCTCCCAAATTTCTGGGATCACAGGTGTGAGCCACCGTGCTCTGCCTGCTCTCCTTGTTTATTGGACTTCAAAACTCAATCCAAGCTTCACCGCTTCTGGGAAGCCCTCTTCAAAAGAAGTGGGGAGCACTGGCCAACTGTGTAGCTGCCTGAACATCTGCCACCCAATCCTCTGAGCTTGTGCCATCCACCACAGAGGCCAGTAGCCACAGGTAGCTCTAAACCAAACGAAATGATGCAAATTTGAAATGAGATGTGCTGTAAGTGTGCAAGACACACCAGACTCCAAAGAGTTTGTGTGAAAAGAAAAAAAGACGTAAAATATCTCATTGACTTTTTTTATGCTGATTACATCTTGAAATGATATTCTGAATATATCAAATTAAATAGAATGTAATACTATTAATAAAATTAACTTCACCTGTCCCTTTTCACATTTTAAAATGTGGCATTTTGAAAATTTAAGAAGAGTAGATTTTAAGTGTTCTCACCCCACACCCAAATAAAGATAAGCCAGTGATGTCATGCATATGTTAGTTAGCTTGATTTAGCCATCTCACAATATATACGTTTCAAAATACCATGCTGTACACCATGAATGTATACATTTTTATTCAATTAAAAGATAAATAAATATTTAAAAAATAAATTTAAAGGCATATGTGTAGCTTGCCTCTATGGCTGGCATATTTCTACTGGATGGTACTGTTTTCAGATACTTCTACCAGTTGCTAAGAAAACAGTTGTGAGACCTCCCCAGAATGGAGTGGGCATGCCTGAGGAGCCCATTTTAAATCTATGTGACAACCTTGTGATCTGCATGGAACAATCCCCTATATCCCATTAAAAAAGGAAACTGGGGACTGAGGTGGGAGGACTGCTTGATGCCAGGAGTTCAGGCTAGTCTGGACAACACAGTGAGACCCCCATTTCTATAAAAAAAATTTAAAACTCAGCCAGGCATTGTAGGGTGCACCTGTAGTTCTCGCTACTCTGGAGGCTGAGGTGGGAGGACTGTGTGAGTCCAGGAGTAAGAGGCTGCAATGAGTGGTAAGAGGCTGCCACCGAACTCCAGCCTGAGCAACAAAGGGAGACCCTGTCTCTAAAAAAATGAAATAAAATATTTTAAAAAGAGGAGACTGAGGCCCAGAGGCACTGAGAGCCTTGCTCAAGACCACAGAGTCCCTGAGGGTCAGACCTGCATTGGGGCACACATTTTCTGACTTCTGAACCTGTGGCTCTTTTCCCCAGACATAGGATTTCCTTCCTGTTAGAAACTCTGACCTTAACTTCCTCTCTACAGTGATTCCACAGCAGAACATAGCTCTAAGCTGTTCCCAGCAAGGATCAAATGTCCCCATTGCCCTGGGGCTCCAGAAAAGCCCAATCTCATGCCTGAGGTTTAGTGCATCTGTCCAGAATTATAGCTCTTTCTCTCTCCTTCTACCAACATATCCACACCTTCCTCCCAAGCTCCCTTACTTAGCATGGAGTAGAGGGATAAAGCAGGCCATCTTCATGCATACACTGAGATTCTGATGTGTGTGCTGGTGTGGTCCACAGGTCACCAGCCTGCCGTGGCTGAGCGGACATTCTGACAAATGGGCAAGGAGCCAGCACCCTTTGACCTAAACCTTTGCCTGGCTCCAGGGCATCTGGATGCTCTGAAAAGAGCACAGATGATGCCCTCCACCTACCCATGGCAAGATGTGGTGGGAACTTAACAGACTTCTCCACAAGCTCTAGGAGCTTCTGACAAGCCAGAACCTCACAAATGCAAGGATTTAAATTTTAAATGGTCTCCATTCTGATGAGTCCTATTTTAGTTCCCAAAGCAACCTTGGTTTTATGCTACCAAGACTCGATGTATCAGTTGTCTTTCTAGGATTACTGCTCCCTCGCTGACTAGGGCAGAAGATGGTGTCATGTTAACTTCTGTCCTTCCTGCAAGAACACCTCTCACAGAAACCTCCCGAAAACAGAAGCCTCACCTCTTATACCAGTTGTTACCTTTTCTACCATTAAAAATTACCATTCAGGACTAGCCTGAAGACCTTACTCCATTCCTGCCTAACTACAGGACTGCTTTCTGGGGATCTCATAACAGGAAGGAATCATCTCTACTCCTCAATTCCACAGGGAGCAGATGTCCAACCAGGAGTTCACAGAGAAACAAGCACTAGAGTCCTGAACTCCTTAATGATTAGAAGACCGGGAAAGTGACTGAACACCTTGGGACTTTATTTTGTCCATCTGTAATTGGCAAAATGCACTCCGTGTCTACTTTGTAGCTCCTCTCCTCAGAGAGAGGGTAATCAAAGAAAATGAAATGTGAAGGAGACAGCCACATATCCTGCTAGCGAGTGGAGTACCCGGGAGATAATAAACAGGCTCTCAAGTGCCAGGCTGAATGTATCAAGGGACAAGTGAAGTATCACAGACAGAAATGAAGTAAAAGAGGAAATGAGATGTGTTAAGTCTCTGAAATTGACAGAAAGAGACAGAATAGTCTTGTCGGGGAACCTGTTGAAGATTCAGGAGTTGAGAAATATGTTTAGAGATTCTCAGGGCCAAAAATGTGCTTAGAGGTCAAACACAGGAAAGCAACTTGGATGATTGGAGACCCTGTTCAAAGATGACCTCCTTTGTGACAACTTTCAGGCCCCAGAGTGAGTTGTTGTTGCCTCAGTGCCCTCAGGCTCTGAAAGTGCCTCTTCCTGCCTGGACCACAGCATGCAGCACACCGGTTGATGAACACCTGACCCCAGGTCTACTCCTCCACCAGAAGGTAAGAGCCTCCAGAGCAGAGGCCAGGGCTAATCTTCACATCCCCAGTGTCTGGCACAGTGGAGCTATTCAATGCATGCCTGTTAAACTGATCAGAGGAATTTAGGGGACCTCCTGTGAATAGCCAAGGCTAAGAGAGCCAAGAAAAGAGCATGGGGTCTCCCAAACAGGCAAGGCTGGGAGAGGAAAGGCAGCTCAGGGGTTGACGAGTGTGTCTGGGGAAAGGCTTTGGGTTAGGGAAACCGGGGCAGGCAGCATTTCACACTGGGCATTCTTGGGAATTATCCAGACCAGCTTTCAAGGAAGGTAACAGCAACTAAAAGGGGAAAAAAAAGAGGGAATCTTAAAAAAAAAAGGAAAGACCAAAGTCAGAGAATCTCTGTCCAAATCTCTGCCTTGAAGGTTGGCAAGCAGTAAGAACATCAGTCAAAGTCCGGAAAAGATGTGCTAGAAGTGAAGAGTTGATCCATTTTTCCAGGGCTCAGGTGAGAAAGCAGGTGCCACCAAACAGTATCATTTGAGAGGACATACCTCCTGTCTCAAGCATCTCTTTCTCCCAGAACATGGTCACTGCTTTTTTTTTTTTTTTTTTTTTTTTTTTTTTTTTTTTTTTAAACGGAGTCTCGCTCTGTCGCCCAGGCTGGAGTGCAGTGGCGCAATCTCGGCTCGCTGCAAGCTCCGCCTCCCGGGCTCACGCCATTCTCTTGCCTCAGCCTCCGGAGTAGCTGGGACTACTGGCGCCCGCCACCACACCCGGAGAATTTTTTGTATTTTTAGCAGAGACGAGGTTTCACCGTGTTAGCCAGGATGGTTTCTATCTCCTGACCTCGTGATCCACCCCCCTCGGCCTCCCAAAGTGCTGGGATTACAAGCGTGAGCCCCCGCGCCCGGCCACTGCTCTCTTTTTTACGTCAATGCATACATATTGTATTAGTCCATTCTCATTGCTGCTAATAAAGACATACCTGAGACTGTGTAACTTATAACGGAAAGAGGTTTAATTGGCTCAAAGTTCTACAAGGCTGGAGAGACCTCAGAAAACTTACTATTGTGGTACAAGAGGAGGCAAGCATGTCCTTCTTCATATGGCCACAGCAAGGAGAAGTGCAGAGCAAAGATGGATGGAAAATTCCCCTCATAAGACCATCAGATACTGTAAGAACTCACTCAATATCACAAGAACAGCATGGAGGTAACTGCCCTCACGATTCAATTACCTCCCGTAGGGTCCCTCCCATGGCATGTGGGATTATGAGAACTGCAGTTCAAAATGGGATTTGGGAGGGGACACAGTCAAACCATATCAAATATATATTAAGTGACTCTGTGGGTACCTAGCATTGTGAGACATCACAGGGATAAAGAGAAAGGGGGTGGTCCTTGCTTTAAATTGCTTACAAACCCCTTACTTAGCCACAATCTATCTAAATCAGACAAACAAAAAAAGGGCACTTACTATCAGAATGTCACTTACAGTGGAACAAGAAGAAAGGAAGTCTCCTCTCACTGATAGCTTCTCCATTAGTTAAACAGAGGCTGGGTCTGAGTAGGTATAATTTGTGAGAAAGAACCCGCTAGTGACAATTCCTGTTTGGTCAGAATTAATAACAAACATTAGAATGGGAAGGGAAGGCCCTAGATTTTAGGGTAGACCCAGGATGGGAGACCGTGAAATCAAGATGAAGTAAGTGGTGTTTACTCACAGGCACAAAGTGGCAATCTCACATGGTACTCTGGGTCTTCCTGCTGTGATCCCATCACAGAGCAGGGAAGGAGAATGCTACAAACTGTTGCTTTATTCCAACAATTCCTGTGTATAGTCTTATGTTTTTTCAGCATATGTTTCATGAACACCTATGATGTGCCATGTATAGTAATATTCTAGAAGCTGGAAATCTGGAAATACAGGAATGAACAGACAGGCAAAAATGCCTGCCTTCCTGGAGCTTACATTCGAGCAAGTTGTGACAGACAATGAACAAATAAACAAAGGAAATATTTATAATAGGTGAGAGGGTGATGGGTGCAATAGAGAAACAGCTCATGGATCATGTAGACTGGGAATAGATAGTGTGCAAATTAAAATAGAGTGGTCAGGGCAGGCTGTACTAATGGCATGACTTCTGAACAGGGACCTGAGGAAGTAAGAGAGCAATTCACAGAACAGCTAGGGAAAAGAGTATTCTAAAAAGAAAGAATAGCAAGTGTAAATGAAGTACCCAAGGAATGATCTTCTATGAGAAGGATCTGGGTTGGAACCAGCCCTTCTTCAGGTCAAAAGTCTATAATGAGTCCCTATGCTCTATGGCAACAAATCTAAATTATTCAACCCAACTTTCCATGTTTTCCCAAAATAATCAGCCTCACTATCCTATCTCCCTAGCACAGTTCCTCTGAAGTAACTAGATCAGGCTCACTAATATTCCCTGTGCTAAGCTCATTCCATCTCCAGATGGCTATTAGGTTCAACCCAATGCCTATCATGAAGCATGACACGTTAACATAGAGTTGGGCTCTGATATAAGGGACAGAGACTGGGTCATCAAAAAACAATGCCATAGGAGGAATCTGTCTCAATAATTGACATGGGATCCAGTTCCTCTCTCACTGAGTCTGTCTATCCCCCTACCCTGTTCACTATATGCCCAGCTGCCTCTCACTCTTTGGCTTCCAGTAGGACTTACCTGGTCTATGGAGTCAACCAGCTTCAGCACTCTTGGCTCCTCAGCAGGGATTGAATTAGTTCCCCATTTTCTCTCCATCTCTAAGATGTCATCATTTCTCCCACATCCCGCTCTAATCCTAAATTGTTTAACCAATTCTATACTTTGATCTTTATTTTTACTTTCATGACCCATTTTGATTCCTTTTGCTTTCAAGGCTGTCCTATCATAAACCACCTGTTAACATTAATTCTGCCTATGTACACTTAGGAAGCCACTTCCTCTTTCTATATCTCACATTCTCCATCATCTAGGATGAGAGTGTTGGACTTGAAAACATACAAGGTCTCTCCTGTTCCTGGCATACTGAGATCTTATGTCTCATTCCCACCTTCATGGCCCTGCTCATGCTACTTTCTGATGTACACTGCTCAGTCCATTTTTATGAGGTCCCTGCCCTGAACCAAGTGCTATGTCAGGTCCTGGATAAAGAAAGATGAACAGGATATAGTTCTTGCTCTGAGGGAACTCACCAATCCAATCAGCCACTAGTGCCATGCAGTGCAATGAGGGCTCTGACAAGGGTAGGAACACCTGTTAGGAAAAGGATGGAGCAGAAGGTGTCTGGGTGGCCTTCTCCAGAGATGCCCAAGCTGCACCTTGAAGACTATGTCAAAGAGAACTAAGTAAGGCATATGGAGACATTGTTCCAAGCAGAAAAGACAGTGGTACAGAACAGGTACAAGAGAACACAGACTATTTAAAGAACTTCCAGTAGAACAGAAAGGCTGAGGCACGAGGTGGGTGTAGGTACACAGCCAATAGTGATGTTCAGGAGGTAGGGAGGGGTCAGATCATGAAGATCCTTGAATGTCACTTTGAAGAGTTTACTTATCGACTTACAGAGAATGGGAATGTTTAAGGGATTTAAAATAACAGACTAACAAAAACACATTTACTTTCCAGAAAGACGGCTTCAACAGCAGTAAGAAGAAGGAATCGGAGGTGTGCGAGGCAAGAATCAAAGAGAGCAGCTAGAAGATGTTTGCAGTAATCCAAGTAACCATGATCAAAGTCTGGGCGGAGACAGTGGCCGGGGAATCAGACAGAAAGATCCACTTCTACTGATATTTGAGAAAGAATCGATAGAACATGGTGAACACTTGGCTTAGGGTAAGGTAGAAGGAGAAATTAGGTTTCTGGCTGGAGTCACTAAATAAGTGGAAACTGTCTTTAACAGAGACATGGATTGTTACAGAATAACGTCTACCAATTTGAGTGGAAAGGGTTGAGGTCAGACTCAACCATGTTACATTTCAGGTACATTTCCCTGCCTGTAAGCCTTCCTATCTCTTATTTCATACTCTCTGACTGTCACTTTATGGCCATGCTGTAGTAAATACCCTTATGTCTATTCCTTTAGCATTTCGGTGTGATTTTTTTTTTTTCAGTATTTCCCTTGGTTTTAATCCCCTATGTATGTGCATCTTGAATCTTTTTTTTTTTTTTTTTTTTTTTTTTTCTGAGATGGAGTCCTGCTCTGTCACCCAGGCTGGAGTGCAGTGGTGTAATCTCAGCTCACTCCACCTCCCAGATTCAAGTAATCCTCCTGCCTCAGCCTCCTGAGTAGTTGGGATTACAGGTGCCCACCACCATGCCTGGCTAATTTTTGTAGAGACGGGCTTTCACCATATTGGTCAAGCTGGTCTCAAACTCCTGACCTTAGGTGATCCACCTCTCTCAGCTTCCCACAGTGCTGGGATTACAGGCGTGAGCCACCACGCCTGGCCTATGCATCTTGAATCTTATTGGAGAGTTCAATATCCATTTATGCCCCAAGTCCTCTACTTTTGGGCACCCTCTGGTGCCCAGCACTGTGCTCAGATCATAGAAAATGCTATCCCCACCCTGCTGTCAAGGCCGCAGGAAGAGCCAGCATCAGAAGCCTAGGAGACGATGTAGGCGGGAGAGACAAGACGCCCCCATCTCCTTCACTTCAAGAACACGTGTCCCCCAGCATGGAGGGCAGGATAGAGCTGCTCATTTCATGTTAGCCCTTTTATGTTTCTGTTTTGAAATTTGATGTTCAAAAGCTCACAGGCTGTAGTAGGCAATCAATCCAAATGGAAATGTGTAAGGGCCAGCGGAGCAAGGAGAATGTGTTTCTGAGGGTGGGGGAGTATTTTTCTTAGGAATTTTTCTTGTGCCACACAGAAAAATCTTTGTAACAACAAAGAGAAAAGTCGTGAAGATGAATAGGGGTAATGAACTCCACTCTGTCTCTTCTATGCAGGGGAGTGGAGCTGCTCGAATGTGAATGTCCTGGCAGGAGGGGCGCAGCTGTGCTCACGGTGAGTGGGATGTGACCTTGAAGGGTTGGCGGACAGAAAGGAAAGAGGGAGAAGGGAAAAAGAGGCTGACCCTTTTTCAAAGGAAAGAAGGGGCGTTATGAACAACAATAAAGAGGAGGAGTGTTTTGATGAAGTGTGCGCCCTCCCAGAGGGAAAGAAAGAGTGAATTAACACCTGTTGAGTAACTATTATGTGCCAAGACCCCTTTTCTCATTTTGTTTAATTCTCTCAATATCTCTGAAGTCATTTTTGTTGTTATTATCGTCATTATTATTAGTATCATCCTAAGGGCATTCTTAACCACTCTTTCCTGCAGAAGGTCTCCAGCAGGTTTAATTCCGGCACTACCTCACCCAGTGTGAAGTCCATCGTCCCAGTGGCCTTTGCCATGGGCTGAGTGTGTGTCCTGCAGCATCATGAAGCTGGGAGAAGATGTCCACTTGGGTAATTCATTGAAGGACTGAACAAAATCTTGTGCTAATCTCCGATCAGTCACTCCCCTGAGCAGCCATCAAAGGAGGTTCTGGCTGCCAAGAAATGACCAGCTGGCCACACAGGACCCCAAGGGAAAAGACAGCCAGGCTCTGGGGCAGATAACCGGCTCCCCAACGGCTTGTGGGAACCTTATGGTGGTCCCTGTGGCCTTTAGGTCTTGCTGGGCACTTGGAGCAGGCCAGGGGCTGTCTCTCTCTCTTTTTTCTTTCTCTTTTCTCTCTGTCTCACTCTGACGCCCAGTCTCGCTCTGGCACCCAGGGGCCATCTTGGCTCACTGCAACCTCCGCCTTCTGGTTCAAGTGATTCTTCTGCCCCAGCCTCCTAAGTAGCTGAGATTACAGGCATGTGTGCCATCACACCTGGCTAATTTTTTTGTATTTTAGTAGAGAAGTGGTTTCAACATATTGGCCAAGCTGGTCTTGAACTCCCAATCTCAAGTAATCTGCCCACCTCAGCTTCCCAAAGTGCTGGGATTACAGGCATAAGCCACTGTGCCCGGCCTGGCTGTCTCTATTTCTATTGATGACCTCACAGCCTGTAGACCCTAGGGTCTTACCACATACATTTATTCTCTCTCCCATCCTTCCTGCAGCCTGGGAAGCTGTAGAAAGAAGGCTAGGTCTACTCTCCCTGACACTTCTCCAGGACATTGGTTTGTACCCACCAATCCCATCTCTATTGTCTCCTTGGCAAAACCCTCCTTCTCCCTTCTCATTTGTTCTCAGTTGACCTTTGGTGAAATGTTTCACTGGCAATAGTGACTGAGCAAAGGCATCAGAAGATGAAGGCAAGGATACTCCAAAGTCTAAGTCTACATATTACACCTCACAGAGGGTTTCTCATGGAGAATACTTGGTCATGACACCTGCTGGCAGAGGGTACACATCCCCAGCCTTCAGATTTCCGCAAAGCCATGCTGCTGCTGTGGATATCGGGTGCCACTATCACAGGGAAGAAGCTTCCTCTACTCTTTTTTCAGAGCTTTTATCCCATTGGCCTTGCCATGGCTTCTGCAGACTCTGGCTGTCTGCCTGACCACTCACCAGGGACAAGCAACGAGAGCCCTAACCAAGAGACTGGGCAGGTCACAGGCCAATTTTCCAAGCTCAATTTCCAGGCCGCCTTCCCTACCCCGCAGACCCCAGCTCCAGCTTTCTGATATGAAGCCCAGGGATCTACTAAGCCTAAAGCTACTTTTCCCTTTTCTTCAAAGGCAAGGAAGGATTTAACTTCCAAATCTTCTAGTGAAGAACAGAAAGGAAAAAAAAAAAAAAAAAAAAAAAAGCCCAATTTATTTTTTATTTACTTTTAAAGCATTCTTTAAATTTTTCTTTGTTCTGGTAAAATATACATAAAATGCAATTTAGCACTTTAACTAATTTTCAATGTTCAGACTTCAATGACATTCAGCCATCACTACCATCGATTTCCAGAACTTTCTGATCATCCCTAACAGAATTTTTGTTTTTTTTTTTTTTTTGAGACAGAGTCTTGCTCTGTTGCCCAGGCTGGAGTGCAGTGGCACTATCTCGGCTCACTGTAAGCTCCACCTGCTGGGTTCACGCCATTCTCCTGCCTCAGCCTCCCGAGTAGCTGGGACTACAGGCCCCTGCCACCAGGCCTGGCTAATTTTTTGTATTTTTAGTAGAGACGGGGTTTCGCCGTGTTAGCGAGGATTGTCTCAATCTCTTGACCTCATGATCCGCCCACCTTGGCCTCCCAAAGTGCTGGGATTACAGGCGTGAGCCACCACGCCCAGCCCTCAAACTGAAATTCTATACCCATTAAACTGGAACTCCTCATAGACCCTCCCCCAGGCCCTGGTAATGACTATTCTCTTTGTGTCTCTATGAATTTGAATGTTCTGGGCATTTCATATAAGTGGAATTATGTAATACTCATCTTTTTGTGTTTAGGTTATTTCACTTAGCATCATGTTTTCAAGGTTCATCCATGTTGCAGCATGTGTCAGAATTTGTTTTTGAGGCCGAACAGTATTTCATTGCATGCATATACTACATTTTGTTTATTCATTCATCTGTCCATGGGCATTTGGGTTGCTTCCACCTTTTACCTATTGTGAATAATGCTGCTATGAATTGGTGTGCAGGTTATCTGTTTCAGTCTCTGCTTTCAATTATTTTTGGTACATACTTAGAGGTAGAACTGTGGGCCGGGAGTGGTGGCTTATGCCTGTAATCTTAGTGCTTTGGGAGCCTGAGGTGGGCAAATCATTTGAGGTTGGCAGTTCAAGACCAGCCTGGCCAACAATGGTGAAACCCTGTCTCTACTAAAAATACAAAAAATTTGCAGGTCACTGTGGCGGGTGCCTGTAATCCCAGCTACTCATGAGGCTGAGGCAGAAGAATCACTTGAACCCGGGAGGCAGAGGTTGCATTGAGCTGAGATGTCACCATTGCACTCCAGCCTGGGCAACAAGAGCAAAACTCTGTCTCAATAAAATAAAATAAAAAATAAAAAAATAAAAAGTAGAATTGTTAGATCGTATGGTAATTCTAGAGAAAACACCATACTGTTTTCCACAGCAGCTGCACCATTTTACATTCTCACCAGCAATGCAAAAGGGTTCCAATTTCTCTGCACCCTCACCAACACTTGTTACTATTTTTTTTCTTATAGCCATTATAATGAATGTGATAAAGTGTTCCTAATGGTCCTATTTTGCCAGGTTAACATCATCTTACAAATCAGAAAAGTGAGGCTCACCAAGGTTAACTGGCTTTTCTGCAAATGTAAAGTTGCCTAAATGACAACAAGAGCTCCTTGTGCCCCCTCCCAGATCACACCTGACTAGTTGATTCTCCTCTTTACGTAAGCCTTGGTTGGAGGTTTAGAGGGTCTTGGAAAGTGTTTGAAGCAGAGATTTGAACACAATATGCACATGCTGTGAATATGATATAAAGATAATATGTGTATTATTAATACACCTCAAGGTGATCTTTCTTCTGAGTAAAGCTACCAGTCAACAGGAAACATGACGTTTCCAAGCCAAGGGGAGATCTAAATGTGAGCAAAGGAGAGAGAGAAAGCCCCCAACTCTCGCCTAAGCACCACAGATGCCATAGCCTTATCAGGAACATCAAACGCACCAGAGCTCCTCCCCAAGGAGAATGAACAGCAGCTCCAAACCCACAAGACCCAAAAACTGTAGGGCCATGGAGATGATCTGCTCAGCATAGCAGTGGACCCATAGTAGCTGCTGGATGATGAGGGCATGACGAGCCATAAGGAGACAATTGGAAGAGTGCCAGTTACCAAAGTTCTGTTAAGTGACAGGTGCCTCGCCCGACTCTGACAAGCATGCATTATTATCTCTGATTTATAGATGTTGAGAAACTGCAGCTCTGAGACAAAGTCACAGAACTTGCTGGCAAATGGAGTCAGGATCTGAGCTCTAATCTGGCTGGTTCTGAACCCACATACTTTCAACTTCAACCATTCTCACTGTGGGACACCTACGTAGAAATCCGGGAGCACCAAGCTGTGGGCCGGGAGGTAGGCCAAGCCATGGGGTGAGCATAGCATGGCTTTTGGAGCATCTTTTTTTCTGCAAAATTTTGAGAAAAACAGCCAAAATCAAAACATTATTTTTATGTTAAAAATATAAATTACGGAGTAGAATGCAAAGTTCACAAACATTTTCTAAGATAAAGCACACGGCTTCAAAGAAAGTTCACACTGACAGTTAGCTGCCTTAGGCAACACTCCCAGACCCCTGGGGTAGGTGTTCCTGCCTCTGCTATTGGGACTCCATCCAAGGAAAGCTCAGCCATGCTGTCCTATATTCGAGCATGCAGTCTTGGGCTTTGGAGACCTACCAGCCTAGGTCTGAATTCTGGTTCTCACTTGCCATCCATGGGAATTTGAGCTTTTTCTTTTTCCTTAGGCAAGTGATTTAACACATCTGGGCCTCATTTTTCTTATCTGTAAATTAGGAAAAAAAAACAGCATACCTATTTTATACAGTTACTATGAAGATTAAATAAGTAATACACATAAAGGATTTATAGTTGTGCCAGGCACATAGTAAGAACTCTACAAGGGTTCTTTATCTGATCATTATTTACTCTGAGCCTGTTTATCTATAAAATCGTAAAATTTTATCTATATACCTTGTATATACTATATACATAAGTATATGTTATATATACTAACACGTACCTTGTAAGGGTGTCATGGGCATTACATGAAATGTTACATACACAACACAGTGCCTGGCAGGTAGTAAGTACTCCACAAATACTACATATACTGGTAGTTATTATATCAGCACTGTGGCTATGGCATCACGACACCATTCCCAAGAGAAGTTCAAGTTATGACCTTAATCTGTTGATGCCAGGTTCATGCATTTCAACTTCAATTTTACCTATGGAGGCCAAGGGCCCTCTGAAGTTTTGCTGAAAAATCAACTTGCAAAAGGCAGGTTAATTGGAGCAAAGGCATACACACTTATTCAATGGGTGTACACAGGAGCCTTCAGAATGAAGACCCAAAGATACAGGAGAAATTGTTCATTTCTATGCTTAGGTTCAACAAAATATGGACAGCTGTGTAGAGATATGATTGAACAAAAAGGGCGTGATCTAATATTAACAGACTGAGTGGGGAAACCCAGAGAGGCTTGTCTGTCTGGATTCTTCTTGGCTACTCTGAGCAGCGTTCCTTCTTTCGGGGTGTGGGGCAGGCCCTCTCTGCAATGGGGAGGGTTTCATGACCTACAGTCAAACAGGAAGGTCAGATGATTTCTTTTTCTTTTCCTTTCGAGACAGAGTTTTGTTCTTTTGCCCAGGCTGGAGTGCAGTGGTGTGATCTTGGCTCACTGCAACCTCTGCTTCCCAGGTTCAAGCAATTCTCCTGCCTCAGCCTCCCAAGTAGCTGGGATTACAGGCGCCCACCACCATGCCCAGCTAATTTTTGTATTTTTAGTAGACAGGATTTCGCCATGTTGGCCAGGCTGGTCTCAAACTCCGGACCTCAGGTGATCCACCCACCTCGGCCTCCCACGGTGCTAAGATTACAGGCATGAGTCACCACGCTCGGCCAGATAATTTCTTTGCGTCCAGTTTTTACACAGAAAGGCACAGGGAAAGTTAGAGTCATACTTTTAGGTTTTCTGGCTGGCTTTGAACAAAAGGGGCTCTGGTTTCCAGGAGTCACCACTGGGGAAAAGGATTCTGGTTTCTGTGGGTACCGTCAGGGGAGAGTGGGACTGGGAGACAGTAGGGCAGGAGGAGGGCAGAGAAAAACGTCTGCTTCAGGGGCTGCTTCTGAGGCTTTCGTTGCGGGGTGTTGTTTACTGACCCATAACACACCCATTTTCTTTCTTTTTTTTCTTTTTTTTTTTTTTGAGATGAAGTCTCGCTCTGTCACCCAGGTTGGAGTACAGTGGTGCAGTCTCAGCTCACTGCAACCTCCACCTCCCAGATTCAAACGATTCTCCTGCCTCAGCCTCCCAAGTAGCTGGGACTACAAGTGCATGCCATCATGCTCGGCTAATTTGGGTAATTTTAGTAGAGACAGGGTTTTCACCATATTGGTCAGGCCGGTCTCGAACTCGTGACCTCAGGTGATCCGCCCTCCTCGGCCTCCCAAAGTGCTGGCATTACAGATATGAGCTACCACACGCAGCCAACACACCCATTTTCTAAACAGGTATCTACAGAAGACAGAACCCTGGGCTCTTTGAGTCATATATTTGAATCAGTTTGGTATTTTAGAAATTGTTAGGAAGGCTGTTGTTTTCACTGTGAGTCAAAGAAGGAATGTCCAGCAAGCCATATTCCTAGTCTGTATCTTTCCATCCCAAAGCATCCATCCTCCTTCAAAAAGGCTGACAGCACAGCCTCATCCCTCTTCACATACAGAATCTTTGTAAGCAGTGTACAATCAAGTGTGCTTTCCTTTGTGTCTGTCTTGTTTCTCCAATTAGATTGTGAGCTCCCTGTGAAAGGGATGGAATTTTCACCTCTGGTGTGCAATTCGAGCCTAATAAAATGCAATGTAGCAACTGAAACCCACAAACCATGAGATCTGTTTCTAGTTGGTTGGTCCAAATAAGGAGCCCCTTTTGTAATTGAAGGCATCATTTTGCCATTTTTTTTTCTGGCCCAAGCGGGCACACCTTGCTCTAATGTGCACCTATCCATGGCACCCAAGACAACCTCCAGTGCACCCTCCAGTGTAGACGGTGTTGGGAACCCTGGTGGTGCTTAATAAATATCTGAAGATGGATTCTATCATTTCTGAGTCTGAGTTTGGCATTCCCTTAGGAGGAACCAAGAACCTTGTGAACTGACAGTGAGGGTGCAGGCTCAGCACATCCTTCCTTAGGTATGATGTCTATGAACAATAATAATCTATAACTGAGTGCCTGGGGTATCACCACTTATGGGTATAAGCGACTGGGTCCTGTCAGTAACAATCCCCGAACGGCCACGGTGACTGGATCCTGAGTGCAGGGCAGCACCAGCCCTGCTAAGTGCCCCCTGAACATCTTCCCGGTCACATCTGAGAATTTCTAGGCATACTGCCCATGCCGCAGGAGCATAGTTTCAGGCCTCCTGGAAAAGGCACTCCTCGAGAGCCTGGGTTCCTGAGAGAGCTGCCCAAGAGACCCCGTGCAGCACTGCCTGGTGCCTCAGAGGGTCTCTCTGTCCACGGCATCCACACTGAACCCTCAGGGCGCCAAAGCCACTTTTGATTTGAGAGGACCAGGTAGGGATGCCTCACACCAAAACCCTCAGCCCCTAAGCAGAACCATTTGGATCCAGATCAACCAAGTCCAGCCCTTCAGCTTCTGAATCTGCCTACTCCTTCCTCACTTGATGGAAATCAGTCACTCAGCGAGGGCAGGAGGAAAATGCTGACTGCTCTCCTCATCACTTCTGATCAGTCCCCAGCTCAGTCACAATAGCAATAAGAGACGCAAACAAACCTACCTCCCGGAATCTAAAAGACAGGGTAAAATGCATATTTAATAAAAAGCCTTAACACAGAACAGGTGTGCAAATGGCAGGCTCCCTGGATCCCCATCGCAAGATTTACACAAAGATCAAATGAACTGGGGCTCAGCTAGGACACTTGGCTGCAAAAATTTATCTAGCTCTTTACACACCAGAAAACACATTCTCATATATTATCTCAGTTGATCCTGATAAAAACTGCATGTTGAGCTCAGAGTTTTTATCCTATGTATGTTTTTCAGAGTGTAGAAAAAGTTTCAAATTAAGGAGCTTCAGGTACAGAGGAAATGTCTTAGAGGGGAAGTTGGAAAAGTCTAATGCTTATGCAGAAATATCAGCAAGGAAACAAAGCGTTTGGCTCCTGGGCCTGACACTTATGCACTTACACGTGCATGTGAATGTGTGTGCACGCACATGTCTGTGTGCCCATGTGCGTTTGTGTATATGTGTGTGGGTGTACATGCATGTGTGTGCACACAATCGCAGGCATTGAGAACTGACTGCAATGTTCTCTTGGAGGTCCAGGCTGGGAATGGAGAAGGCAAATTGCAAAGAACCCAGGGCTGAGAGTGGTTTCATTGTCTCGTATCATAACAAGGGCCTTCGAAACCTCCTGGGCGCTGTGCCACCCATCCTCTGGCCTGGGGACAAGCAATCTTGGCACGGTTTGCCCGCCTTCTGGTGAAGGTGCCAAGAACTGTTTCTTCACTGACCGTCTTCCCACTTTCTGTCCAAGGGACAGGCCAGATGGAAGAGGTCAGTGGAGGGGCAGCCGTTCCCTGGGCTGTCCTCCAGGCTGTCAATCCGCAATGATCAGCACATAGAGAGCAGTTTAGCTAAGGTGATGTCAGGAGCAGGAATAGAATGGTGACCATGGAGAGGAACTAGATGGGAAGGAGTGGTGGGCGGGCCTGGGCCCTGCTTTGACAGGAGTGCTGGTCACCATGTGAAGGTGGGTCCAAGGGCTGGGAGGGGCGTCCCGGAGCGGCAGGCCAGCAGTGAGGATGATACCTGCTCCTGAACCGCCCTGGAATCAGGTATCTTCTCCCACAGCATTCCCAGGATGGGTCAGAACCTTCTAGTGCCAGATTGCTGACCTTCAGGACCAGCTGTGGGGATGCAAAACACAAGAGATGATTTAAGTGACAGGAAAAGGAAAGAAGTGGAGAGATAAAGAGAAACATGGGACTGAAGGACTGTCTTGTACCTTCCAGCCCCATCTCATCGTCCAGCATTTGTGAGGCACTTAGTGAAGGTGGGAATAAAAGGCAGTGAATTGGATATCAGGGAAACTACAGGAAGGAGGATGCAGGATACAAAGGAAGAAAGGCAGGGAAAGGAGAGAAGAGGGAAGATGTTGAAAAAGTTGAAGGAAAAGCAAGGAAGGAGAGGAGAAAGGGGAGTAAGAATGTCACTGATACAGTTTGGATCTGTGTCCCCACCCAAATCTCCTGTTGAAATGTAATCTTCAATGCCGAAGTGGGCACTAGTGGGAGGTGACTGGATCACGGGTACAGTTCCTAATGGTTTCGCACCAGCCTCCTAGCGTGCCCCCTAGTGCTGTTCTTACCATAGAGTTCTCACAAGATCTGGTTGTTTGAAAGGGTGTGGTGCGTCCCCCTCTCCCTCCTGCTCTAGCCATGTAAGGCCTGCCTGTTTCCCCTTCCCCTTCCGCCATGATTGAAAGCTTCCTGTGGCCTCCCCAGAAGCCACTACGCTTCCTGTACCACCTGCAGAACTGCGAGCCAACTGCACCTCTTTTCTTTATAAATTACCCAGTCTGAAGCATTTCCTTCTAACAGTGCAAGAACAGGCTAATGCAATCACCCAACAGGTGAGCAGACATCAGCAGACCCACAGAGCAAGTCTAGCCTTTAACCTTACAGAACAGTGTACTCCAGCCTAAAGCTGTGAACACAGAAAGAGAGAATGTCAGGTAGTGGAGAAAGGACAGATGTTTCAATTCCAAATGGGGCCTTCGCAGCTGTGGGACTACGGTCCACTGACCCTCCAAGCCTCAGTTTCCTTAACCATAAGATGGAAATCAAAGAACCTGGTTTTCAGAGTTGCCATAAGGAATGTGAGAAACAATGGCTATGCAAGCAGCAGCACAGGGCAACATAAAGGCAGGGGCTCAAACTTGGCCCAGCCATTGTATTAGGCTTCTGGTGCCACCTAACAAATCACTGCACACTTAGTAGATTAAAGCAACCCCCATTCCTTATGTCACAGTTCCTGTGGGTCAAAAGCCCAGGCCCTACACTGAGTCCCCTGCTCAGGATCTCACTGGGCTACAATAACGTGTCATCTGGGGCAATGATCTCATCTGAAGCTGGGGGTGCTCTTCCAAGGTCTCCAGGTGTTGGCAGAATTTAGCAACCAGTGGTTGCAGGTCTGAGGCCCTCAGCTCCGTCCGCCCACAGCTCCCTGCCATGTGGCCCTTCCCACATATGCCAGGGCCATGCAGGAGAGCATGTCTCTCTCCAGTTTGCTCAGACACACTCTAATACAATGTAACCTGATCACGGAGGGACATCTCAGCTTTGCTGCATTTTATTGCTTAGAAGCAAGTCAGAGGTTCCCCTGCCCTCAAAGAGAGAGGATTATACAAGGGCTTGACTCCTTCACTGTCACCGTAGGGTATGTCCCTGGGCAAATGGGTCTCCTTGGTCTTCACTTTCCTTCTCTGTAAAATGATTATTTGCAACAATGCTTCCTCCATAACAGCAGTTATGATGGTTGAATTAATCAATAACTGTAAGGCACTTAGAATAATGTCTGGTCCATAGCACATATCATATGTGTTTATGACATGTGTTTTAAATAAATGAATGAATTTGAAAAAAACCTATCATGCAGCAAGCACTGAATAAAGGAGCAAATGTCTGAAGTTGACTGGTTAGTGCAGGCCCAGGAACTGGTAAAGGCAGGCCCAGGAACTGCCACCCTGGACCTGAAGGTGCTGGGTTTTGTTGTTGTTGTTGTTTGAGATGGATTCTCACTCTGTCACCCAGACTGGAGTGCAGTACACAAGCTCAGCTTACCTCAACCTCCATCTCCCAGGTTCAAGCGATTCTCCTCTTTCAGCCTCCTGAATAGCTGAGATTATAGGCGCGCGCCACGATGCCAGGCTAATTTTTGCATTTTTAGTAGAGACGGGGTTTGACCATGTTGGCCAGGCTGGTCTCAAACTTCTGACCTCAAGCGATCCTCCAGCCTTGGCCTCCCAAAGTGCTGGGATTACAGGTGTGAGCCACCGTGCACGGCCTGGACCTGAGAGTGCTCTTTCTCTCTGTGCTGTACCTCCCTTGGGGAGCAGAGAGACAGCAGTTTATGCTCTGGGTGGAGGCATCTGGAACTGGGGGGTGAGAAAGATACAGGAAAAAGACTCTTCCTTCCTGCAGGTCTCAGAGTGCAACCCCATTTCCTTCCGGCCCTGAACTCTCCCTCACAATCAAGGCCTTGCCTCTCCCTGGCCCAATGGACCCTGCAGCAGCCCCCACGCCCACTTCCTGCTCCCTGGCTCTCTTTACTTTTGGAGGAAGATGGGGTGTTCTGGGGAGCCCGGACCTGGCCTCTCAGCCCTTGCCATCCCTCCAGCAGAAACCCAAGACAGCTGCCATCCCCATCCATCTTTCCCTTTCAAATCTAATTTATGTATAGCTTTTCTCATACTTGCAAACCATAAGAAACCCTTAAAACTAAAAAGCTGTTTCCCATTTCTGAGGTGGGTTCTGCTGGCTGCCACGCACGCTCACATGCATATATTTGAACAAGTTTGATTCAGTGTAGCTGACACAAAAACCACTTAGTCGTTTCTCCTACATCATCCTAAGTTAATACTCCTGACAGGCTGCAGGAGGCTTTTCAGCAATTTTTCTATTTCAGCTATTTTCCCCTCTGCCTCCTGCCACTTCCCACCTCCCCTTTCCTTGCTGTAAAATTTGCTTTCCGCTCAAAAGCTGACCAAACCTTTGCAATTTGTATCCATCGCATCTTAAGACTAAATTGAAAGGCAAGCAGCAGCTCTAAACGGGAACGGGCCAGCCCAGCCTTGCAGGCATGGATTCTATTTGTGCTTGATGTAGGGGAATTTAACTGTTCACGAAAGATAAGAGATGCGCTTGCTTCGTCCCTTCATCAGGGAGCTCCGACTTGGAGGGGGCGCTGCCGCCCTGGGCCGTTTCTGTCGTTCACCTGCTCAGCCTCCTGCCTCAGCTGGTCTGGCTTTTGTGTCCTGTGGCGGGAACCAGGCAGGATCCCCAAAGCCACAGGCTGCGTCTCAGACCATGGACGCCCGCGCCCAAAGGGGAGGGGCTGGCGTGTGCCGAACAAGTCAGATATTCTCTCTCCCTCCCTCCCTCTCTGCTTCTGTCTCTCTCTATTCTAGTTTTTCTATCTCTATCTCCCTCTCATTCTCTGCCTCTCTGCCTCTGTCTCTGCCTCTGTTTCTAACTCTGCCTCTCACTGTCTCTGCTTCTCTATCTCTGTCTCTGCCTGTTTCTAACTCTGTCTCTTCTGTCTCTCTACATCTGTCTCTTTGTCTCTGTCTCTGCCTCTTTTTGTCTCTGTCTCTGTCTCTTTTTGTCTCTGTCTCTATCTCTGTTTCTGTCTTTGTCTCTGTCTCAACTTGTCTGTCTCTCCCTCCCTCATCTCTGTCTCTATCTGTATCTTTTTATCTCTCTGTCTCTGTCTGCCTCTCTCTTTTTGTCTCTATCTCTGCCTCTCTGTCTTTTTGTCTCTGTCTCTGCCTCTGTCTCTGTATCTCATCTCTGTCTCTCATCTCTGTCTCTGTCTCTCCCCCTCTCTCATGCACACACACACACACCCAAAGCCTATGAGCCTGAGACCCTGATGTAAACCTTGGCCTCTCCTGCCACCGCCCTTCACCTTGGCCTCCACTTCCCCGCCCTCTCCCCTCTCCCCTCTCCCAGGGTACCACACCGCCCCTGGGGTTCTTTTCAGCTGGATAATATGTGGGGGACAGGGGATCTGCAGGCCGGCCACCAGGAGCTCCGCTTCCCCCCAACACTAGCACTACCTAGGAATGTGACCGCAGCTCTGCCCACCCCCCTCGTCCTAGATCTCTCCCCACTTCAGCCCCTGCAGGAGGCCGACCTCCAACTCCTCCAGCCCTTCAGCCTGGAGACTGCCTGGCCATGGCCCGCAGCTTTCCAGGGCCAGGTGGCCAGCAGGGGGCACACTGTCCCCGCAGCCGGCAGCCCAGCCAGTGACAGGCAGCGGGGAGGGGCGGGGGAGCGGCAGCGGCTAACCTTGCAGGGGAGGCAGTTATTTAAGGACCGAACTTCTCTGCTGCTGGCATCGTATTTCCTGACCAGGAGGCCTAAGACTCAGGGCCAGCCAGGAAGAAGGCTGAGCTAGGGGAGAATGATTAAAGGGGAAGTACAAAATTCACACAACCTGGCTCTGGGTGCAGTGGCAGGCTGCAGTGTGGCCGGGGCTGCTGAGGCCACCCCAGAAAAACAGCAAAGTGAAAAGGACGGTGCTACCATTCAGTCCAATACCCCCTAGGTGCTTGACCTCCCACCACAAATGTCATTGGCATTGCTATCATTACTATTTTGGAGCTGAGAAAACTAAGGTGCAGAGAAGTTAATTAACCTGCCGAGAGTCACGTGGCAGAGAAATGATTTGATCTAGAACTGGCTGACCGCAGACTCCCTGCTCAGCTACAGCTATGCTGCTTTCCCTGTGATGACCTGAGATGTCTTCCTGGCCCATGACCCTCAGCCAGCCCCCTAGGACCCTGCTAGTTTGCAGCAGTCAAAGGGGTGACCCCTTCAGGTATTCCCATTTTCAGAGGAAACACAGGAGGCCTGTAAAGGGTTCAAGACCTAAGCATTTAAGGAGGCCTTGGAGAAACACTGGAACGGCAGGAAGTAAACTGTCCTGACTCTGGCTCGGCCATTACTAGACTGTGTGACACTGAGCAAGTTGCGTGTCATCTCTGTGCCTTGTCTAAGAAATGTAGAGCTAGAGACAGATCAAAGAATCTTATCCAGGGCCCATGAATGGGCTTGGAGGGCCAAAAAATTCCCTAAAAATTATATACGAGAACTCCTGTGAATGGGTATTATGTACATGTGCATTTACCTGGGAAAACAGTCACAATTTTCATCAGATTCTCAATGGGGTCTGTGAGCAAAGAAGGTTTGAGAGTGGCTGTACCCGATGACCTCTAAGTCACTTCCAGTTCTGACATTCTGAGACAGATGACTGACCCTCTAAAGAAAAAATTTCAGGACTGAAACCATGACGTTTATGCAAGTGATCTTTGGGACAGCTGTGGAGAGAGCCGTGGTCTCAGGGGGTCATTTGTATCTCTGAGCCTTCCTGCTTCTCACCTGATGACAGGTATTCTTATGCAGGTTTGTATGGTTAAAATACCAGGAGAAAGGACTGCCTGTAGTTGACTCTGGTGAAAGGAGGCCCTGGAAGCCCCCCAGACTCAGACCCTGGGGTAGTATTTCACTGATCATGTCACCAGGCATCACTTTAACTGTTTGTCAATCTCCCCTGAACCAAGCCAGGGCTTCCTCTAGCTAGGTCTCTAAGGATAGTGACAGGGTCCTCTGTAGAAGTTCCAGTCAGCGCTGGAAAATTGGCCCAGGCCTTCTTGGAGAACCCGAACACCATACTGTACTGGGTGAGAGGGAGGAAAATCTTACTCTTGTTTATCCCATTTGGTTCTTATTGCCCATATGTCTGTTCTAAGGTCAGATCAGGTTAAAATAGCCATCATCTTTCTCCCTGATGAGAAAGAAGAGGGAGTTGTCACAAATTAACATTACAAGCTGTAAGAGGGTAAGAAGTGGTCATGGAAGGAAAGGACTTCTGTCTGCCTTGCACTGTGACAATGAGGATGTTCAGGGTTGGTTCTAAGTCTAAGAGTCTCAGATTTATTTGGATTGACTGGCAAAACTATGCTCTTCACCCCAGAGTGCATCCCTAGTCATTTTGAGAAAACCTGGTGATTCAAAGCCCCAGCAAGATAGCCCACCTTCTACCGCCCTACCTCCCCTCCATCTACCACCCCACCTCCCCCACCTTCCACCACCCCACCTCCCTCCCCACATCCCCACCTCCCCACACCTCCCACCACCCCACCTCCCCCCCGACCTCCAACCACCCCACCTCCCACCTTCCACCACCCCACCTCCCCCCACCTTCCACCACCCCACCTCCCCTCCACCTTCCACCACCCCACCTCCCCCTACCCCACCTCCCCACCTTCCACCACCCCATCTCCCCCCAAACTTCCACCACCCCACCTTCCCCTACCCCACCTCCCCACCTTCCACCACCCCACCTCCCCCACACCTTCCACCACCCCACCTCCCCCCGACCTCCTACCACCCCACACCTCCCACCCCACCTCCCCCTGACCTCCCACCACCCCATCTTCCACCACCCCACCTCCCCCACCTTCCACCACCCCACCTCCCCCCACCTTCCACCACCCCACCTCCCCATCTTCCACCACCCCACCTCCCCACCTCTCACCACCCCACCTCCCCCCCCACCTCCCACCACCCCACCTCCCCCCACCTCCCCCCACCCCACCTCCCCCCACCTCCCACCACCCCACCTCCCCCTGACCTCCCACCACCCCACACCTCCCACCACCCCACCTCCCCCTGACCTCCCACCACCCCACCTTCCACCACCCCACCTTCCCCCACCTTCCACCACCCCACCTCCCCCCGACCTTCCACCACCCCACCTCCCCCCACTTTCACCACCCCACCTCCCCCCTACCTTCCACCACCCCCAACCTTCCACCACCCCACCTCCCCCCACCTTCCACCACTTTACCTCTCCCCCACCTTCCACCACCCCACTTCCCCCCAACCTTCCACCACCCCACCTCCCCCCCACCTTCCACCACCGCACCTCCACCCCACCTTCCACCACCCCACCTCCCCTCCACCTTCCACCACCACCCCACCTCCTCCCCACCTTCCACCACCCCATCTCCTTCCCATCATCCACCAAGCCCACCTCCTCCCCACCATCCTCCAAGCCCACCTTGCACTATCCCACCTCCTACCTCCCACCTGGTTGGAATCTTCAGCTGATGGTACCTGGAACCTGTGCCATGTCTTCACTGCACCCCTCCAAGCACAGAGTGGGAGCTGGAGATGTGCTTGGGTACCAGGTAGCACCACCAGGCAGGCTGGGGCAATGTCTGGACCAAGAGGAATGACTTTATGCTGTGTCACTTTCATTAATGTAAGTTAATAGGATATCATTTCATAATGACTTGACTTTCTTACTTTGCAAATACTAATAGAACATGAAATTTGCTCAAGTTTCCCTAAAATGTGTGTCAATATCACCTGGGATTTGAAAATGAAATTCTTAATAGGTCTCCAGGTCGGCCAATGCCCAGCAGTCCAGGAAGCCCAGTCTGGCTAGCTTATGCTGTTGGCTGATGTTGAGAACATGAGATTTAGGGATCTGTAGACATGCTCTGAAGCTTCAGAGTCCACCCAGGATTAAGCAGGCAAGGAGAGAGGGTTTGATCCTAAAGGGTATGATGAAAGGAAACAGACAGTATATGGTAGCAGGAAGGCACTCCCGGGTTCAATAAGCAGTGACCCACAAAAAAGGTAGGTGATGGGATTCAGAGACAGTGATATGGAAATGTGAGAAGACAAACAGGTGACCATCACTGTGTCAGTCCATTTTGCACTGCCATAAAGGGATACCTGAGGCTGAGTAATTTATAAAGATCTTTTATTTGTTTGGTTTATTTGGTTCATAGTTCTGCAGGCTGTCCAAGAAGCATGGCACCAGCATCTGCTTCTGGTGAGGGTCTCAGGAAACTTTTACTTATGGTGGAAGGTGAAGGGGGAGCAGGCTTGTCATATGGCAAGAGAGACAAGAGGAGGTACCAGGCTCTTTTTAACATTCAGATCTTGGGGTAATTAATAGACTGAGAATTTACTCATTACTGTGAGGACAGCACCAAGCCATCCATGAGATCCACCCTCATAACTGAAACTCCTCCCACCAGGCCTCACCTCCAACACTGGAAATCACATTTCAACATGAGATTTGGAGGGGACAAACATCCAAACTATATCAACCATCAACTCCAAAGATTGGTAAAGAAAGCAAAGTGGGGGGCCAGGTGCAGTGGCTCACTCCTGTAATCCCAGCACTTTGGGAGGCCGAGGTGGGGGGATCACGAGGTCAGGAGATCGAGACCATCCTGGCTAACACAGTGAAACCCTGTCTCTACTAAAAATACAAAAAATTAGCAGTGTGAAAATGGACTAATACAATGAAAGGAGATACAGGTTTCAGAGACTCTTCTGGGGAGAGAAAGGCTGTTTGGGGAGGGGAACGAGAATCTTGCAGTGAGCCGAGATTGCACCACTGCACCACTGCACTCCAGGCTGGGCAACAGAGCAAGACTCCGTCTCAAAAAAAAGAAAAAAAGAAAAAAAAGAAAGCAAGGTGGAAACTCAGCCCAGAGGCAATGGAGTACTGACTGGGCAAATAATCCAGACAAAGCTCCAGTCCGGGTGCTGGAGCTCACATATACCAGTGGAGGATTAGCCTTAGAAATCACAATAAAAAGCAGTCCTGAACCGAGGTAGAAGGTCTGAGCAATGCTGGCAGCAAGTCTACCTTGAAGCTGAATTCTCTTAATTGACTCCAAAGGCAGGACAGTCCTGAATCTAAGTTGGGTGTTAAACTATAGGTAGGGCGCAGATGGCTCCTGAGGGTGGTCCTGTAGGCTCAGATTGAGGATGAGGAGGGAAGTAGACACAAGAGCACTGTGCAAGGAAAAAGAGAACAAAGTGAACAACTGCTTGTTAAACATGAAGGTAGAATCCAGTGCAGTTCTTCTGTGGGCCATACTGACTCCCACATGGCTGGAGCCAGATTATCAAGAAAGCCTGACAAAGATGCCCTCCACGATGCCCTGCTGTGTGAAGGGTTACTGGAAGATGCAGACTTTCTCTCCCTAAAGGGAGACACTACAAGTGTCAAGCCCCAGGGATGCTGCAGATATTGATTCCACAAGTAAGAATGAGGAGCTCTCATTTGGTCTGTTCTGATGTCAGCCAGGGCCAGGCTGACCCAAGAAGTACCTGCCGCACAGGGGTAGAGGAGTCTGGCTGTATCTGATTGAACCTGCTGTCTTCCCAAAGAGCTCCCCAATCCGTGGTGGCCTTCTCAGCCAATATGGTGATGACTTCCTAATGAAGGTGTGTATTAGGGTTCTCTAGAGGGACAGAACTAATAGAATATATGTATATATGACAGGGAGTTTATTAAGGAGAATTGACTCACATGATCACAAGGTAAAGTCCCACGAAAGGCCATCTGCATGCTGAGGAGCAAGGAGGACAGTGGTGGATCAGTATGAGTTCCAAAACCTCAAAAGTAGGGAAGCCAAGAGTACAGCTTTCAGTCTGTGGCTGAAGGACTGACAGCCCCTGGCAAATCACTGGTGTAAGTCCAAGGGTCCAAAAGCTGAAGAACTTGGAGACTGATATTCAAGGGCAGGAAGCATCTAGCACAGGAGAAAGATGGAGGCCGGAAGACTCAGCAAGTCTGTTTTTCCATCTTCTCCTGCCTGCTTTATGGTAGCTGCGCTGGCAGCTGATTAGATGGTGCCCACCAAGATTGAGGGTGAATCTGCCTCTCCCAGTCCACTGACTCAAATGTTAATTTCCTTTGGCAACACCCTCACAGACACACCAGGAATAATACTTTGCATCCTTCAATCCTATCAAGTTGACACTCAATATTAAGGATCACAAATCCACCCCTTGTCAACTTGAACCCACACACATCACCTGAAACCATACATAATCTTCAAATAAAGACAATAATGTCATAATTATGCCTAACATAATACAGCTATCTTTCACACAACCAGAAGTGCACTAATTCTTAACCCAAATGCTGTTATAGAAAGTTAATAGCACTTAAATGCTGATATGAAGTCAAGAAATCTTATGTCACATGATAAAGGAAAAATAAAAGAAATAAAATGAAGGTATTAGTACAATTGTATAATATACAAACATGTTCTTAACATAAGGAAGAAATACTCATGAAAATTACCGTCCTCATTTCTGCAACTGGTCAAGTGGTCATAGCTGGTTTTGATGACTACCTTCTTTCAACTACTCATTCTGTATTTCCTTTGCCTTCAGCAAGCACCTCAGCAGGTTGTGGTTTTTAACCTGGTGGACGGACCCAAATCTTCATTCCTGAAGGTTGTGGGCCATTTGCAGTCCTGCCTGGATTGAGTTTTTGTAGTTTCCTGTTGACCTTAATAACAGGGCATGGGATTGATGTCCTAATGGATCTTTTGTGTTCCATGTGTACTCTTCCTTACCTCCATTGTGGAGTAATAGGCTGATTTCCTCTTGATAGTCCAGGTCAGTCACCCCAGCCAACAAGGTAACATACTTCTTAGCCTGTTGACTTAGAGGTAGGAGGAGCCCAAAATGGCCAGGTGACTTCCAGTTTCATAGAATCATTTTTGTGTCTCCTGGTGGCAGCATTCCTTCCTCTGAACTAGGACCTCTAGGCCAGTGAAAGGTAATGTTGTGGAAACAGAAGGCAAGATTTTTGCTAGTGGGTCACTATGGGTGATGGTGAGTAGTGCCACCTTCCACTTCCACCCCTTGATTCCTGGGCCCGTTAATCCTGGCTATGGGAGAAACAGTACCATAATACTGGATACTGATTCAGAGCATACACAGCCTTCTGGAGAACTTTGCCCCACTACTGCAAAGTACTGTCACCTAGTTGGTGTTGTAATTGTGACTTCAAAAGGCCATTCCACTATTCTATCAGTCCAGCTGCTTCAGAATGGTGGGGAACGAGGTAAGACCAGTGAATTCCATGAGCATGATCCCACTGTCACACTCCTTTAGCCATAAAGTGAGTGCCTTGGTCAGAGGCAATGCTGTGTGGAATACCATGATGGTGGATAAGGCATTCTGTGAGTCCACAGATGGTAGTCTTGGCAGAAACAATGTGTACAGGATAGGCAAGCTCCTATCTGGAGTGTCTATTCTGGTGAGGACAAACTGCTGCCCTTTCCATGATGCAATATAATCAACCTGCCACAAAGTAGCTGGCCGATCACCCAGAGGAATGGTGCCATATCAAGGACTCATTGTTGGTCTCTGCTACTGGCCAATCAGGCACTCAGTGGTGGCTATAGCCAGATCAGCCTTGGTGAGTGGAAGTCCATTTTGCATCCTTCAATCCAATCAAGTCGACACTCAATATTAACCATCACAAGGTGCTTACAATTAGGTTCTGATTGCAGGAGTAAGGACTGGATGAGAAACTCCTCCCCACACTCTCTAGTCCTGGCACCTCAAAGTTTCTAATGTCTCTTGGCTATGATCCAATAGCCCTTGTCCTCACCTGGCAGCTTATCTGCTCTAGCAACAGGCATGGTGGGCAAAACATGGGCTTTAGATTCAGACCCAGGTCCAAATGCCAGTGCTCCACCGACTAGTTGTAAACTCTTGGAGTAATATAACCTGTCTGAGCTTCACTATGTTATATAATGGGGATAATAAAACCTATTTCATTGAGTTTTAATAAAGATTCAGTAATAATGACAACATTTATTGAGCACTTACTGTATTCCATGCACTGTGCAAGTGACTTACATAAATTATCTAAATGCAGCTTAGGCTTCATTTCAGTTCCTTAGTTTCCTTTGCCTGTTGGGCCATAAATTGGCACCTGGGCTCACCAGTTAATAGCTACACAATTGCAGGTATTGTTTCCTTGAAGAAATGAACAGTCCCTAAAGGGCTGGTATGGCAAATCTGGTTCTCTTCAAGAAACCCAGGTATGATGTCAAGGAGAGGAAAATTATTTTTCTGAGTTTCAGAAATCTTCAGGAAATGCACTATGCCTTAAACATGGACCCTAATTCCTCATCCAGCCACACAAAGACCACTGTGAGCTTGTTTGGTTTGTCTTTTCATTCCTAGCTTCCACCAGTCTCCAGGAATGAGTATTCACTGCCTTATCCCATTTGTCACTCCATCCATATTGTTTACAAAGCCTGAAGGCCCTTCCCTTTCTCTATCTGGGAGTCTTTCCCAATGCTGAGGTCTTCCTTAATTCATGTGCTTTCATGGGGCCTGTTCCTGGCCAGAACCCTGTTAACTCCTTCCTCTCCTACTCTCTTGATTGATTTTAAGCTTGTGTTTTACTTCTTATCCAATTTGATCTTATCTCAGCCATTTGTGGATGAATCTGCCTCTCACAGTCAACCTTCATCTCATAGACAGAAGAAGTAGTGCCTTATTTATCCTTTTATCCTAACCCCACCCGTAAAAAAGGAACCTATCAGAGGTTACAACACATTTTGTGCAGTTAGTTAAGATCAGTCCGCACGCCTCCTGACAGGTCATAGAAACTAGAGATGGAGGAAGGGAGTACTTTGTAAGGCCCCAGGACTGGAGGGACAGGGACTGGGGAGCATTTGCAGGTCCACTGCTTCTTCTGGGAGATAAAGGCCAAAGACGCTCTCTCTCAGGTTGGCTTTGGGCAATCAATGGAGTGGACTCATCATTGGGAGGCTCCGCCCTCCTTTCTGTCCATGTTTCTGACTCAAGGGCCCCTGCCACCACCTGATTCTAAAGCACCTCTTCCCACAAGCTTTCCAACTGCACAATTTACTGAAGACTGATCTGTTCTGAGTTGTGTGTCCTCAGGCATTATTTCATACAGAACTGGATCTCATAAATGAGGCCAGCCAGGTGGCATCTACTGTCTAGATGGAGCACTCTAGACATGTAACACTCCTGCAAGAAACACCTTGGAGGGACCTGGGCTCCCTCTCATAGTGTCCCCGCGTCTCCAAGCTCTCCTCAAGGGGTCACAGTAACTTCCACATTGGAAGAACAAGAGGGGACAGTCCCTGTATTCGGATGGCAGAGCCTCCCTACATGTTCAGGACAGGGCTTTGTCCTGGTGTGACACAGATTGTTCTGTCCCCCAGTGTCCCAGAAAGCAGCTGGGGCACAGTCCTGTGCTCTCAGACAGACAGGCACTCAGCCTGTGGCTTACTCCTTCCTCTCTCGGCTGGTGCACCGGCCCTCTCCCATGGGTTGGGTGGAACTACCATTTCAGCTGCCATGACTGTTTTATAGAAGAGAAGAAAGTTGGTTATGAATCCCACCCACTTGTCTTCAGACAGTGACAGCCTAAACATTACCCCCTAGGTAAAAAGAGCACGTCTGCTTTGCAAACTGAGCCTCAAGAAAAGTCCCTTAGCCACAGTCTTCCCATACTTCCATGCAGATGTCTGTCCCTAAGCTTCTATTATAGGGACATTCTGGAGCTGGCTCTCGAGTCACTGCAACCAAACGGCAACATCAGGAAAGTGAGTAGGGTGTATATTTCCAACCTGAGACAGCCTTGGTCGGGGCATATAACAGGCTTGCCTGAAAATGGGGACAAGGTGCTAAGGAGGGATGAAATGTGCAAAGAAAGGGAAACTTCAACAAACGGGACAAACTCAGTCCCTCGCAGCTTGCCTGGACCTGTCTTGGCATGCACAGTGTCTTTCTGGGGCCACCCAGCAGGGCTGGCCAGCCTGCAGCCAAAGCCGGCAGCGTGCTCCCTGAGGTCCCATTTCAGTCTGTCTTTCCCTCTGCCCATCCTCCTCTTCCCCTGGGCAGCTCGTTTGCTTGCAACAGCCTCTCATTTCCCTGTGTTGGTTTAGTCTCAGGCCCAGACCCTGTTCAATATTTGTTTCCCCGGCTCTGCTATTTGCTCTCATTTCCATATGTTTAACATACATATTAGCTACCTCCTATGGTCCCATAGTTGTCACTGGCTCTTCCGGCCTCAGTCTGAGTCCCAGGGCCACTGAGCACCTGTCATCCCAGAAGGATGGTGCTGGGTTGCTGTTGCCTAAGCACTGGTGCCACCCTACCCACTCAGGGGACCCAAGTCTGGACAGCAGGACCTCAGAACTCCCTCTCACCTTTGCTTACCTCATCCCAAGTCACCCTTTCTTCCTTCTGGCAATGTAATATTGATTGATATTCTAGAACTATAATTTCTTCCTTAATGAGAAGTCAAGGTAAGAATACAATTAAAAGTTCTTAAAATGGACTCCAAAGCTTTTTCAGATTATCCCTTCCCACTGCCATCATCTCCTGCTGAACTTATTTTATCTTCCTCGCTCCACATTGGGCAACCTGCCTTCATCATAAGCTTCTTGATGAATCCTAGTGATCATCTAGCCCAACCATGGAGCTATGGCTTAAACGCCCCTTCAGTTATCCACCCCACATTCCTTCCATGTGTCCGGCACTGGGCTAGGTACCAGAGATTCAGAAATGACAGGGATAAATAGGAAGAAGCTGGAAGGACCTCACATCTAGTGTGGGAGGTGGAGACCCAACTATAATGCTGTGTGACAAATTTAAGATAGAGTTGGAAAGGAGGACCGTAACTCAGCCAAAGGTATCAGCAAAGTCTTCCTACAATCCTTTCATTATTGATTATTCCACATTTAGAGGAACTCACTACCTCCCAAAGTGTCATCCTTTCCCTTTCTGAGTTCTTGTGACACACATACTTCTTTCTGTGAGTACGTCCCTGTTGCCTGAAATCAGCAATCTAAATTTTTTTTTTTTTAGTGAAAAGCTGCGTTATCCTTGAATGAACCCTGTCCCTCTGCCTCAATGTTTCCCCAGCTGTAGAAAGAAAAGGATAAAGCTCAGTGATTTCTAGAACTCCCCAATCTTGTTGGTTCTACAGCAGATTGGCTCTCAGGGAGGCCTCTCCCCCATCCTCACTGCATCTTCTAAAAAGATGCCATGGGTCACCTTCCCCTTGCTTCTCCATAGCCTCTGGCCTCTTCTCCATGAGCCCACCTGCTCACTCTGCTAGCTGGCTTCTTTAAAATCCTGCTCATCATCTTATCCTGATTCCTTACTGCCTCCAGGAGAAATCCACACATCTTGGCTTCAGATACATTCAAGATATTTTATAATTGGCCCCAACATACCTTCTTCTTCCTGCTCTCTGCCACCATGGAACTGCTCCTGCTGTAATGCCTGTCTCACAGTTCCCCAGACATAAGAGTCCATTTCAACTCTGCACCCCTGGATATGACTCCTTGTCAACTTGAAAATCTGCTCCCTGTCTTAATCAATTAGAAAACTCCTATGTACACTCAAAGCCTGGTTCACAGCCTAGGGGTAATAAATCTATTCTTCCTCTGCCCACCTGAAGCACACTGTTCATGCTTTCATAACGCCATCCTACAAGTCGGTCCTCAGTCCTACTCATGTCCTGGAATTTCTGCTCTTGTCTGGTCCTCTTTACACTGAATGAAGATAACCTATGTAGCCAGTAGGATAGAGCTGTGAGAATGTGTGACTTCCAGGACTAGGTTATAAAATACATTGCAACTTCTACCTTTCCCTTCATGGCTCACTCTGGGGAATCCAGCAGCCATGGAACCTGCAAATAGCCTGTGGGGAAGACCAAGACCAAGGGGACAAAGCTGAGGCCTCCTACCAACACTCAGGTATTAGTCTATTTTTGCACCACTATAAAAGAATACCTGAGACTGTGTAATTTGTGTGTGTGTGTGTGTGTGTGTGTATAAAAAGAGGTTTAATTGGCTCATGGTTCTGCAGGCTGTACACAACGCATAGTGACTTCTGCTTCTGGGGAGACCTCAGGAAGTTTCCAATCATGATGGAAGGCAAAGGGGGAGCAAGGCATCTCACCTGCAGGGAGCAGGAGCAAGAGAGAGTGAGCAGGGAGGTGCTGTACACTTTTAAACAATCAGATCTCATGAGAACTCACTCACTGTCACGAGAACAGCACCAAAAGGATGATGCTAAACAATTCATGAAAAATCCACCCCCATGATCCAACCACCTACCACTAGGCACCACCTCCAACAGTGGGGACTACAATTCAACATGAGGGTTGGTGAGGACACAGATCCAAACCATATTAACCACATCAACTTGCCGGCATGCAAGTGAGCCATTGTCTCAAGTGCATCCTTCAGCCACAGTCAAACCTTCAGATGACTGTGTTCCCAGTCAACAACTTGACTGCAACCCATGAGAGACCCTGAGCCAGAGCCACCAAGCTAAGTGGTTCCTATTTTGGATCCACAGAAACTGTGAGAGATAATAAATGCCCATTGGTGTTTTAAGCCATTAGGTTGTGGGGCACTTTGTTACAAGGCATTAGATAACATGAACAACAGCTTTTACTCTATTGCATTAAAGTGTATCTTTTTACAGGCTTCTCTGTACAATCCATCAGCATCTTTGAAAACATGGGCATATGTCTTTCTCCTCCAAATCTATAGTGTCTAGCAAACTGCATGATGCAAAAAAAGTAGGCTATAAATAAATCCTTGCCTAACTTATTAATTAGTAATTAATTTTTTAAAGCCCTAAAGATCTGGTTTATATTTCTCCTTGTTCAACTACTTGATTCTTTGCTGTAGCTTCCTTTAGGCATCAATCTGTCCCATACCCCCACCTCCATACTCTACAGGGCTCTACATCACATTTGCAGTTTGCAAAAGACCTTTTACCTGCCTGTTCATTCCTACAATGACATTCTGAGGTTGGCAGAGCAGGTATGATTAAGCATATTTTACATAAAAAAGGTTAAGTTTCTTGTCCCAGTTTGTCAAAGAGTCCCAGTTTTCCTAGACTTTCCCAATTTTCCTAGGAGCTCAGTTCAGTGTCCCTTATACCACCCTTTCTTGGATAGGTGAGCTGGATATTGTAGATACTTTAGCTGCTTCTCTCTAAAGACCCATCACTGGGGGCTTCTGAAGGAGCCCAGCTTCCTATTTCAAGATAAGAATGCAGACAATCATTCACACATATAAGACTTTCCTGCCTGGCTACCCTTCTCTCTTTCCGAGGCTGGAAGCTCAGCCACCCTGGGCCACCCTGGACCACCCTGGGCTGTGATGACACAGAGTCTGGGTATAGGGTGTGCCTTGGTTTGGTGTTCTATCTCCTTATTAGTACAAGCTAATGCCACTTACCCCTGTTAGCTGCACACACACACTGCAGATTTCCTGCAAGAGCCATGGTGGTGTTTGCTTGGAGAGATTGTCTGAAAAATAACCTCTTTCCCTAGCATCCAGAAATAGCTTTTGATGTTATCTTAAAAAAAACAATTTTGGGACCAAAATTTAGAATAAAGCTGAGTGCCAGTAAATGCCTACATGACTGCTTCCAAGGGAAATCAGAAAGGATTTCTAGAGACGCTAAAGCTGTATATTATTGTAAGCCCGTGGAGCTGAAAAGCTCCTGGACTGAGTGTCAGAAGACCTTTCTTTTCGAATTCCAACTCTCATCACAGTAGCAGCACTGAACCTCTTTGCGGTACAGTGCTTCTCTCTATAGGAACACAGTCATCCTCCTTTCTGTATTAAAATCATGAGACCAGGGAGAAGGTGAATAAACATCATACTCATCATGTACCAAACACCTAGGATGTGCCACATGCTATATTAGGCACTTTGCAGCTCTTAACTCATTTAAGTTTCACAGCAATGCTATGAAGTAGGCATTTTCTCTACTTAAGTAACAACTAAACCAAAACTTAGAATAGTTAAGTAGGATGCTCACCAGGCAGTAAATCAAGGGTAGAACTGGGATGCAAACTTCAGCTTTTTCCACTTTGCTGTGATGACAAGTAAGAGAATACATCTTAACATGCTCTAAACATTCCTCTTTAAAAAAATCAAATGACATGAAAACAAAGACGAAAGAACCCAGCATTTGGAGATAGGCCCAGTGATACATGCCACTCTCCTTGGTTCTCCTTTTCTGACTTCCCAGGGCAAAGACTACACTCCGAAAGCATGGATCCTGGACAGCCTATGTTCCCGAGCTTCTGCAGATGAGGGTGAGGGAAGGGTGGACACCCCACAGCTCCTGCAGACTGACAAAAGCTCTCTCTTACCTGCCAGTCTAGATTCCACCTCATCCCTACCCTGTGTAAGGAAGAACAGGGTTTCGTCGTCTCTCTGGGAAGCTGCAGATGGCTCATTTTTGCATTCTTCCCATTTCTTAAAAGTACTGCACATGAATTTTTAAAAGTAAAATTGATTTAAATTGATTCTATTTAAATTTTCTTTTATTTTAGACGTTTCACAATGCCTCCTAGGATAACTGCAGCCTTTCTGTGTGTTCAAAAACAGACTTTGGAGCCTATATTGAACTCACATACAGCTCCTTCCAGGTCATAAAGGCTGCTCTTTTCAGCTCTAGAATTCCATATTCAGTCAAGTCCTGGTTCTCATCTTGTGCACTTTGTGAATGGCACAGAGGCCCACAATTGCTTAATGCTCAGGACAAAACCCAGAACTTGATATTTTTCTTGCCCAACATTTTTCTTCCAACCCAGATTCCTGAGAGCTCATTTGTACCTCTATTTGTCTGCCCCAGAGTCCCTAAAATACAGCAACCTCGCTTTAATTCTATTGCCATTCAACTGCCTGACTTTGAGCACATGACTGAGCCTTCTCTGTGACTCAGTTTCCTCTTCATGATCACTGCTCTATGTCCTTCCCGCAGCTGCTGTGACAATGATGTTAAAGATGCCCCACAGTGGCCACACCACCCTTGTCCCTTTTGGTCACTGTGCTGAGACAGGCACTTGGGATTAGACTCTTTTTCATCCCTCAAAAGGTAACCCTGGGGAGGAACTCACTTGATCACTCTAATTTTCCATGGCTAGTTACACATACCAGCCTCCAGCCCCACCCTTCACTTGGCTAACTCTAGCTCTTCATATCCTGGTCCTCTGCAGAAGTCACTTTCTCCAGGAAACTTCCCTGATCGCATGCAGTCTTGGTTAGGTGCCCTTCTTAAGGAGTCTCACCGCATCCCATCATAACCATCACCACGTGGTGTAATTGTTTCTCTGTCTGTCTCATCCACCAACCTCTAAGCTCTGTGAGCGTATCTCACTCTCCTTGTTCATCATTGTATATCCAGAGCCTAACAGAGTGGCTGGCACATAGTAGGTATGAAAAAGCACAGAATAAGCCTGTCTGTCCTGCCCCTTCATGGAGCTGCTATGGGGAGTGAGTCTTTCAGCAAGCCACTTCATGTCTCCTGGCTTCAATTTCCTCCTCTTTAAAAAGCATGGTTTGAACTAGCTGTTCTCTATCATTCTTTCCTGCACAATAATCTGTAATTCTGTGATTCTAAATAAGGTAATGCATTGAAAGAACATGGAAAACTGTAGCACTTTAACCAACATAAGGATTGTATTTAACGTTACTATTATTATTCCACATGGTTTTCCCGATCTGTGCATCCTGGCAGCTCATGCCTCAGAATAAATGCAGCCTTCCTCCCGCAGCCAAAAGATTGGCCTTGTCAAAGACCGCCCCATAGGTCAACAGCAGTATTGCAACAGGGCTATGGATGGGTCTGACCCTCCTTTTCTTTCTTCACAACAGCCTTGGGAAATGTGTGAGGATCCTTTCATTCCTGCCATCCGAATATTGCCTGGGCTGAGTGGATGGGACCTTGTTTTTGCAGATAGTCTGTGATGACCTTAACTGAATTTTCTCATCTGGTCATTTGGTTTTGAGGATTTTTTTTCTTTCTTAAAAAAGCAAGAATCAAAAAATCAATAATGTAAAAAAAAAAATGAAACAAAAAATAAATAAAGGAGAAGAAGACAGTCAGTGCGCCTCAAGTTTAAATTAGAATACAACGGTTTAATGCTCCCAAAGACCAGACTATCGTTTCTTACCAGATTTCCCCTTGCATGAGCAATTGTGAAGCCAACCTGTCCAGAGGAATGAGTTGTCATTCCGCCAGATGAGCAAACACCATCGATTTTAATGTGTGTGATAGAAACAAACAGCACTGAGCTCTCCCCCTCCACACCCTCCGCTGGACACTATTCAGTGGAAACAGACGCCCTGGTTTTGTTAAGTGTCCAGGCAGAAGCACCAGGAAGGGAGTGGCAATGGAAGGTTCAGGACTGGATGCAGGGAGATTCTTCCAAACAGACTGGGCCCCAAGAGCCTCCCAGTTCAGAAAAAACACTGAGTCATGAAACATGGACCCCCCAAAGGTGGGAAGGACTAGAGAAGGGGATCACAGCTCCTTGCCCGGACTGGGGAGGGAGGAGCCAACACATCACCTCTTAGAGGTCTTCAGACAGCTGCCACTGGGCCAGGGCAGGCACAGAAGACAATAAATGGGGCCAGGAGCAATGGCAAAACCTGCTAATGGGCCTTGTCATCAATGCCCAATCTAAGCTGCCTCCAAACCATGAGAACCGACTCAAAGAGAGTTTGCCGTTGAGGTTTTGCTGGTGATAATCTGTTATCAGAGGCAAGAAGCCTACTAAGCAGAGAGGAAAAGAGGAGGGCCCCTGGCAACCTAAGAGCTTGCCCCACAGCCCCCTAAAAAGATTCTATGGCCTACTGTCACTTGCAATGTCTGCTGACCAAACACTCAGGAGTTTTCTCTTCAAAGATCATGACTTGTGGTCTATGGCCTTCTGTGTTTATCTGGTTACAGAGTAGGCATCAAAGAAATATTTATACAATTCACTGACTGATGTTCTGTACCAACAGAGGAGAAGACAGCTCCTCAGATGGAATAAACCCACTGCATTAATGCTGAAAGCAATGAGCAGTTAACATATGTCAAGATATCAGCTTCTTAAGAGGGCTATGTGAGACCAAACAAAATCAAGACAGAGAATATTGGACACTGATAGTCAGGTAAGTGTTCCTGGCACTTCACAAATTAGTTTACTATCCTTATACCCAGGAGAGAGAGTCCCCAGTCTGGAAGCTGAGATCTGAGGTCTAACTTTTGTTATTAACAACACAAAATGATGACACACCCCAATGTTTCAGTAATAATAACCCTTGGTTGTTCAGCTCTACTTCTACATTGGTAGTCTACAGGAGGGTAATCATGAGATAAGGAGAACTCCAAGAATTCAGGATGGGGAATGCCATCTTCCCCTGTGAGCTAAACCTAGCAAAACCCACACACAGTGGAAGTGATTTGGCAACTGAAAATGTCAGTGCAGAGATTATCTGTAATTGGGTGACTTGAGGATTTATAAACACCCAAAACTCCAGTCAAGGTGATTTGGGAGCAAACTCAGAGAGATAATATTGGAGTGAGATTGTAATTTGGTAAGCAGAACCCTAATCAATCGTATTGTGCCTTCCTAGGAGAAAGTCATCTTCCAAACCTGCCCCTCCAGGGTTCTGTGAGTGTCTGTTCATCTGACAGGCAGGCACCTGCCATAAAGATACATGCTTCAGTCTGACAAAGCCAGTTGACAATGGAGTCATAGAATTCTTTTCTCTGGTTCTGAATCTACGATCCTCAAACATCCCTCTGATAAGTTTTGGACCCATATGGCTTGCGTGCAGAGAAAGAATAGACTGGACAGGCCAGAGCAACTTACATACAGTCCATCTCATAGTACCATTCCAACATATGCCTCTTGATGCTTTTGTTAATGTAAACGAGTGGATCCGAGTTCAATTGACAGGACAGATCTGAGGTCTAGGACACTACACTGAGGTCCAGGACCCAGAAAAGGGGGAATTTGTCTAGAAAACTAGCAGTCAGATGCCTGAGACCCTGCATTTACAGACCACTCTCCCAGGGAAAAGTAGGTATTGAATTTTTCTTTAGAAAGGTGGCATTCTGGCATTTAATCCCCACATGTATGACATAGATTTTTTTATTACCCCTTCTGTTTATCAATAAGGAAGCTAAGATCCAATGGCTCAAGGTCACAGAGCATGTGGTATTTTGACTTTACACAATCCTGAGGCTCCCTCGGCAACATAACAAGAATCACGGAAGATTTCCAAAGATCCCCCCCTCCGAGTCTGAAAAGGCTAGGCATGTGCTCCCCTCAATCCTATGTAAAAGGGCTGGCTGGCATGGGGTCAGATTGTCTTTGTAAAGACAGAGATCAAAAGGAGGTAGTTTTGATCCCACCCCACTGCACCTCCCTATTCCTTTTGCTGGCTGCAGTAGCCTCCGGCTTCCTTTCTGGGTCGTTCATAAGACCCTTGGCATTGGGTTCCTCTTGCTGAGGACTAAGAGGCATGGCCACGAGAGAAATCAGTCTGCTCCACCTGGGGAGACTCCCATAAACATCCATTTTCACCTACAGACCCTGAGCCCCGTGTGTACAGAACAGTACAATACTGTGGTCCCTAGGCTGCAGTGGAGGGTGGACAGAAAGGAGGAAGGCCATCCAGTGGCTCCCAGGCACTCTGTGGTCTAAGAAGCAAATCTGCCCTTCTCCTTCTCCTTGCCACTAGCTGAGGGGCACCGCTGGGGAATCTCCCAGGGAGATACAACCACAGAGTCTCATCCTTCCCCATTCCCTGTAGCTCTTCTCTTGCGTAATTAGCCCATAGGGATTGTAGCCACAGTCCAGGCCTTCTGAGGGCCAGAGGACTCCATCTCAGTGCCTGTGGAGGCAACGTAGGCATAGGATTTTACACAGTAGAATAGACACAGTTGTGCCTTCCAACTTCTCCCTCTTGATCATGGTCCTCTCCAGACCCTATTCTGTTCTTTATTCAGACCAAGATTCTCGTTCCCCTCCCCAAACAGCCTTTCTCTCCCAAGAAGAGTCTCTGAAACCTGTATCTCCTCTCATTGTATTAGTCCATTTTCACACTGCTGATAAAGACAATTGCAAGTCTGGATACTTTATAAAGAAAAAGAGGTTTAATGTACTCACATTTCCACGTGGCTGGGGAGGCCTCACAATCATGGTGGAAGGTGAAAGGTACTTCTTACACGGCGGCTGCAAGACAGAATGAGAACTAGGTGAAAGAGGCTTCCCCTTATAAAACCATCAAATCTCGTGAGACTTATTCAAAACCAGGAGAACAGTATGGAGGAAAGCACCCTCATGATTCAATTATCCCCCACCGGGTCCCTCCCACAACATGTGGGAATTATGGGAGCTACAATTCAAGGAGATGTTTGGATGGGGACACAGCCAAGCCATGTAATCCATCTCAGAAACCTTATCCAGTCTATCACCTCCCCTCCCTCCTTCCCTCTTGGGCAGTTTTTCTCTTTTAAATGTCTCTCACCAGCTCCCATTTCTTAAAGCCCCTGGTAGATCCTCAAATCAAAACTCCAACCAATATTCCCACTCCCTGCGCTCCTCCTTTCCTCCCATCCTGGCCTCAGCATTGCTCTACCACCTCTTGCAGCAATTATGCTTGACCTGCGGGAGAAATTACCCAAGATTTACTTATTTATTTGTGAAAAATGAAGTTCCAATTATGGCATGTCCATATAGTGGAATGTTATGTAGTCATTTAAAATGACAGGGTAGAAGAAAATTTAATGAGGTGGAAAAATATTCACAACAATATATTCAGAGAGAAAAAGAGGCTACAAAACAGTGTGCAGGGAACACTTGCATTTTTATTAAAAAATATGTGTGGATTTATTCCTATGCGACTAAAAGTATATGAGCCTAAATGTTCTCAGTGGTCATCCAGGCATCTGGGCAGTGTGATGATTACAAATGATATCTTCTTCCTTGTGCTTTATGTATTTTCTAATTTGTTTTACAATGAGGAAATATTACCTTTGAGATGAGAAAAAAACATAGTAAGTGTGCGTGCTTGTGCGTGTGTGTGTTTCCTTGAGACACCAGTAAAATGCCCTTTCCATCTTCTCTGTCTCTGGCCTTTCTGTTTTTATCCACACTGGCATATGTACTTGTTATTCTGAGCAAATGAGCCAATTGAAATAAGACTCCATTTATGCAAGCAGACTGTGGCTGCTGTTAGTCCAAAAATGTTGTCAGCACTAAGCAATTGCTCCTTTACTTGTCTGAAATGCACCATATTCTCCAGTGTGCCCTGCTCCACACTTAGGTCAGCTCAGCTGTTCCAGAAAGCACGATGGACACCGTTGCCATCTGAATTCTTACATGCAACTAGAATCTTCTCTTTGCCATGGAGAGGCAGCGACGTATAGTGGTTAACAGTGTGCATTATTTCATTACTAGATTGACAACTTGGGTTTGAGTTTCATCTCTGCCACTTACTGTGACTACTGACTATCCAAGCCTTGGTTTCCCTATCTGGAAATGGACAACAACAATGGCGGTATCCATTAAAAGGATTGTTTTGAAGACTAAATGGCTAAAAATAATCAAGTGCTTAGCATAGTGCTTGGCATAGAGTATTTAACAAATAGGAGTTATTAACCCTGGACAATCTTATTTCTTGGAGGAAATAACAGTTTGAGTCTTGTAATTTTAGTCTTGTATGCTTGGCTTTGAATTAAGGACATAAGAGCAGGTTTCAGCAGGTCAGAGAAGATAAAGAGGGGATCAACTGAGGTGGAGTATTGTGTTCTGTTGCTTGCATCTCAAAAATATTTACAGGCATGGGAACAGCATACGAACAGGTCACAATCTTTCAAAAGGGCTCTTGTTTAAAAGGGCACCCTTCATTCTAGCTTTGCTGTGCCCTGAGCACAAGACCATATTTTAATAATGACCTGCTTAAAATCAATAGAAATATTAGTCTTCAGTTCAGTAAAATGGAATCTGAGGGCTGAAAGTAACCTCAATCCTCATCCAGTCCAATGTCCAAATGATAGATTTTGAATCTCTCCCTAAACCCACACGTGATGTCATCATCTGGTATATGCTCTGTCGTCTCAAGTTACCGGGAACTCACACCTCCTCGGACAGCTCATGCCATGGCAGGGCACTCAAAAGTTAAATCCGAATAGAGGTTCTTCCTTATGTTGAACCTAAATCTATCTCTCCGGAGGTCCCCACTTACGGTCCCATTTCTAATGCTTGCAAAGAAAGAACAAGCAAGCCCTTTCCTCTAATGGCATTCTTGCAAACATTTGCAGCCAGGGACCATGTATTCCTCTCAGCTTTGTCTTCTTCAAGCTAGATACCATCAACTTCCAAAACAATTACCAATATGCAAAGTTTTATGGCCCTCCATTGTTCTAGTTCCTCTCTTCTAAATTTGGTCTGGTCAAGTGTGGGGTCTAGAACACATTTCTTCTTGTGTGATTTCACTTACTCAGGATATAGCAAAATAACCACCTCTACCACTTTAGACAATGCAGTTTTATTCATGTTGCCAAGCGTCTATTTGCTCTGGGTGGTCACCAGCAATTTACTCCCAACTAAATCCCACGAAGGAAGGTATATATTCCTTCACAAGTATTGCTTCTACTTTATAATGATCTTATTCTGTAATTGCGAGATTTTCTTAAAACTCAATATAGAATGTTATATTCTCCTTGGCCAAATTTCATCATTTTGGATTCATTTCATTCCTTCAGCTTGTCAAGAACTTGGGAGAACCTGATTCTGTCATCTAGAATATTTGCTAACAGTCCCAAATTCTTGTCATCCACAAATTTGATGACTGGCTTCTTTCTTTATAAAAGTCATTCATTAAAACTTTGACTAATATCCAGATGAAGTCAAACCCTGGAGAAGTTCACTAGAAACTTCTCTCCAGTTCATCATCAGTTCAGATCTTTAGATCCTTCACTAAGTTATCTGCCTAAGAGTGCTTTGATCCTTTCTGAATACATCTTAAGATATGGTGTAATATGCTACGATTTTTTCCAGGATGCCTTAATGAAAATCAGAAACACACTTTCCTAATCTAGCAATCTAACACTTTTACTTAAGAAAAAAAAGACAAATCTGACATGGCATGCTCTTAGAGAATTCTAGGTCTTAGGATTCTCTGCTTCTTTTTCTGGATATTCTCAAACTATCTCTTCTTATAATTCATTTTGGAGTTTTATTTTATTTCTTATTCCCTTGCCAAAAATGGGCCTGACACTAGCCTTCTGGTCTCCTGACAATTACTGACAATCCAGGATTCCCCAAAGATCACAACAGCAACCTGGGGAGTGAAAGAGGAATAACTGTGAAATGTAAGGTGATTTTGTCCATCAGGAGCTGAAAGAAGTAAATATATAAACAAATAAAAGACAATATTAGAAAATAAATGTTTCCTTTGGTTTGGAATAATGTCTTCACTGTAATTCTCAAGGCACAAAAAGCAGAAATCAAGAGGCTGATGGATAATTACTACATTAAAATTAATTTGGGACAACTCCGCAGGGTCATCTATCTCATCTCCGCACTCCCTGTGGGGTTGGCTGAGGTTTTGCTGCAGACGCATTGCAGTTCAACCCCTTCTTTCAGCCCAGTCCCGCATCCGTCAGTTCCTTACAGGTGTGGCTCTTGATGGAGTACATAATAAACGTCCTCCACGCAAATCTCCAAAGTCTGTTTTCAGAGAACCTGACATAAAACAGTTGGTATCAAGAAGCAGATTTTTTAAATGGGATTTTGGAGCATTATCACTCTCTCTGTAGAGTCAGCTGTAAGTGAGGGCTTTATCAGTGGAGACTGCTGGAGTCCCTGTTAGTCCCTGGCATGCTGTATTGGCACGGTTGTTAGAATGTTTATTTGTGTTGAACTGGGATGAGATACCAGTGGAAGGGCAAGTATGGGCAGGTGAGATATCTCAAGCATTTGAGAAGTATCGGTAAATAGTAAGTTTCAAATTTATGGAATTGAATGTCTTTGCTGAGTGCTACTGATGCATTAGAGAAAGACAATAAAGGCTGACGGGGACTATTCGTGAAGTTAAAGCTAAGTGTGAAAGTCAAAGGGCCTCCTTAGCAGCATAGAACAAGAACCCCCTCTCTTGCAGCAGGAGGCAAGAAAGACTGAGGGTCAGGCCAAAAGCTGAGTTACAAGGGGAGCAAAGCCTTAGAGGAGTTTGAATTCTCAACTTCAGCAAGTCTGCTCCACCAAGGTTAGGGCTGTGACTGAGAAGGAGGGAACGGGACTATAGCGATGGGGACATCTATGTTGATAAACTCAAGGACCTTGAAAGCCCATATGTCCATGAACTCTCTATGGAGGTGCCCCATCCTCCTTCTTAGAAGCTGATGCTCCCCCTCCTTTTGCTTAAAAGTGTGCAAAGGCCTCTTATTTGAAAAACATGCATACTACCCTCCATATGAAATGCTACCCTAACTTGTATCCTGTTTGACACAAGATCCATAGTTAGTGTAACATCAACTGGAGAAATGCTGGGTCTACCAAGGAAGAGGGAAATATACCAGGGATTATGGGCTGTAGCTCCTGCGCAGCAGCAGGAGATGAGAGACCAAGCACTAGACCGGCTCCTGAGGGTGTTGGGTCAAGGGTGGCAGGGTGCAAGCATGGATAAGTGAAAATGTATTGGTATGGGAACACCATTCCAAGACATAAGATGAACACCCTGGCAAGTACTGTGAGAAAGGGTGCTGATATGCTAAAAGGGTATCTCTTGGAAGCTGGGATAAAGGGATGGCTCCGCTAAATGAAGGAGAAATGCCAAAACTGTAGTGGCAGATGATGGACAAACAGAAACCAAAGCTCAGATAATTTGCCAGGCTAGAATGGATATACTGCACAAGACCAGAAAACCTGATCGGCTTACCATGTTCTATGGGACAACCTGAACGACACTTCATTTATCAAAGCGATAAGAAATGCATAGGTGAGGGGATACTATAGACTAAACTGTATCCCTCCAAGATTCATAAGTTGAAGCCATAATCCCCAGTCTGACTCTATTTGGAGCCAGGGTCTTTAGTAGGTAATTGAGGTTAAATGAGGTCATAAGAAGGGGGCCTTAATCCCATAGGATTATTGTCCTTGTAAGATAAAAAAAAAAAATGCAAGACAGCCCATTCTCTCTGTCTCTCTCTTTCCCTTCCTGCCAGGTAAACACACGGTGAGAAGGCAGGTATTTACAAGCCAGGAAGAGAGCCCTCGCCAGAAACTAAGCTGACAACAGTCTTGACCTTGGACTTTCAGCCTCCAAAACCGTGAGAAAATAAATGTCTGTTGTTTAAGCCACCCAGTCTGTGGTATTTTGTTATGGCAGTCTGGAACTGACTAAAACATAGTATTACCAAAATTCTTGAAAAATTCAGTGGTGGCTGTCCTCTGCAGGCTAGAGTTTATAAGAGGAGAGGCTGTTCTAGTACTAAATTCCCTAGTAATAACAGAGATGACAGAGTCATGAAATAACAGAAGCCAGGTGGTGGCATTTAACCATACAAAGCAAGGTGTATGCAATGTCATAATGATTGACAAAGTCAATGTGGCAGCTGGGTAGAAGCAGCCTGACCTGCAGAAAGCTAGGAAGATTAAGGGACTTGTAACATTAGCGAAAATATTAGGGGTCCAAGTGTCTGGGGCATGCTAGGACATTCCCTCCAAAGTAAAGGGCAAATTATGGCTTCTCCCATGTTCCAGCAATAAAATGGAAGCACAGTGCTTAATATACTTCTTCTGATGCTAAAGGAAGCATATGTCACACTTGAGAATACTATGCCAATCCACTGCATGGCTAAAATGGAAGGCACCAGGTTTGAATGGGGCCCAGACCAGGAAAGGGTACTTCAGCAGGTCAGTCAGGTATGCAAGGAGGCTTAATGCTTGTGCCATAGACCTGGCAGACCCTATGGTACTAGAGATATTTGTGAAGGGAAAATATACCATGTGGAGATTATAGCAAATCCTAATAGGAGAATCAAAATGTAGACCACTAGAATTCTGTAGCAGGGCCATGCCGTGTACAGCAGAGACTAATACACCATTCAAAAAATGACTACTAGCAGCTAAAGAGCACGATAGAAACTGAACATCTGACCAGAAGACGTCAAGTGGCTATGCAGCCACAACAGCCCTTCATAAGCTGAGTTCTACCAGATCCACCAACTAATATATCCAGGCAGGCTCAGCAATGACCCACTGTTCAGAGAAAGTAACCCCAGGGCCAGGCACAAGTAGACCCCAAGGTTTTAAATAAGCCACATCAACAGGTGGCCCAGACCCTTCTGTTTGTACCAGTTACACTGGCATCTCTCTTTCAACTCACCTCTGGACAACAACTACCTGACACAGGAGAAAGAGATTCATCATGGGCATGGATGGGTTTGTTTGATATGTGAGCAGAAACTGAAAGTGAACTTCTGCTGCACTGTATCCCCTCTTGGGGGTGATCCTCTAAGAGCAATGAAGAGAAGCACTACAAGCAGGTGAGACATCTGGTTGTCCACGTTGAGTGGAAGTATAAGTGGCCTGAAGTAAGGCTCTATATGGCCTCATTGGAAGTGATAGTGTCTTCGCCAGTTGATCAGGGACCTGTAAGAAAACAGATTAGAAGATTGGGACAAGAAAGAATGGAGAAGAGGCTAATGGATTGGCCTATGGGACTGGCCCAAAATGTGAAGATCTTTACATCATATGTTAATACCCTCCAGAGAGCATCCACCCAAGAAGAGGACTAAATAAGCATTTAAAGAGAACAACTAAGCCAGCTGACACCAGCCAGGCTCTCATAACAGAATCTTGACTTGCACAATGGGTTTATGAAATGGAGTGGCCATGGTGGCAGCAATGGATACGATACACAGACTCAGGGACATGAGCTCCTGCTTATCATGACTGCTCTAGCTCTTAACCCTGTCAAATGTCCAACCTACCAGCAGAGACAAATGCTATGTCTCCCATATGGCAGCATCCCTATAGGAGACCAATCTGATGTTTGATGGCAAATGGGTTACATGGAACTTCTTCCACCCCAGAAGCAGCAGAGGTTCATTTTGATAATATAAACACATATTCCAGGTATGGGCTTACCTTCCCTGCCCCCAGGCCCTTAGCCAGCACACTGTCTAAAGCCTTTATCAGTGTTTAATCCAGCAACATGGGATCCTGCACAACATCACATTAGACCAGGAAACCTACTTTACAGCAAGGGAGGGGAGATGGAGCATATAACCACGAAATTCACTCATCTTATTACATGCAACGACTCCTAAGAAATTGACAGCCTGATAGAGCAATGGAATGGTCTTTTGAGGATACAGGTGAGGTGCCAGTTTCAATATGATTCTCTGAAAGAATGGGAAGCCTGTCTTCTAGGATGCAAAACACTGCCATGCTTCCTAAATTCAAGACCATTATACATATACTACATGTATTTATATAGAAATAAATTCAGATACTGAAGAATGGCAGTTGGGGCACCCCTCTTTACCATCACTCTCAGTGACCCTTTATGTTTGCCAATGTTAATTTTCCACTGGGAACAGACCAAGAATGTCATTAAAACTTCTCCTATTGTTGGCTGGACACATTGGCTCACACCTGTAATCCCAGCACTTTGGGAGACCGAGGCAGGCAGATCGTCTGAGGTCAGGAGTTTGAGGCCACCCTGGCCAACAGAGAGAAATCCTGTCTCTACTAAAAATACCAAAAAAAAAAAAAAAAAAAAAAAAATAGCCGGGCATGGTGGCACACATCTGCAGTCCCAGCTACTCGGGAAGCTGAGGTAGGAGAATCGCTTGAACCCGGGAGGCGGAGGTGGCAGTGAGAAAAGATTGCGCCACTGCACTCCAGCCCGGGTGACAGACCAGGACTCCGTCTCGAAACAAAACAAAACAAAAACATGCTATTGCTGCCTATGGCCACTTTGGCCTAGCTGTATCAGCAGCTGGCACAGAAAGCACTCACAGTCCTGGCAGGTTAATTTCCCTTAACAATCAGATGGAGTTTGGGCTATTCTTTACACAAGGTGGGCAGAGAGAAATACATTTGTTTCTCCAGTGATCCACTGGAGTTTTTATTGGCACTTTTCTACCCAATTTTGACAGTAACTTGGTATATGTGTAGCAGCTACAGCCCAAGAGGAGTTTGCTGACCAGGGGCTCAGACCTCTGGAGGATAAGCGTATGAGTCACATCACGAGGAGGTAAGTCACACAGGCTAGCAGAGGTGCTAGCTCAGGGAAAGGAAAACCTAAAATAGACATAAAGTAGGAAGTCAGGAAGGCAAGAGCTTTTTCAGGAAATGAGAACAGCCAGAATCTTGGAGAAGCTGTTCACATATAGGGGTACTGCAGGAAGAATGCAGAGCCAGGCACTATAATGTTTATAATGAAGTGGGTTCTATGCTGCTTCACCAAGCCCGTGCCTCAGGAACCCCCAGCCATGTAAATGTTGGCTGCTGGTGGCTTCCAGATGAGTCACTTCCCAGGAATTACTTTCAGCCAAAGGTTTAAGGTAATTACTCTCCCTTCCCAGAGGCATCCCATATCCTCAAAGGCCCAGCCCTCTTGCCTGAATCAGTGACAACTCTGAAGAGCCATCGTGGTTCCAGAGCTTCTTGTGAGGTTGGCCAAGGCCTTTGCTGCAACTGTGTCATAGGTCAAATTCTCCCTCTGCTCACTCCTGCCTTTCTCTCTCTCTTTGAGATATTCCGGTGACCATTCTCCAACAATCCTCCTACACACAAATCTCCAGCTCAGAATCAGTTTCCAGGAAGCTTGACCTAAGACAGTGTTCATTATTTTATAGCTATATCTATGTTCCTACTTCTATGTTTTCCTCCTATGCCCAGCTGCTCAGGTGTGGACAAGAGAAAGTGGGTTGTTTCTGTCAGAATTAACATTTTTCAAGGTAAGTGAAATGGAAAGAAAGTAAGCAACAAATGATTTGGAGTTATTTTAAAATAGATTGACTAAAGTTATGTAATAAGCAAGCAAAGATGGATAAAGTGGGAAGTGAAGACGGGGTGATTTACAGATGGAAATGGGCTTCAATGAGTTGAAAGTTTTGAGGTCAGCGTATTCATGCAGTGGAAGTATTTGGACAACTGAGGTAGAAGGATAAAAGCTTTTAGTACAAACATGGAAGTTCTTGATTTTGGAGGTGGAGATGTTTCTGTGAATGACGTGGTTTAGCATCTTATCATGGAGTGAATGGCTCAGCTGAAGTAAAGAAGGTCATTGAATGTGAGAAATTCAAGGAACCAAGAAGCCAGGACTCTAATGTGGGGTCCATAAGCATGCTGACTTTGCCTAGGATGAGGACTGGAGTTGAAAAGGAGAAGACAGCGAATCAGCACCAAGTCGTAATGCATAGGGACACAAGGCAAGATGCTCCTCAAATGATTATTAGAAGAAGGGGGAGAAAGCAGTAGGCTGATTTGGTCTGAGCCTTAAAGACTATAGGCTTTTACAAAAGGGAGGGAGAAAAGGCAATGGGTAGCCAAGAGAATACTTTTCATACCTCCCAACGCTGAGATACAAGGGTAATAAGGATAAAGATCTAGATTTGATAAAAGTCAGCCAAATTTTGGCTAGAGGAGGGATAGGAAGAACTGAAACATAAAGGTTAAATGACTTGTGCAGAATCATATAGACTGTGATAGAATCAGGATTCAATCCCAGAGTATCTATCTGCCTCCAGAGCTCATACTCTAAACCTCCATGCTAGAGTGCCTCACAATAGGTGTGTCACAGAAGGGAAATATCAACAAAATATACACATTATATTCAGCTCTTGTTGATGCTCATCAATTAAGTCCACTTTTCTAAGTACATGATGGTCAAGTATGTTTGAGACATGTTGATACAAGCTGTTGGGCCATGATTCAGAAAAAGACACTACTGTGTAGACGATAGGGGCTTGGCATTATAGGGAGGACAGATCAAATACTACACAAAATAAGTATACAGTTCAAGGCCTCAACCTCAAAAACATGCATCACTGTCATCAACCTTAGACCTGTTTTTCTCTTCTCTATCCCCACTCTCAAGCAGCAAAGAGCCTTCAGACTCTTTCTCAGGGTCACCCACTCTGGTCCCCAGTACAATGATGCCTCCTCTTCATAGCACTCCACAGTTTGAGTCTTTCTTTTGATGCATCCCATCAACACTGAACTGGCCAAAGTCCATATCTTGGGGTATTGCCAGTGGACTAGCCAGCTAACACTGGATTTCCTCAATTTGATGTGGCTATTTAGTAGCCATTTGTTTTTTAAATGGGAGAGAAACTATATTATATATGTAATATATATAACAATTGTAAGACATCTAATTTATGACTCTTTAACATATGCCAACAAAGAGTACTTTGTTGGAGGAAATAAGGCATTTAGTAAATTTGATCTGTTCTTTTTTAAAATTTGAGACTAATGTTAATATTTCTTAGGACTGTTTTAATATTAAAACTTACTGTGTGTATGCAAAGGATAATGTGGATGTTAAGTGACATTATTAATAGCAGGCCAGAAAAAAATATATATATAGGATAGTTTAAAAGACTTAATGTGTTATCCCACCTGGAGGAACTTGAAAAGAGGTCACTTGTCACCTAGTGACCAAAAATGCAATTTCTTAGAGCAATGGATGTGTGCTAGTGGGAATTTTAGGTCCACTTAAGAAGAGAGAGGATTTACGTTTGAGCAGGTCAGACATTTATTGTTGGCTTGAAATCTTGCATGTCCATCTGCATTTGAGACCTGCTCTGATCTTTGCTTCTCCACAGCCACTGTATCCCTTGAGATGACAAAAGAAGCTTCTTAAGGCTGCAGAAATTAGGTTCCACCTGGGGTCACTTTCATTGTATACTTATTTATGTTTATGACATGGGCACTGCAATGTCCTGTCATGGGGTGAGGCCCAGGGTCTCAGCATCCTTCATTCTGCACCATATCTGCGATCAGCAGAAGCTGGAGACAGAACAGATGAGCATCCCTCCTGCACAGCCAGCTGCAGCCTTCATACACCATCTCACCAAGGAGGCTGCTGCTGGGGGAAAGGGGCCATGCAGTGTGGCTGTAGGGATTGATGGGTTGTTAATGCAGTGAGACAGTTACATTGTCTCATCCTGACAATGCCGCCATTTAGCATCCTCATGGGCAGGCACCGTGACCTAACCACAAAGCTAATGAGGCTTGGCACACCCCAGCTCAGTCTTACCCTCTGAATATTAGTTAACTTCAAAGTCTGCAACATAAATGCTCAGTCAGCCCATGGTGGTGCAGAATGGAGCACAGTGCCTCTTGCACATCGAAGTCGGGTCGCTGGAGCCTCTGTCCTTTTGGAGATTAATCTATGCTAGGCATGGGGATAAGGAGGGATGAGAAAGATGCATACTTTTTAGGACTTTGTCATACAAAATTCTATATGAAGGTGCTGGAAGAGACTTTTCCAAAGTGCATTTTGCCAACTGTCTTTGCCTTACATAGAAAGAATGTGAAGCCTGTGGGTGGGAAGGTGACTTGGCTATAACTAGTACAGAGATAAGGCTTCAGCCCAAGGCTCCTGGAGCTCCCAGACAAGACAGCCCTTCACATGGAGCCTGGTCCCAAATGAGAATAACTTTGACTCTATCCAAGCTTAATCCACGATCTCTCCCTTGATTCCTCCTTCTCCCTTCCCTCCATAGAAAGTCCCTGGGCCTGCTGTTAATATCTCCTGAGTTGGGCCCTGCCCACCCCTTTCTTTTTTTTCCCCCACCTTCACCTGGGTTAAGTGCTCATGACTTCACTCCTAAATCATGACAATGCCTTCCTAAATGATCTCCTTTCTCTTAATATTGTTCCACTGCTTCCTATGCTTGCCATTTGTAGATTCAGTTTCTGAAAACTCCTTTTCTTACAACCTTTCTCTGCTCAAGAACCTGCTGGGGCTTTGCATAGCTATTGGAATAAGGTTTACGTTCCAGTTAGCGTTCAAGGTCTCATTGCCTTTCCTATCATATCTTCAACGGTTTCCTGTGTGGTTCCAACAAAAATGGGCTTCTCCTCATCCCCTAAACACACTAGTAGCATTTTTACCTCCACACTTAAGCAGTTCCCCCTCCTCTCATTTAGAAAATCTCTACTTCTTTCTTCCCAAGAGCAATTCTATGCATTTTCAAGCTCATCTCAAGCTTCCCTCTTGCATCAAATGTTTCCTGAATACCACAGCTGTTTCATCACTCACTCCTCTGACCTCCTATAACTCTCACTGTCTCCAGGACTCACTTGAGCCTTTGTTATAACTTACCGGCATTGCTCTGTGTATCTGTACAGCTGAATCCTGTGTCCTTTCAAGCAATTTGTGAATTGCTTAATGAAAGAGATTATGTCTGTACTTTGGTCTCTCATAGATGGCTAGACCACAATGTGTGCCTAATACATTCCCATTCAACTGAGTTGAAAGCAAAGTTTAGGTCC